>NC_000017.11:82885364-83247441 GCF_000001405.40 Homo sapiens
CTGTCATCTTCTATAGCTTCTGGTGGTCTGCCTGCTCTCTGTATCCTGAAGTAGTTAGAAGTCTTTCTCTGCCTCAGGTCCTTTAAAACTAGAGAGAATTCACCAGGAGAGCTCAGAAGCTCTTCTCTGTCCCTGAAGCTGCTCTTATTTTGTCTTCAGCATCAGTAAAAACCTCATAATTTTTTGGGGAAATCATCACATTTTTGCCCTGCTATTTACCCAAAGGCAGTAAATGTAAGACTTTGAAATATAATACAATTTTATGTTAAATCTGTACTTAAATTAAGCTTTTAGATTTTCTTTACTGCAACCTAAGACATTTCATGGGAAGCAGTAATAAAATTAAAGTACTTAGGCTTCTATGAACCCTGAATATGAAGTGAAATAATATAAATCATTTTTCACATTAAAATCCCTTTAAATTGGCAATAAATCTTTTCTGATAAATACCACCGAGTGCACCTAGCTTACCCTGTAGCTTGCAAAATTAAAACAGCCAAAGGTAAAAGACACCTTTTTGAAGCTTAGTTGGAAATGTGAGGATTGAGGGCCTCATAATTGGGAATCATTTTTTGGAGCTGCTGCTTTCAGATAACAATGTCTCGGTCTTTCTGGCTCAGCTTGGCTTCCTGTTTGACGCTGTGTCACTGGGTGAGGTCACCCCTGTGAGGCCCTGAGGCCTCTTCAGCACCGGCCAGGAGGCAGCAGCAAAAGGCGTTGAAGTCCTGTCCCTCCTTGGGGCTGGACACGGTCCCTTGCCCCTGAACTCTAGACGCCCTGCATTGCCCTGGTGCTCCCATGTCAAGACTGGCCGCGGTCGTCCATCCCATGGTTTGTGACCCTCCCAGCAACGCTGTGAGGAAGGTGCTGCAGCTGGTTCTCAGCATTGGCAGGAGCATGGCGACTCAGGCAGTCAGTGTGTGAGTGAGTTTGTGAAAACAGTTCCAGCTGTGTTCGTTGCTGAATGCTGGTTTTTCTGCATATTGGAAGGAATCTAGCAGACCCCCAAACGTGCTGACATTGCAAGAAGACATGTCTCCCGGCGGGGAAGGAATGGGCAGTAGAGATGGGGTGTGGTCGTGGCTTCTTGTTCATCATGAGGAAGGGAGATGGGGCCCCGTTCACTCACAGTTAAAGTAAAGGCACTTAAAGCCTACATTTAACTGAGAAGATTTTAAATCTTTTTCTTCCAGCATTTCGTTTGATACATAGTGTCTGACCTCTATTTGTGACTTTTTATTTTGGGATAATTGAGATTTATATGCAGTTTTCTCCCCTCCCCTCCCCTCCCCTCCCCTCCCCTCCCCTCCCCTCCCCTCCCCTCCCCTCCCCTCCCACTCTGTCACCCAGGCTGGAGTGCAGTGGTGCGATCTTGGCTTATTGCAACCTCGGCCTCCCGGGTTCAAGCAGTTCTCCTGCCTCAGCCTCCCGAGTAGCTGGGATTACAGGCGTGCACCACCATGCCCGGCTACTTTTTGTATTTTTAGTAGAGACGGGGTTTCACCATGTTGGCCAGGATGGTCTCGAACTCCTGACCTGAAGTGATCTGCCTGCCTCGGCTCCCAAAGTGCTGGGATTACAGACGTGAGCCACTGTGCCTGGCGGAGATTTACATGGAGTTTTAAAGACTAATGCAGGGAGAGCCCATGCGTGTTTCACCATTGCCTCCATGATGAAATCTGGCAAAACCGCAATGGAACATCACAGCCTAGAACATTGAGCCAACCCACCAGTCTTATTCCTTCTTCCTTGGTTTTACCTGTACTCTGTGTGTGTGTGTGTGTGTGTGTGTGTGTGTGTGTGTGCGCGCGCGCGCACGTGCGCTCACGCGTTTACTTCTGTGTGATTGTATCACATACAAATTCACGTATCCACCACCACAATCAGGATACACAGCAGCCCTGTCTTCCCGAGAGGCCTGTGCTACTGCTTTGCCCACAGTCCCTGCTGTTTCCCTCTCCTGACCCTTGGCAGCCACCGGTCGGCTCTCCGTTGCCTATTCTATTCTGTCATCTCGAGAATGCTGTGTAAATGGACTCTGTGGCCTCTAATGCTGTAGCTTTCTTCTCTCGGCACAGCTCTCTGGAGACCCACCCCGAGCGTGGTGGGTGGTGCTGGTTTGCTGCTTCTGTTGCTGAGTGGTGCCGTGGTTTGTGTGACCATTCATGTATTACGACATCAGGATGGTTTCTAGTCTTTAAGCTGCTGTAAACATTCGTGCTCAGGTTTTCGTGTGAGTGTAACTTCCATTTCTCTGGGTTAAATGCCAGGAGTAGTTTCTGGGTCGTGGTAGTTGGACATTTAAACTGCTTTCTAGAGCAGCTGCACCATTCACGTTCGCACCACCACCTGCCCGCAGCCCTGCCTTTCTCTGTCCTCGCTTGTGTCTGACATGGCCACTGTTTTCTGTGTCGGCCTTTTTGACAGGCATGTGGTGATACGTCGTTGTGGTCTTTACCTGCGTTTCTGTCATGCCTGATGGTGTGGAGCATCTTTCACGGGCTTACTTGCCGTCTGTACCTCCTCTTTGGTGAAATGTCTGCTCAGGTCTTTTACTCATTTCTAAGTGGATTGTTTTTTGTAGTTCTTGAGTTTAGGGCACTCTTTACATATGTAGGATTCTGGTCCTCTGTTGGATTTGCGTTTGGCTTTCTCCCAGTCTGTAGCTCATCTTTCCGTCCTCTTCATAGGGCAAGAGTTTTTAATTTTTTAATTTTGCTGGGGTCTCGATCAGTTTTTTGTTTTTGTGGCTCATGTTTTTAGTGCTTTTTAAGACGTGAAGACTTTCTTAAGGTCTGGGAACTCCACCTCGCCCGGTCCCGGGGATGCTGTCCCGTGTTTTCTGTTCTGCTGGTTGGTCTGCGTGTCTGTTCTGCCAGCGCACACTGTGTGACGGGCTGTGCTGCGATGCTGCTGTGCATAGTCAGCCTTCGCACTGGGCAGGGAGATGCCTCCCAGCGTCTTCTTTCTCAGGACTGTTTTCCCTGTTTTAGGGCTTGTGCTTTTCCACATAAATCTTGAATTTTTAAAACATCTTTTAGATACCACTGGAATGGTACATGTCTTCCTAATAGTGTATGTTAAATTGATGTTACAGTATATCTTTGTTGCATTGCCTTTTGGCGGGTTTTGTTTCTTACTTTCCTAATGAATTTATCACAAAAGTTACAAATTTGCAAAGCAGCAGTCAGGCCTCCTCCCAGCCTGCTGTGAAGCGCCTGTTTCCTCCAATCTCCAGCCCAGCCCAGGGGTCTGCCTTGGAGCCACCCGCACGTCTGGTTTCTGTGTGATTGGCCAGAGGTGGTGGGCGCGTCTGCTCCTTTTCCCTGGGGGGTGGGGGCACAGACCCTGGGTGGCTGTGTTCGGCTCCTTACTTGGTGCCCGTCTGTGTGTGCTCCTCCCAGCAGCCATCGCTCAACCTTGCTCTCAGGAAGCCCCCAGGCGAGTGTTGGCAGGAATCCTGCCAGGCGGGAGGTCGCTCCTCCAGAGCGTGGTCCCTGAAGCCGCCAGCCTCCCTGGCCTCGCCCCTTGCTGGTGGTGTGTGTGGTGTGGCCGTGGGTGCACTTTGCTGGGTCTTCCTGGGACACTGAAGTCTCCTGTGTCTCCAGCCCTGAGAACTCGGAGCCCGGGTGCTTTTGGGAAGGACGGGGCACCAGCTGGTGACACATGGGAAGGGAGGTGTGGTTGTCACCTTGCCCAGGTAACCTGCTCTGCCTGGTCGGTGCGCCTAAGGGGGGCAGGGTGTTTGGGGAGGACATGAGAGGCCTCCTGGAAGCACTTCATCCTGTTGAAGTTCACATTTTGACCTTTTCAGCAGCCCTTGCTCTGGGCCTGTGCCCGGCCCTGGGACTCGGCCTGGAGAGCCTATTGACACCGTGCCATGGGTGCGGGCAGGGCGCCCTCCCTGGAGGGCGGCACGTGGTGCCAGTTGGTGACCATGAGCTGCCTCACTCCTGAGGAAGAGTGTTCGGGCTCTGGGCTTTGATTTAACCTGCCTGTCTGTCTCTCTGAGTTGACAGCCGGGGCCTCCGCGTGGGTGCTGCTGGGAGGCTCAGTGGTAAAGGCCACTTTTCAGGATGTGTCTGATTTTATAAACTTGAATTCTTAAATTGTGGTTTTAAAGAGCACCAGGACGTAAAAACAGAGTGACGCACCTTGAGGCTCTGTTCAGCCAACAATGAGGGCTTTTATTTAAAAAATAAAGCCGTGGGTCATTCACGTTGTGCTGTTTGTTCTGAACTTGCCTCTGGTGTTGGCGGAAGCTGACCTCGCTCACCTGCTGTGTTTGTTCTTTGCTCCGCAGGCCGCCTTCCAGGAGAATGTGGGGAGACAGGTATGGCTGCTTTCAAACACCTTTATTCCAAAAACTTCCTGCGGGTTTATAGGTAGGAATCTTGAGAGCTATAACCCTGGTGTCTTCTCGCACTGTGAGATGTGGTGTGGCTACATCAATGCCAGGGTCATGAGTTCACTATAGGACGCACATGTTAAACAGCGAGTCCTGTTTCACAGGGAACCTGCATGTACAGTAATTTACACACACAGGCCGGAAAGCTGTGCTTTACACGTTGCCAAGAGCCACATAATGTGGCTCTGCAGGGTGGGGCGGGTCCCTGGGACCAGCCTGGCCTTGCGGGGACGCAGACCTGACCCCGCCTCATCCCACACAGAGCAGGAGCTGGCTCTGTTGACGTCAGCTTGTGCCTCATCCAGACCATAGACGGGCCCAGAAGTCAGCTCCCAGAAGCTACGGACCCCATGACCCCACGACCCCACATCATGCTGGGGCTGCTTTTGCTGTGCCCTCTGACCCTGACATCTGGTCACTGGTCAGCTTCGCCTGTGAATGGGGGGCCCCAGGTTACTCATGTTGTGTGTGATGACGTCACATCTTGGGCGTGTGGTTGGGTCTTGCAGGAGAGTGGGACAGAGGCCGGAGAGGGGACCGGGGTCTGGGCTGGACCTGGGCGGGGAGCAAAGTTCCCACGAGAAGTCAGCCGAGAAGGCTCTGGAGTTCCCGGACAGCAAAGCAAATGCAGCCGGGGTCTGGGCTGTGGCCAGGTGGTGTGGGGCGGCATGGGGTGGACGTGGGCCTGCGGACCCTTCTGACCTGTGGGGAGCCCTCCAGGCAAGGTGTCTGACCTGGAGTGGAAGCATTGAGGCCAAATGAGTCCACAGGAAAAGCCGGATGCCAGAGTCAGCTGGAGAGGCGGGCGGACGAGGACTTGCGCCTGTTATTGAAATGGTTCTGGAGGAGCCTGGCGTGAGTGGTGTGGGCGGCTTTCTGTAGACGGAGCCCAGGAAGGGGCGTGACTACTTCTTGCTGGCCCGAGGCAGCCGAGGCCCACCCAGCATCCTTGGGGTGCCGTGGGGCCTGCATGTGTTCAGAGCCCTGAGCCCTGGTCGGAGCCAGTTCACTAGGAAGAGACACCAGCCTTGCAAGGGGAGCCTGGGTGTGCAGACAGCAAGAGCCGCCCAGGCCAAGGAGAATGTGAACGAGGTTTGGTCTTTTGAGTGGAGAGTGTGGCTGCTGTGAGGAAGAAGGAGCTTGTTGGAAACCACTTAGCTGAGCCTAGGGACTTGCCAGCTTCCTGGAAAGTGAGAGCCCAGGAGAAGAAGTCTCCCTGTCCCTGGGCTTCCAGCCCCTCCAGAGCCCCCACTGGAGAGGGGCGTGCTGAGGCCAGAGCCCGGGGTGACGACCGTGCTGGGTGGGCCCTGGGGCGCACTCCGCCATCACTCTGTGTTCCGGGTTCCCAGATGCTGCTTCCTGGGAGGAGCAGCCCAGTCGCATAGGGAGCCACGGGGCCCTGCAGCTGAGCTGACCAGCCTCCCTGTGTGTGTGGCTGGATTTGAGCCACGTTACCTTTATCGGGGCAGCTCAGGTTGGGGATTGATTGACAGGGAAAGGAAAGGCCTTTACACTTGGTCTAAATTTAGGCAAGCAGCCAGAAAATGGGATATTCCCGTGGGTGCGGGAGTCTTGCACCTCAGTCCTGAGCCTGAGCAGTGTGAGTCTCAGAGCATCCTGCACAGTGACCAGCATGCGGACGGCAGCGGGAGCCTCGTGGAAGAAGCGGCACAGATTTTGAAGAGACACAGACTTTGAAAGAAATGCAAGACGCGCAGGTGCGGAGCGTCTCCCAGCCCCGCACGGCCATGTCCTGCTGAGGTTGGATAGAAACATTTGAGAAGAAGGTCGAGAACTTGGCAAGGCAAAGCAAACGGGAGTGGACGTGTCGCATAGCACACAGGGAAGCAGCCTAAAAACCCTCGGATTTGGAGGAGGCTGTTTCTAATACACAGATTTGGAATGAAGTTGTAAGAAATGCGTTACAGTGGAGGCCGCTGGGTAACAGCAGCAGGGATGGGGGGTGGTTGGGGAGCGGCCTGGGGGACACAGAGGGGGCTGGGGGCAGAGACGAGGGACCAGCTTCTCTGTCCAGGTTCGTCTTGGCTGGAGTTGGAGACTCTGGTCCTGAGTGGTCTCTGCCTTCTCCCTACTGAGCCCAGGGGCTCTTGAGCAGGTTGTGACTAACCCATGGGCAGCTTCCACGTTCAGGGCCTGTCCGACATTCCAGCCCTATGACCCTGCTCCTAGGCGAGTGCTGTCCAGGCCCCCGACACCATCAGGCCCTTGTGGTGGCCTGTCCACACCCAGGCCCCCCACTTCCCCCCTGCACAGGTGAGGAAGTTGAGGCTCAGGGCAGCTGAGCCCGCTTTTGTCTGCTCGGAGCCTGTTGTTCCAGCCCTAGCCTGGCCAGACAGAGCCTTGGCCCCTGTGTTGGTCTTGCTTTGTTCTCACCGTGGGGGGATGCTGGACACAGAGTCCCCTTGTTCTTGTTCTCGGTGAGACCTGGTCCTGGGCCACCCCGGATGTTTCCCTGGGCTCCTGCCTGCTGTGATGTGGGGCATGGAGTTGTACCCCAGTGGGCGACATCCCAGGTTGTGGCACCTGCTGTCTTTCTGCAGAGTGAGCCGCAACAGCTCCACCTGGGTGCAGGTTTCTCCCCTGTTCACGGTTCAGTGAAGGATGCTCATGCTGTCACTGATTGCAGCAGCCTCAGGCAGAAGTTTATGGTATCTCCATCAGCCCAAGCTCCCAGTGTAACCCTTGGGAGAGATTTGCTGGAAGAAAGCCGCATGGTACCTGCTCATTCCGGCCTCTCCTGGTGGGAAGGAGGGATGTGGCCCCGGGTGTTCTCAGGAGTGCTGGCTGTTCAGTTACGTTGACTTGCGAAGCTATTACATGAAGGTGTGAGGTTTTAATGGTCAAGTGCAGGGTGGTGATGAATGGGTTAAAGACGTCAAGGAAGGATCTGAATCCCGGCCTCGGAGGTGGGCAGGCTTGGGAGACCTTTGAAAAACCCTGCTGTGGTTTATAGCTGTAAGGCTTTCTATGTGGGGTTTAAAGTTTGTCATTTGTATTTTCTTAGGAAATTATTTATGTTGTTTCCAGAATTTCACATCCTGGAACCTGAGAGTGGTATCAGTAACACCATGTAGGCTGCGGGGCTGGAGCTGGGGCTCCACTGGGAGGCTGTCGTGGCGGGGTGGGAGGAGGTGCCGCCTCTCCCATGTCAGAGCCTCGGCGGCTGCTGGTCCTCGATGCTTCTGGGGTCAGCTGTCACCACCCCCAAGAACCGGCTGGGCCAGCTGCCCCCAGTCAACGTCTTGCCTGCCCGGGACTGCTGAGTGAGGCCTGGGCTCTGGTCCAGGCTTTGTAGACCGTGCAGGCGGCTGCATCCCCGACCTGACCCAGGCCTGCTCGCTCTGGTGTGCACCGACCTGCCAGCTTTGTGGCACTTTGTGGCATGGGGCTCAGGCCGATGGAGGTCAGTGGCTGTAACACTGTTGAGACCTGAAGACCGTTTACGGTGTATGTTTTCGGGAAAGGTCTCTTACCACGTACCGAAGTGGAAATGTTTGAGTTGTTTGAAAAAGATGAAATACTTGTGAGTGGTTTCAATGATTTAGCGTGGTGTTGCCTGGGTAGACCGTCAGGAAGTCAGTGTGACGTGGAAGTCCTCGGCGAGCCATGTCTGTGGTGTGTGGCTTGCTCACCACCTGCCTCAGGGCTCGGGGTTCATGAGTGTAAATGTCTGTGGATGTGATTATTGAACTTGGTGAAATGCCTTTGTTCATTCAAATTCTTCTTTTTCCCCCATTTCCACTTTCTTATTAGGGCACTTTCCCTCATGGTATTGATATTTTGACCACAGCTGACTATTTTGCCGTCGGTAACAGATCCAACTGTTTCCTGGTTATAAGGTAAGTCTTTAATGTATATCACAAAAATAGAATACTCTAAAATCAGATTGGATGTCAGAAATCAGCTACCACCATTTTCTTTTTTCATCCTGTAATGTCCACTCAATGGAATGTAGTTTTTGTGTGAAAAATTAAAAATGGAATTGGGAACAGTGACTGAAACTTGTGTTTCATGTTGATTGGACACACCTCATGCTTTACTACGCTAGATAGGGGACATTTACTCACGTGTTAAAGAGGGGCTCAGCTTCAGGAGTGCGGCCTTGCCGTGAGTGCTGTCTCTGCTTATGATTTTTCTCCTGGTCGCCCCGTTTTACCCGTGCTGGTTCTGTGTGGGGCTTGGAGTTTGAGAGGAAGCAGCTGCAAGCACGGCCACACCTCCTCCTGATGCTTCCCTACTGGATGTCCTAAATGCTTTCCCACCGTGAAATCTTGGATTAGAAGGGACTGTTTCTTTCTGTTTCGGTAATAGGAAGTGTTTTGAAGTTGAAGTTATCTGTAGATTGTCTATGAAATGAGTAAGAGGTATTTTAGAAATCAGGTTAGAAACAAATGTTTAGCACCTCTAATTGCAGTTTACAGAATTATATCAAACTGTTTTAGTTGTGTAATTAGGTACTGGGGAGGTTACTTCAGTTATCTTAGTTGATCCATTGCAGCAGAAATGTGAAAAAGGGTGTGACTTTATTTATTTATTTTTGGAGACAGAATCTAGCTCTGTTGCCCAGGCTGGAGTGCAGTGGGGTGTGACTTTATGAAGTGATTTATTTGCCTTAAATTAGGACCAGAAGCATGCCCGATGCATTTTTAACATTAACCATTAAATACCCTAAAGATCGATTCCCCAACAGCCCTGCTGTGTAGACCGTGCAGAAAGGACGTTTCTCCGTCACCAGCCTGGGCAGAATTTTGAAAATGTAGCATTTGGCCTCTTTCCCAGGAAGGATCTTTGAACACACTTATCTGTATTTTTATACCCTTTCAGGTTTCCTCAACATTTAATGTCCTTTTTTGCCTTATCAGTTCTTTCCTATTAATACTTGGCCATATATTTTATGTGGAAAATCTACTGGCCCGATGCAGTGGCTCATGCCTGTAATCCCAGCACTCTGGGAGGCCAAGACGGGCAGATCACCTGAGGTCAGGAGTTGGAGACCAGCCTGGTGAAACCCCGTGAATACTAAAAATACAAAAATTAGCCAGGCGTGGTGGCGGGTGCCTGTAATCCCAGCTACTCAGGAGGCTGAGGCAGGAGAATCACTTGAGCCCGGGAAGCGGAGGCTGCAGTGAGCCGAGATCGTGCCACTGCACTCCAGCCTGGGTGACAGAGTGAGACTCCATCTAAAGAAAAAGACAATCTACCACCTTTTCCCGAGTTTCCTGAGTAACACACCTGACAGCTATGGGAAGCTTCAGCATATTTCCCTTGTTGCTGAGGTTTCTAAGCCAGCCTAAAACTCGCATGTAATTAGCTGTGTGCGTTTTATAAAAACATTTGCCAACCCAAGACCTGGGTCCAGGCATGTCTTCCCCCAGTGTGTTTGGCTTCCTCACGATGCCAGGCCCTGCGTGCAGACCAGATGCCACTTGTGAGGACGCACCGGCAGGCAGGCCCCTCCAATCCTGAGGGCGGCATCACGGGGACCTGCAGTCATGGCTGCACCCTAGTACCGCGGGGCCCCCCTGCACCCGAGGCAGGGTCCTGCTGTCAGCCTGGACCTTGGGGTGAGGGAGGCAGTGGTCCTGTTCAGCAGAGGGCATGGGACTGAGCACAGCCCATCAGGGAGGAGAGTTAGCAGGGCCCTGGGCCCTGGCGGGGAGCTGCTGGGGGCCTTTGAGCCATAGTGAAGAGTGTGGATTGTCCTGAGGTCATGGCACTTTGATGGTCAGGTCTTTGTTTTGAACATATCCCTGTGGCTGTATTTGGTGACTGGAAATAAGGAGAGGGCTTGAGGGCTCTTGGGAGACGGGAGAGGGCTGGGGGCCTGGAGGTGTGCCCGCTGGAGGAAGGTGGGAGTTGCCAGGGCATTACAGAGGGTCTCAGAGCTGTGTTGGCATCACTCCGCAGGTGGAGGGCACAGCTGAGGGCGACAGTGTCGTTGAGTGCGAGGAGGTTGGGGCCTCAGCTTGCACGTGCTGGCCTGCGAGGAAGCATCAGCCGTGCTGACATGGAGATGTTTCCTCTGCAAATTGGAGTTTCGGACACACAGACTGGAATTGAACTAACGGGCACCCCAGGAAGACTGTGGGGCGAGACGAGGAGGATGGGGGGACCAGCCGTCGCCCCACTCTCCTGTTCATCATCACAGCCTCGTTGGGGTGTAAACGACCCCCAGTAAGCTGGTGCATGTTCAATAGGTACATTTTTGTAAATGTTAACATCTGTAAATTCGTACCTATCACCACAATCAAGACGAGAAAAGGCCCAGGTTTCCCCTTTCCCATTCGGGGTCCCTCCCCTCCCACACCCCCTTCTTCAGGCACCCCTGGTCTGTTGCTCTCACTGCAGCTGTGTCTGCATTTCCCAAAGCTCTGTGTGAATGGGTTCAGGCAGTGGGCACTCTCCTCACTCACACTGGCTTCCTCTGCTCCATGCTTCCTGCAGACTGTCCGCCTGTGGGGACCGTCCCCCGAGCCTCCAGGGCCAGGGGTGTGGTACGTGGCGTCTGTCTCCACTCACCTGGTGAGGGGCTTCTGGGCAGTGTCTTGTCTGGGTTGTCACAGGTGCAGCTGCGGTGAACATGTGTGTACACATCTGTCTTTGGGCCTGCACTCTTGTTCTCTGGCATAGATGCCCAGAGCTGGGTGGCTGTGCTGTCAGTTTTTTTTTTTTTTTTTTTTTTTTCCTTTTGAGACAGAGCCTTGCTCTGTCACCCAGGCTGGAGTGTGGTGGCGCAATCGCGGCTCCCTGCAGCCTCGACCTCTTGAGTTCAAGCGATCCTCCCACCTCAGCCTCCCGAGTAGCTGGGACTACAGGCACACGCCACCACGCCCGGCTAATTTTTGTATTTTTCTGTGGAGATGACAAATCATGTTGCCCAGGGTGGTCTTGAACCCCTGGTCTCAAGTGATCCACCTGCCTTGGCCTCCCAAAATGCTGGCCTTGCAGGTGTGAGCCACCACACCCTGCCTGTAGCTTTTTCTGAAATGGCCACATGGCTTTCGGCGTGATGGTGCCACGCGCCCCCGGTGCTGGATGAGCTCGGGGTCCGGGATCTGGGGTCCTTGCCGGCGCTGGGGGTGTTGGTCTTTCAAGCTCGGGGTCCGGGATCTGGGGTCCGTGCTGGTGCTGGGGTGTTGGTCTTTCAAGCTTGGCCATTGTCATGGGGGTGTGGGAGCAGCTGACTAACTCGTGTTCTAGTGACTGATGATGCAGTTTCAGTCATCATCCATTTCAGGGGCGTGTTTAACACATCTTTCGCCCATTTACTTATTAGGTTAGTCGTTTTCTTCCTGTTGAGAATTTGAGAATTCTTCATGAATTCTGCATACAATTCCTTTTTCAGATGCTTCCTTGCTACATATTTCCTCCTGCTCCGTGGCTTTCCCTTTCAGTATCCTGTATATTCCTAAGTCAAAGCCTTTTTAAAAAAAAATCAGCTTTGGGCCGGGTGCGGTGGCTCACACCTGTAATGCCAGCACTTTGGGAGACCCAGGCAGGCAGATCACGAGGTCAAGAGATCGAGACCATCCTGGCCAACATGGTGAAACCCCGTCTCTACCAAAAATGCAAAAATTAGTCGGGCATGGTGGCGCACCCCTGTAATCCCAGCTACTCGGGAGGCTGAGGCAGGAGAATCACTTGATCCCGGGAGGCGGAGGTTACAGTGAGCCGAAATCGCGCCACTGCACTCCAGCCTGGGCAGCAGAATGAGACTCCGTCTCAAAAAAAAAAAAAAAAATCAGCTTTATCTTTGTACATCTACTTTATTACATATAGTTTACATATAGTAAAATTGCCAGTTTTCAATATGGGTTTAAGTGTGGCAGCGGGTTTGGCAGATGTGAGCTGTTGAATGACCACCACTGTGGTCAGTGTGGTGCACATGACCCTCCCTCCAGGAGGCGCCATCCTGACTGACCTCCTGTCGCTGGGGCTCCCCCGTTTTAGAATCCGTGCAGGTAGCTTCCTTCATCTGCTGCCTGCCTCATCAGCTGCCTGTGTTTCAGGGTTCCTCAGTGGTTCTCACTGTGTGGACGCCCCACATTTGAGGGGCTTTGAGCCCCCGTGGGTTTTGATGTGAGCACACGGCACAGCTCTGTTCTCCCCGGCTGGTTTTCTGTTGGAGTGAGCATTGAGCCCCCGTGGGTTTTGGTGTGAGCACACGTCACGGCTCTGTTCTCCCCGATGGTTTTCTGTTTTTCATGAGCATTGAGCCCCTGTGGGTTTTGGTGTGAGCACACGGCATGGCTCTGGGTTTTGGTGTGAGCACATGGCATGGCTCTGGGTTTTGGTGTGAGCACACGGCATGGCTCTGTTCTCCCCGGCTGGTTTTCTGGTTTTCGTGAGCATTGAGCCCCCGTGGGTTTTGGTGGGAGCACACGGCACGGCTCTGGGTTTTGGTGGGAGCACACGGCACGGCTCTGGGTTTTGGTGGGAGCACACGGCACGGCTCTGGGTTTTGGTGGGAGCACACGGCACGGCTCTGGGTTTTGGTGGGAGCACACGGCACGGCTCTGGGTTTTGGTGGGAGCACACGGCACGGCTCTGGGTTTTGGTGGGAGCACACGGCACGGCTCTGGGTTTTGGTGGGAGCACACGGCTGCTTCCCACAGCTCTGCTGCAGACCCTGGGGCTTGGGCCGTTGGACAGCTGAGCAGAGGCTTCGTTTTCTTTTCCTATGTGCAGGAGGCTGAACACCGCTTCAAGTGGTTGAAGTGTGTGTGTATTTTCTGTAAACTTTTTGATGATATTTCTGCTACACTATTTTTTTTTTATTGATTCAGAAGAACTGGTTTATTTTAGGGAAGCCTCCTGTTGGTAAGATCAGTTGCGGTTGTTTTTTCAGATTTGTTGTTTGACTTTTGACTTTGTTTTTGGTGTTTTCCTGGTAGACTTTGTTCGGCATATGTGTTGGTAGGGATCGATTTCTTCTGTGGCTCTGGGTTTCGAGTCATAATTAGAAAGGCATATCCTACTTAGAGATTATTGTTTAAAAGTCTTCCGTGTTGTTTTCACAAGATGTAACTTTTATTTTTGAGACATAATTTACACGCTTTCAGCTGCCCCTGTATGGAGTGGACGGTTGTGGAGGGGCTGACAGTGTGTCCACCTGCGTCACCTGCATCTTCCTTGGGAGTGGAGCTCCCACCACTTCCACGGCCAACACTCCTTCCCCCCAGCCTGTGTGCTGCTGCCCTGCCCTCGACGCGGAGCAGGGCTGCCCCTCGGGGAAGGTCGTATCCATGGAACCAGAGGGAACACACTCCTGTGTGTCAGGTTCTTTGCTCAGCGTAGTGCGCCTGGGGACCGTCCGCAGCGCGTGTGTCCTCAGTGCATGTGTCCTCCGCTAGTGTCCTCAGCGTGTCCGCAGTGCGCGCGTCCTCGGCTCGTGTCCTCAGCGCGTGTCCGCAGTGCGTCCTCAGCATGTGTCCTCAGCGCATGTCCTCAGCGCACGTGTCCTCAGCGTGCGTGTCCTCAGCGCGTGTGTCCTCAGTGCGTGTGTCCTCCGCTCACGTGTCCTCAGCGCGCGCGTCCTCAGCTCGTGTCCTCAGTGCGTGTCCGCAGTGCGTCCTCAGCGCACGTGTCCTCAGCACGCGTGTCCTCAGCTGCTTTTCGTTGGTGAGTCTTTGCTCAGCATCGTGCGCCTGGGGCCCGTCCTCAGCGTGTGTGTCCGCAGCGCGTGTGTCTGCACCTCCTTTTGGTTGGTGAGTTGTGTGCACTGTTCTGTGGCTATACAATTTTTCTGTGAGTTTGCCTGACATTTAGGTTATTTTGAATTTTTGGCTCTGATGAATAAAGCAGTTGTATATATTTATTTAGAAATCATCTTCATGTGGATGTGTATTTTCATTTCTTTCAGATAAAGAGTTAGAATTTTTATATATTTAACTTTATGAGAAACTGCCAAACTGTTTTGCAAAGTGGCTGTATAATCTTGTACTTTCACCAGAACGTATGCAGCCTCTGGTTTTCCCACATCTGTGCCAACGCTTGGTATTTACCAGTCTTTTAAAATTTACCCATTCGAGTGGGGGTAACGATTTAACAATTAGCATTCCTGGCTGAATACTGATGTTGGACATCTTTTCATGTGTTTATTGGCCTTTTATTTATTTTCTTTTGTGATGTTTATGTACAAATTTTGTATCAATTTTTTGTTTGGGGTTTATCTTTATATATTCTGTTACAAGTCGGTTTGCCTTTTGATTTTCTTAAAAGTTTTTAACAGCTTTGCCGAGGTATAATGGGCATATGTTAGCTGTATATGGAGTGCAGGGCTTTACTGAAGTGCAGCTGGCACACACTAACCAGAGCGCACAGCTTCCTGTGTGTGACGGAGGCCTGAGCACAGCCATCACCCTGGAGCCCCCCCATGTCTGCTCCTTGTAATTCCCGCCTCGGTCCTCCCCCACCCTGAGGCCCCTGATCTGCCTCTGTGGGTGTAGATGAGTTTTTTGCACGTCCTTGAATTTTGTGTGAATGAAACAAAGCTGTGTGCACTCATTTTGTCAGTCTTCTTTGGCTTAGGGTAGTTGAGATTCAGATTGTGTGTGTTGTTGCTGAGTATTCGATTGTGTGGATCAACCACGGTTTGTTTTCCCCGTGGATGATGTCAGGGTGGTTTCCAGATTTCGCCGTTACACATGAAGCTGTGTGCACGTTTGTGTAAAGCCCGTGTGTGCACAGATGCTCTTTTCTTTTGGGTAACTGCTCAGGAGGGAATGGCTGGATCACGTGGTAGATTTGAAGAAATGGGCAAACTGGTTTTGAAAGTAACTGTGCTGAATTCCCACCCACAGGCAGTGAGTTCTCGTTCTTCCGCGTCTCACCACCTCTCCATGCTGTCTTTTCCAGTGTGTTTATTGCCGGCTTTCCTGAGTACACGCAGCCAATGATAGACCACCTGGTTACCATGAAGATCAGCCACTGGGATGGGTAGGTTTTCTGTTTTTGTTTTTCTAAGAGCTTTTTTTCCCCCCAAAGGAGAGATTCAGTTGAGCTTATAAGCCTTGAGTGTATTTTCTCACTGTGGATGTCGTATTTTAAAATAACTTCTGAGAAGTAATATGAATTCCAGTCTTCATGCCGGATGTGTTGAGTCATGGTCTGTCTCCAGTTCCACTTCTGGAGCGCCTGGTCCAGTGTGTCCGACGTGGCGGTGTACCCGTGCAAATGTCCACGCTGGCGTGTTGTGGAGTGCCGCTGCCGTCCGAGGGGGCGCGGGCGTAGCTTGGAGGCGGACTCTGCGTTGTCTCCCTCAGCAGTGCTTCCCGCTGACTCTGCTCCATGTGGCTCCACAGGTGGTTTCTGCGCTGTCTCCTGGGAGCCCAGCAGTTCTTAGTGGCCGTTTTCATCATTACAGTAGCAGCTTCAGGGTTTCCTTGCATTTCATAGGCAGTTAAATGTGTCTCAGAAAGGAAAAGTGAAGTGCGGTCTGGAGCATAAACAGCGCGTTAGTGCTGTGACCGCCGCCCTGAGGAGGTCAGAGGGTCCCCTCCTAGGACAGTGCCGTGCTGTGGCACTCCTCACGGAGCCTCGAGGAGCGGTAGGTGCCTGTGGGTGGAGGTGGCTTTGTGAGGGTGCGAGTCCAGAATCTCAGTTTCAGAGTTGGTGTGATGTGGAGGGGGTCCTTTCTGATCCATGGGGGATGCGTTTGCTGCTGCCTGGGGAGCGGCCCGGCTGCCTGCCGTGGTCCTGCTGCCTGGGGAGCGGCCCGGCTGCCTACTGTGGTCCTGCTGCCTACTATTGGTCCTGCTTCCTGGGGAGCGGCCCGGCTACCTGCGGTGGTCCTGCTGCCTGGGGAGCGGCCCAGCTGCCTACTGTGGTCCTGCTTCCTGGGGAGCGGCCCGGCTACCTGCCGTGGTCCTGCTGCCTGGGGAGCGGCCCGGCTGCCTACTGTGGTCCAGGCAGGGCCCTCAGGACTGGGAGCCTCTGGGAAAGGAACTCCTGGGTAGCACTCGGGCTGCCGGGGGAAGACCCTCCCTTCATTCGCTTACAGAGAGGGGTGTGAATTCCTGAGACTCGGGGTGTCCCTGCAAATGTTACACCAAAACTCTCTCCATTAGGTACAAGGTCCCCTAAACCGAACCTAGGGAAAATTAATTAATTTGTCAGTTGTATCAGCCGATTAGTCAATAACGTCTTTAAAACCAAAGTTACAGATATATGCCCGTAGCGTCGGAGCTGTGGGACTCTCCAGCTGGTACATATGCCCGTGGCGTCGGAGCTGTGGGACTCTCCAGCTGTTGCTGTCTGTCTCTGCCTCAGTTCTGTCGGCCTTTCCTTCACGTGTTTTGGGCGGGGTCACTTATTGGAGGCAGATACACTTTCGCTTTTTGTCTCTTCCTAATGTATTGACCCTTTATCTTTGCGGAACGGCCCTCATTGTCTCGTGTGAGATTTCTTGCCTTAAAGTAACTGATGACTGGTGTAGTACCTGAGTTGGCAAGCCTTTTCTTTGAGGGGCTGGATAAACGTGGTAGATCTCTGTTCCATACGCTTTGCTTTAGTTTATTTTATTTAGTTTATGTAACCCTTGAAAAATGTGAAAACCATTCTTAGCTGAGGGCCGTCCTTACGCGAAGAGGCCTCGGGCTGGGCTTGCGGCTGCAGACTGCATTGCCTCCGCTTCTCAGGTGCTTTGTCTTTTCTGTTCCCTCAGAGTTGCAGGCGATGGTCTTCTAGACAGCATGCAGTTGGGTGTCGCTCAGGGTGTGGAGTCCTGGCACATGAGACGCCACCTGCCTCGAAGAGCTCTTTGTTTACCGTTAGAAGTGGACCCTGAGCAGGGCCCTCGGCCGACACCAGAGGGGCTGTGGCAGGTGGTCCTGCCAGCGCGGGCGTCTGCCATTGTGCCTGGTTTCACTGTGGTGCTGTGGGTTTGGTGTTTTTAAATAATTAGAGGACAGACACCCGCCTTCTGCATGTTTTCACCTTCACATTTTGCTTCTTTGTTGTTACATGGTCGCCCTCATGATGATTTTAAGTCAGGACCACTTGCTGCTCCAGCTGGGTCTGGAGGGGCTGGGGCATGAGCTCTGCGGGTCGCTCCCAGCTTGACCATCTGCCTCTGCATGGAGCTCTGGAAGGAGGGGTGGGCTCAGGAGGGGCTCCAGCCTCTTGAGCCGGTCCTGGGTCAGCCTTTCGCGGTCCGCATGTTCAACCATGGGTGCTTTCAGTGTGTGTCTGATGAGGCAGTTATTGGATATGTGCCCCAGATTTGGTGGGTGAGCCTCAGGAAATTCCTTCTGTTCACCCCTTGTAATCGTGGAGGGGTGGTTTCACGTGGCTCTATCTCACACTCACAACCTCAGAGTAGCGTGGGGGTGGGGAGGCCGGACACCCAATTGCCACCTGGCCCTGAGAAGGAAAGGCAGCTGTGTCCCAAGAAGAACCGTGGTTAGCCGTGTGACCTCGCTGTTGTAGACTGTCCTTGTCGTCTGTTGGAGTCGGAGGTTCTTGTACTGGTTCGTGTGAGTGAGTGAGTGAGCCTCTGCTAAGTGGCCGGTTGAGGACTCGTGTGTTGTCTCCCTCACTTTCTTTTTATGAATTGAATAAAGCTAGAATCATAAAATGAAGGCACTTACGACATTCTCTCCTCACTCTCAGGGTCATCCGAGAGTTGGCTGCGAGGGCGCTGCACAACCTGGCCCAGCAGGCACCCGAGTTCAGCGCCACGCAAGGTGGGTGTGTGTCCCGGCCGGCCTGCGGGCACCATGCATGCACTGCAGAAAGGCCTGGGTTGCTGGTTTCAAAGGCTGGGGGCTGAAAATAAGGTTGTGCTTCTGTCTTGGTGAGAAGCATCTGAGGAAAGAGCTGTGGACTTGATCAGTGGATAGGCTGTGAGGACGGATGCGGTGAGTGTGTCCGCCTGCAGGGCAGGGAGCCGCTGAACTGTGTTACGTACACCGGAGCCCGTGATGGTCCCGCCGGATGCCTGACATGCAGTGCTGCTTCCCTGGTCTCTAGGTGGCTCGCACCTGCCACACGACACTCCCTGGTCTCTAGGTGGCTCGCACCTGCCACACGACACTCCCTGGTCTCTAGGTGGCTCGCACCTGCCACACGACACTCCCTGGTCTCTAGGTGGCTCGCACCTGCCACACGACACTCCCTGGTCTCTAGGTGGCTCGCACCTGCCACACGACACTCCCTGGTCTCTAGGTGGCTCGCACCTGCCACACGACACTCCCTGGTCTCTAGGTGGCTCGCACCTGCCACACGACACTCCCTGGTCTCTAGGTGGCTCGCACCTGCCACACGACACTCCCTGGTCTCTAGGTGGCTCGCACCTGCCACACGACACTCCCTGGTCTCTGGTTGGCATGCACCTGCCACACGACACTCCTTGGTCTCTAGGTGGCTTCCATCTGCCACACGACACTCCCTGGTCTCTGGTTGGCATGCACCTGCCACACGACACTCCTTGGTCTCTAGGTGGCTTGCACCTGCCACATGACACTCCTTGGTCTCTAGGTGGCTTCCATCTGCCACACGACACTCCCTGGTCTCTAGGTGGCTTGCACCTGCCACACGACACTCCTTGGTCTCTAGGTGGCTTCCATCTGCCACACGACGCTCCCTGGTCTCTAGGTGGCTTGCACCTGCCACACGTGAATGCACTTTGGAATTGGGCAGCGTGTATAGAAAGAAAAGGCCTGAATGGGAGACTCAAAGTCTGCCCAGGACTAACATCACCTTGGAATGGCTCAGCTAAGTCTGCACTTCTTACACTTCATCAGTGAAGAGAGAAATCCTGTTTGTTCTGTCTTGTTTTTTTCTACTTGGAATAAATAATCATCTGACTTAAATGTGGGGAAGAATACACACATTTCTCAATGTGTGTACCGTCACTCCCCCGACATTTATTACAGGGGCTACACTGGAGGCTGGATTGTGGCTCTTCAGTGGAGTTACTGATGTGACGCCTGTGTTGAACATCCTGTGGGGGCTCGTTCATTCCTAAGGGATCTTTCAGCTTCGTGATCTGTTAATGAGGCATCCACGTCACGGGTTTAGTGTGGCGCTCCCCTACTTTTCAGTGATAATTAACCCTTGCTGACACTGAGGGGGCTCAGCTTTGTCCTCCACCCGGTTGAAGAGCACGGACACCCAGAACAGGACTGTGACCTTTTGTAGATTTCTCTGATTCTCGAAAATCCGATCACCCCCAGCCGCCACATCTTAGCCTCTCTGATTCTCAAACCATCGCAAGCCTGGCAGCACTTGGGGAGGCTTAGGCTCGGGGAGCTTGGTTTCCCCACGCAGGTGTGGCAGAGCCGCCTCCCTCTGCGTCCGTGAGGGTTCTGAGGAGTCTGTGCTTTCTGAGCAAACTCAGAGTAGAGGCACCACCCCTGGGGGCAGCCCTGCCTCTGTCCTGCTCCGCCCCCTCCACCGCCCAGGCAGCCAGGCAGAGCTCCTGCCAGGACCAGAGGCCACCCTACACCGACAGGGAAGGCCTGGGGAGTGTGTCGTCCTCCTCCATGCTCCCTCTCCTGTCTGAGTTACCCACCCCGTCTGGGGCACTTGGGAGCGGGCCATGTCCAGCACACCGCAGCCTCCGTCCTGTTGCCCTTGGTGTCTCAGGGGCCATCTGCATCACCACGGGTGCCGTCCTGGGCACTGGGGTGATGACCCTGAGGGATGCCAGTGTGGGCGGGTGCGTGTGGGCGTCCCACAGGTCGTCCGTGTGTGCACGCCGTCGCCTGCCCTCCCGGCCCTGTGTGGGTGCGTGTGGGCTTCCCACAGGTCGTCCGTGTGTGCACGCCGTCACCTGCCCTCCCGGCCCTGTGTGGGTGCGTGTGGGCTTCCCACAGGTCGTCCGTGTGTGCACGCCGTCGCCTGCCCTCCCGGCCCTGTGTGGGTGCGTGTGGGCTTCCCACAGGTCGTCCGTGTGTGCACGCCGTCGCCTGCCCTCCCGGCCCTGTGTGGGTGCGTGTGGGCTTCCCACAGGTCGTCCGTGTGTGCACGCCGTCGCCTGCCCTCCCGGCCCTGTGTGGGTGCGTGTGGGCTTCCCACAGGCCGTCCGTGTGTGCACGCCGTCGCCTGCCCTCCCGGCCCTGTGTGGGTGCGTGTGGGCTTCCCACAGGCCGTCCACATGTACACACCCTCACCTGCCCTCTCGGCCCTGTCTCTTGCAGTCTTCCCGAGGCTGCTGTCCATGACACTGAGTCCAGATCTTCACATGAGGCATGGGTCGATTCTCGCCTGCGCAGAAGTTGCTTACGCCTTGTACAAACTTGCAGCCCAAGAGAACAGGTAGGAAGAGTGGGTCTCGAGGAGACACAGGGCTCTGTCCCTGATCCCCTCACCATGTAATCACAGTGCTCTCCAGTTCGAGACTCTCTCATCCCTTCTCATTTTTGTTTATCTGCACCAGTGTCACAGTCGATAGGCCCCAGGTTGTATTGATGGAGTGTGTAAGTGGCCCTCTCTCCTGACGGTCATGCCGTGGGTGGACCACCCACCTCTTCAGCGGGGCGGGTGCAGCACCCGGATGGGCCGGGCATCTCCCCACGGCTGTCCTGCCCCTGCTGCCTCCTTGTGCACCTCCTGGTCTCAGAGGTGACAAGCGAGGTCATAACAGCAAAGGTCCTTTTTCCAAGACGGCATTGAGCGACTTGCATGTTCAGTATCCTTTCTTCATCACGTTCCATAGTTTAAAATGCCAGAGAATATACACGTTTCTTTTGAATTTTTCAGTTGGCTATGTTTGTACAAATAATAATAAAGCATGAAAAACATGGGGTCACTGGGAAGTTGTGTGCAGGAGGCTGTAAGGCATCGACTGTCGTCTTACGTTTCTTCCCAGTCGAGTCTTCCTCAAGAGTAAGAACTCCCGGACTTACCATAGTGACGGCAACCTGCTTCTCGGACTCCAGTTTAAGAAACGTTTTTAAGTTCATGCCCTGTGCTGGAGACAGTTCCCTGGGAACGGGTTGAGAGCAGGGTATGGGCCCACCTCCCGCCCAAGCCTGAGGAAGCTCTGGTCGGCCCCGAGCTCAGATGCAGAGTGCAGCTCCTTCAGGGACGCTCGCTCGTGTGGGTGCAGCTGATGCCCGTGCAAGACCTGGCCTTTATGGCGCTGCTCTGTGGTTGTGGAAGAAGGCACATGGGGTGGGGTCTGGGGAGAACCAGGCGGGAGCTCCCAGGGTCCTCCAGTCGGGTCCCACAGGGCCTGTGTCATTCCCCCAGCAGTGAGATGTGACCACACCTGTGAGGTGTCTATCAGGGAAGCACATTTGAGCCTCAGTGCCCAGGCTAGACTGGGGTCTGGCCACGTGGGCACCTCCGCCTGGCACGAAACAAAATTCCAGACCCCCAGCAGGAAAGCAGGTGCCAGCGTAAAGCACACGGTTTGCGCAGATTGAGCCAGTGAGGGGGCCTCATGAGGCAGGGCTTGGTCCAGGCCCCCGCATGCCAGCCCAGGTCTGATCTCGCCAGGGACCTTCCCTTGGATGTCAGTGGACATGAGCTGTCGTCTCAGCCTCACCTGGACCTGTCTGTTTTCCAAGGTGGTCACATTGGCAGGGGTCACAGCTTTAAGGGGATGCCCTAACATCCTCTTCCTTTGACCAGGCACTGCTTCATCTAAAATCACAAATGGGCCAGGCATAGTGGCTCACGCCTGTAATCCCAGCTATTTAGGAGGCGGAGGTGGGGGGATTGTTAGGGCCCAGGAGTTTGAGACCAGCCTGGGCAACATAGTGAGACCCCATCTCTAAAATAACAAAAGAATGCAATGTAAAACAATACAGTAGAATACAAAAATAATCGGAGGTATGTCCTGCAGAGGTCTCTGGGACCCACTGGGACCTGAACAAGAATGAGACCTTGCTGAGCCTATGCTCCTCCGAGTGTACTTGGGGTTAGGGTCTTGGGGAGTGTGGCCTCAGCTCCTCCGAGTGTACTCGGGGTTAGGGTCTTGGGGAGTGTGACTTCAGCTCTGTGTTTGAACTTCTGCAGGCCCGTCACGGACCATCTGGACGAGCAGGCAGTGCAGGGCCTGAAGCAGATTCACCAGCAGGTTTGTGTGCAGCCTCTGGGTGTACCCTCAGGAGGCATCACAGGACCTGCCCCCTTAGGGCCTCCCACCCTCCCCAGGCAGGGTCTGCAGTCCTGGTGGCCACTGTGCTCCATCAGTCCTGGGCTCAGTGGGGGACCTGCGGTGTGATCACTCTGGGAACAGGCTCTCTGCTGGCGTCATGCTTGTGAACAGCCACCTTGGAGGGTTGCCCTGGGAGGGGAAGAGACTCCTAGGAAATGAGTGCAGACTTTCTGTGCACGTAGCCAGCATGTCCTTGGTCTCTGAGGAAGGCTTATGAAGCTAGTGCAGTCGGTGGAGGTTTCGGCTGCAGCTGGAGTGTGGTTTCCCTCCGGGGCGCGCGGCTGCGGTCCCACGATGGAGCGTGCAGCCAACTCTGGGTGGGGGCATTGGGCCCCGTGCTCTCCTGGTGGAGTTGGGGGCACACAGAACGAGCACAGAAGCCTCTGGTTTCCAGCCGTGCATCTGCAGCTGGGGTCTGATGTCTCCTGAAAGTAAAGCAGAATTTTGTGTGTGCGTCTGTCGGATTTCTCTGGGGAGACAGTGTGTTCATCTTTCTGGGCTTTGAGAGATTCTCAAAGGCTTCTGTGACCCAGAGGTAAAGTATGAACTATGGATCTTGGTGTTACAGGAGAATATAAAAATTGTTCACGAGGGATTACGTGGTTTACTTGTCTGTTGTCCAGATAGCTTTATATTCTTTAAGATTCAGCTCGGATTCTTATCCTATTTTTGCCATTAACTTTCATTATGATTTTGGCAAAGCCATTTTGTTTGCTTACATTTTTCACTTTTAATGTGGTGTCTGGCCTCCCCCTCTGACCGAGACAAGCATGGCTGCAGAGTGCAGACGGGGAGGTGGCCCCGGGCAGCAGCCATGAACGTGGCCTCCCCACTGACGCTGAGCCATGGCTCCCTTTTTTCAGTAAAATATAAGCAGTAATAGAGCCGATCTCCTTGAGTTTTTGTGAGAATTAAAGAATACATTTTAAAGAATTGAGGAGAATTTTTGGGACAGTGTGAGCATTCAGTAAATTTTAGTTGTAGTGGCCATCACAACGTGGCTTTTAAGCTCTCTTACAAAAAAAGAAACATCAGCATCCTGTTTGGCACAGTTACTTTTCTGCACAAGAGGCTGCCTGGGTGGGTTCTACGTCGGTCTCTGGGGCCAGAATGCAGGTGGCTCCAGCTCCCTACTCTGGCCCTCTCCTCCCTCTCTCTGTGCCTCAGTTTCCCCTTCAAGGGAGCTCTGGGCCTGTCTGGAGGTTAAACAAGGCCATCTGCGTCAGTAGGTGGGCCTCCGTCCTCAGCCCCCTAGGCGGCTCTCCTGGCTGGCATGGCATCTTCTGCCATTTTCTCTTTGTTCTTGTTTTTGACAGTTGTTAACGTATACGTATTATTTTAAAATTTAAATCATTAAATAACTTTCAGTTTTTTATTTTCAGCTCTATGATCGTCAGTTATACAGGTGAGCTTTACAAAACCAAAGTTCTTATATCTGTGTCCTAATGAAGAACTGCGCTGTCAGGAGCAGGCGGGGCGGGTGTGTTCGCTTCCCTCTCTGCCTATGTGTGTTTGGGTTGAGCGGGTGGGTGTCACCCGGCCCGCTGTGGGAGGCGCATGAGGGTCTGACCTGGTTGTGTGATTGGGTTGAGTGGGTGTCACCTGGCCCACTGTGGGAGGTGCATGAGGGTCTGACCTGGTTGTGTGTTTGGGTTGAGCGGGTGGGTGTCACCCGGCCCGCTGTGGGAGGCGCATGAGGGTCTGACCTGGTTGTGTGATTGGGTTGAGTGGGTGTCACCCGGCCCGCTGTGGGAGGCGCGTGAGGGTCTGACCTGGTTGTGTGATTGGGTTGAGCGGGTGTCACCCGGCCCGCTGTGGGAGGCGCGTGAGGTTCTGACCTGGTTAGGTTTTCAGCTCTGCAGGTGTCATCGCGTTTCCTCGTTCCCAGGACTTGCTGGTCATAGGCAGGGGTGTGGCCTCCCCAACCCCGAGATCTGGCCGGGTGCCTCCCTGAGGGTTTCCCTCTGTGCCTTTGCAGCCCAGGCAGCCTGTCTGCTCTGACAGATTGCTTTGCTTTTTCTAGAATTTGCTACCGAGGGTGTCACACAGTAGGAAGCCTTTGGGTGTGGTTTCTTCCCCGACGTGTCTTTGAGATACCTGTGTTGCTGTGTGTTCCGTGGTGTGCATGTACGGCGCCGTGTTATCCACTCACCAGCCCAGGCTCATCTGGGTTTCCAGCCTTTGGCTATTGTAGGGAAGCTGCTGTGCACATCTAGACGTACAAGTCTTGGTACGTTTCACGTTTCCTGGCTGACTACCAGGAGCAGCATCGCAGGGTGTGGGGCACATGTGTGACTTCTCAGCAGCCGAGCCAACTTCCCAGACCCTGCTGCTGCACGTCCCCATCCACAAGTGACCCCTTGGTGTGGTCGGCTCTGAACGTGGGCCCTCTGGGTGAGTAGAGGCCTCTCGCTGCTGCTGGAGTCTGCCTCTCCCCAGGGCTCCTGGTGCTGAGCCTCTTTCCCTGTGCTGACGAAGCATTCCTGGGTCTTTCGTGAAGTTTTTTGCTCATTAAAAAGTTCAGACTTTTTGCTCATTAAAAATTTTATCGTCTGTCTTATTGAGCTGTTAGAACTCTTCATATATTCCAGATGCCAGCTCTTTGTCACACACAGGATCTGCCAGTGCTTTCTCCAGCTCTGTGGTTCACTTTTCTTTTCTCTTAGTGACTTTTTTTTTTTGGAGAAGCAGTCTCACTCTGTCGCCCAGGCTGGAGTGCAGTGGCAGCATGTCGGCTCACTGCAAGCTCACCTCCCACGTTCAAGCGACTCTCCTGTCTCAGCCTCCCGGGTAGCTGGGACTACAGGTGCCCCCCATCATGCCCACCTAATTTTTGTATTTTTAGGAGAGACGGGGTTTCACCATGTTGGCCAGGCTGGTCTTGCACTCCTGACCTGAAGCGATCCGCCCGCCTCGGCCTTCCACAGTGCTGGGATTACAGGCTGAGCCACCGCGCCCAGCCTCCTAGTGGCTTTTTACTGGGACTTGTGTGGGGTAGTGAACCTCGTGCTGTTCTCCTTTACCTTCGAGGGGTGAAGCCTCCCTTTCTGCCTCCTAGTCCTTCCAGGCTGCTCCCAAGAGGTCCCTTGGCTGCTCCCACCAGTTTCTGGCCACCTCCTCAGTCAGCAGGGCGGGTGGCCCTGTTTGGGCTCCACCCCACACACTGGGCCTGGAGGGCTCCTTCAGGTGCTCCTTGGGGTACTGGAGGACCCCTGCCTTGGGCCTCAGTCCTGTACTCTTCACCTCCTGGTGTTGGAGCCAGCATTTCATATGTTGCATTCTGTCCAGTTTTCTACTTGCAGGAGGGGACATCCAACCCTGCCACTCTGTGTGGGCCAGAAACCAGGGTCTCAGGAGTGAATATTTTGCCCTCCCCAGGGCAGCGCGCCTGCCCTTGTGCACCAGGGTCCCGCTGTCAGCGCCAGGGCTGGGGCAGGTGTCCCAGATGGGCAGAGCAGCCCGGAGCTCCGCCTAGCTTCGCTCATGGTAGAACCGCAGTGCACTGCTTCTCTAGGCTGGATAGGGGGCTCTTTCTGGCATCTGAGATTAGTTTCTATAAAGTAAGAGCTGAGCGCTGCTTGGAATTAGTTCTGTGATGGGATACCAGTCAGGACTAGAATGTCCAGTAAAAATTAAAAATCAGCATCACCCCAGCTAGGATGGGAGACCTCTGGAAGATGGCTGTACCACGTTTTTTCCTTTCTTTTCATAAAAGGTTGCTCATGCTCAGTAACACATTCAACTAGTTCTCATTTTAATGCTTTTTGGAGCCTGAGGTTACATTGGCAAGCATATTTCATGGTGTTTTATACGTCAAGAGGTTCTTCTAATTCTGATGTTTTCATTCCTTTTCAGGGGTCTGGGAGGACAGCTCATGAGACAAGCAGGTAAGTCTGAAGGCCTTTGCAGCCCTCTGCAGCCCTTTGCCGCAGCCATCGTTGAGGGAGGTGTGCTCGTGGCGTGCAGGGCGGCCCATTAGCCCCCAGGGTGAAGGGCTGGGTGTGTTTCTTCTGTGGAGGCGGCATCTGTGATGTGCTTGGTTTGTCCAGTGGTTCCTACGAGGGAGAGATTGAGAGATTGAGATTGAGAGAGAGAAAGAGGAAGTTGTGAGCTGGGAGGGGTTGCACCCAGGAGCCACTGGTTCTGGAAATTTCTCAGGAAGCAGAGGCAGCTGGGGCAGTGGGGCCAGTGCTTGCCTGTGGACCCAGTGGACATTGCAGATCCCTCCGAGCACGGCCCCAGCGTGGACAGAGCAGCCCTGGTCGTGCCCTGTGGACTGAGCAGCGCAGGGACCAAGAGCCGTTTTGGGCGAGCACAGGAAGCTCAGGCGGGGGCAAGAGGAAAGCTGAGCAGAGGCGAAGCTCCTTACACACCCGAGTCCAGGCGAACCTCTGCGCCTGATTCCCAAGCCTCTGATACCCCCCGGGGGTTAGGACAGTCGGGCATTTTTTCTTTGCTGATTCTTTTTTAGCATGTGAGGAGGAGGGAAGCGTAGAACACATTTTAGACTGTTCCACAGAGTATTAAAGGAAAAGCCTGATTTCATAGACATTCCTGATGGCAGCAGCCGACCCCAAGGTCCAGGGAGCTGGATTCCCCGACACAGCTCCTGGGGCCCTGCTGTTGTGGACAGCCCATCCCACGCCACCCTCAGCCCCTCGCTGTGGGACTGTGAGTGTGAGTGTGGAGGCACAGCTGGTGAGGAAGCTTGGAAAAATCGCGGTTGTGTGCAGACTTTTGCTGAGGTCTGCGTGGTCTGAGCAGAGGAGAGCAGGCTGGGATTCGGGGAACCCACGGCCGGATGTCAGGGCTGTACCAGCCTCTTGTGCTTTCTGTCCACACCTCCCAGCCCTGACCTGATAGGGACCTGCCCGAGGCCTGCAGCCATCTATCTCCAGCCAGGCTGGCCGGGCTTCTGTACTGAGAGCAGCCAGCTTGCATTTCTGCTGGTGTTAGCTCAGTGTTCTCATGAGTCTGATGGACGTCACGGGAAAGTCAATCCTAGAAACGTGAGCCAGTTTCTGTCAGCTGACGTCAGAGGCATGGGACTGCCAGTTCTGCAGGTGGTCCCTGTTGGCTAAGACCGGTGTGTCATGTTTTGGATGTAGACTTGGTCATTGTCCCTCAGATGCCTCCAGAGCACACGGTGCAGGGGTGTCACCTTTCCGACGTACCCATGGGTGCCCGGAGTTGCCTCCTTAGTGGGATCAAGACCATCCCCCACATGTCATGGACAGCTGGTGACCTGTAAGCCGTTTCTGGATCTAGGAGTTTGGCTTGGGATGGAGTGGGGTGTCGAGTGCTCTCAGAAGGGTTCAATGTCCCCCACTTCCCACCCACGACACGGGTCGTGCCCTGGAGATGGCAGTTGGAGGCAGTCCTACGACCTTCACACGACCTTCACGTGCTCCCCGTGTGCTGCGGGGTCTGCTTTTAGGGTCGCTCTTGGTGTTTGAGCAGTAAGTCTGCACAGGAGCCACTGCCCACCATGAAAGGGGGGAGTTAAAGGCGTTCCGAATCCCTTTGGCCAACGACGGAGTTGAAGGTGTTCCGAGTCCCCGTGGCCGGCGGCGACAGAGTTGAAGGCGTTTGGAGTCCCCGTGGCTGGCGGTGATGGAGTTGAAGGCGTTCCGAATCCCCGTGGCCGGTGGTGACGGAGTTGAAGGCGTTCCGAGTCCCTGTAGCTGGCGGCGATGGAGTTGAATGCGTTCCGAGTCCCCAGGACGCCATTTTGGCTGAATTTCCTTTACCCTCCTGCTCCGTGAAGCGGGGCCCATTGGGGAGGTGCTGCTCTGTAATCTGCTCTTCTTCTTGAATGTGTGGTTAGGGCAGCCACATTGATGTCCCCCAGGCTCCAGAGTGACCGCCCCTTAGGGGTCCTGCTGGGCGTTGGCCGCTGTTGGCCGCAGGGCACCGTTGGCCTGTGCATTGCTGCCACCTACCCATGATGGGCAGAATTGTCACGAGCTCAGGAGGAAACCATGGAAAAACCGCAGGTCCTGGAGCCTCCGTGTGGTTGTCGTGGGCAGCTTTCCACGCGACGTGCCCTCCCTGGGCGTGAGGCTGCATTTGCACTTAGCGGGGAGAGGGGGAATGTTGTGGGTTCTAGTTGGGCTTTTTGATGATGATATTTGGAAAGACTTGAGACAAAGTAGCCACCCTGTCCTGTCCCTTCCTCACCCACCACACCCACTGCTCCCCGCTGGCAGGCACTGCAGGCTGCACAAGTAACCGTGGAACCTAAACACTGATGTGCTTCGTCCGGGTTTTAAAAAGGCGCCCTTACCGCGGTTTCGGTGTTTGGCGTCTTCACGCCATCCGGGTTCTCGGTGCTCTGCTCTGAAGGATGGTGGAGGGCTGTGGTCTGTTGTTGGGGGTGCTGGGTGCAGGGTGGTTTCTGTCTGCCTCTCTCTACCCCCAACTCCAGCTTTCCCACCCTGCCCTCTGCTCTGGGGCACGTGTGCTGTTGGGATGCATCCCTCAGGGTTCACGGCAGGGTGTGGATTGCTGGGGGGCATCGTGGAGAAGGGCATCTTTATGGGAGGCATCCCTGCTCTGGGCCCCCTGCCGGCCTCCAGCTGTGTCTGCACCATGAGTGTGTTTGCTGGAGTGCGGTGTTTGCACTCCCTCACACCGCTGAGTGCAAACGCGGCACTCCTGCACATGTCGCCTCGCACCGTGGCGGGCGTGTCCCGTGGAAAGCTGCCCATGCTGCCCACGCCCTCCCTGGGGGCCCCTTGGCTGCCTGCACTCCCCAGCCGTGACCTCAGCTCCCGGCGCCGGCCCTCCTTGTGCAGCTCCTTCCCCTCCATGGCCTTTGCTGGCCCCAGGAGACTCTGGCCTGCAGGCTCTGAAGCCGGCTGTGTCCCTGGTGATCCTGACTGAGCCTTGGTGTCAACTCAGGTTTTTTTCTCCTCCTCGTTCATTTTTACACTTCGTAGGAAATTATTTTCCCTTTCAGCTTTCAAGTAGGAATAGTTCAGAAGGGGAAATAGTTCTGCATAGCGTCTGTGGTCTTGGCCCCGCATCTCCCAGTCCCACATTTTTATTTTTCCAAAGGCAACCCTTTCAGTTTTTTAGCTGTCTGTTTTCCTTGCTTCTGTATTTCTGAGTTCTGTATGTACGCAGCTGTTTCCTGATATCCTTAGTTTTAGATGTGTTCTTTCAAGTGAGACAAGACTCCAAGCTCTTGTCGGGGTGAGAAATCTGCGGGTTCACGGGCTACATGTGGGAGACGGGGAGGGGCTGCTGGTCACTTTCTCACCCAGGCCAGAGGATGGCGCCCTTACCCCCGAGGACGCCGGCATGTCGGTGACATGCCGCCCGCAGGAGCATCAGGTGCGCCCTGGCCGCAGGTGCCCCGGAGGTGTCGAACCGCAGATTTCTTCAGACGTTTTTTGCACATTTTGTGGGAAAAGTGGCTCAACCCTTGGGAGTCGTCTGCGTCCCCATATCAAAGAAATGTCATACAGGTTGGCCTTTGTCGTGAATATTCACGAGAGGAGATGAACATCCTGGATGTCCTCAGCGTGGCCTGAACTGAGCTGCTTCCCCCGGTGCCAGGAAGATGAGCGTCCCCTTGTCTCCGTCTTAGTCTCAGTGGCTCTTGCATTTCATGCTTTAGAATCAAAGGAAAGAAACAGGAACTCTGTTTAGTGAAGCAGCGATGAAGGAGGGGTTTGTCAGTCAGGGTGGACTGCGTTTTGCTCTTGAAACAATCCCCAAGTTTCAGTGTCTTAAAACCACAGGTGTTTTTTTATCCTGCTCACATGTGGATCACCGAGGGCAGGGGCCGGGAGGAAGGGGGTCATCTGGCTCACAGCCTTGCACCAGAGGCGTCACGAGAATCAGGAAAAGTTCTCCTCTCATGCCGAAGACGGGAGGGAAACCAGAGGGACTGGTGAGCCTTGAGTCGGCCACAGGTGTGTGGAGGATCGTGACTTAGCAAGCCGGGGACACGCTGTTAATGGACTTCCTGCTGTGGGGGTGAGGGCTCCGTGCTCCATCTCTGATGCCCTGTACACACCTGCCACCTCCCCTGTCCCCTCAGCAGAGACATGGCCGGTGCTGTCGTGCCTTTCGCTTTTACCTGTATCTTAAATCACACAGGAGTTCATTCGGATTTACCTGTACAGATACCCTGTTCTCTTTCTTGTTCCGTGGGAATTCACTGGGATTTACCCACACAGCCACCTGCTGCTTCTCCTTCTTGTTCTGTCCTGCATTTCTCACCTTCTAAGAGGACCATTTTCTCTTTGCCTGGAGAACACTCTAGTGTTTTCCATAGTGTGTGTCTGCTGGTGGCACCCTCTCGTTTGTTTATACCAAAATGGCTTTTTCCACTTTTTTTTTTTGAGACGGAGTCTCATTCACTCTTGTTGCTCAGGCTGGAGTCACAGTGGCGCGATCTCGGCTCACTGCAGCCTCCATCTCCCAGGTTCAAGTGTTTCTCCCGCCTCAGCCTCCCGAGTAGCTGGGATTACAGGCATGCGCCACCGTGGCAGGCTAATTTTTGTATTTTTAGTGGAGATGGGGTTCCACCATGTGGGCCAGGCTGGTCTTGAACTCCTGACCTCAGGTGATCCACCCACCTCGGCCTCCCAAAGGTGCTGTTTTTTTTTTTTTCCCCACTTTGATTCTTAAAGGTTATTTTTGCTAAGAATGAAACTTTAGTTTGCATTTATTCATTCGTTTGTGTTTTGGCACTTTAAAGATAATAGTCTCTTGTCTTCTGGAGAGGTTAGCTGCCAGTCTACTTATTACTGTATTGGAGACAATCTTTTAAGTTTCGCTGGCTTCTTTTGAGATTTTTATCTTTATTTGGTTTTCAGCACTTTTACCGTGATATTCCTAGAACAAGTTCCCTTTGTGTTTATCTGACTTGGGGCTCTAGGGTTCATACTTGTTCCATAATCTGTATTTTCTGTCGATGTTTTGTTCACTTTAGAAAAATTCCTAGCCATGATCTCTTTGAACATTGCTCACTGGCCTCTCCTCTCCTTTTGGGACTCTTATTACCCACGTCTTGTCTGGATCACCGCACTTAATTCTTTACGCCTCCTTACACTCCCTCCTCTGGTTTTGTCTTATTCAGTTTGGACTTTTTTTTTTCTTTTCTTTTCTTTTTTTTTTTTTTGAGTTGGAGTCTTGCTCTGTCACCAGGCTGGAGTGCGGTGGCACAATCTCAGCTCACTGCAACCTCCGCCTCCCGGGATTAAGCGATTTTCCTGCTTCAGCCTCCTGAGTAGCTGGGACTACAGGCATGCGCCACCACACCCAGCTAATTTTTGTATTTTTTGTAGAGATGGGGTTTCACCACGTTGGCCAGGCTGGTCTCGATCTCTTGACCTTGTGATCTGCTCACCTTGGCCTCCCAAAGTGCTGGGATTACAGGAACATTTTCTTTGATTTAAATTTCATTGTCACAAATTCTTTCAGGTGTGCCTTATCTGCCGTTAAACGCATCCTTGAATTTTTTTATTTTTCAGAACTTATTTTTTATAGTTTTCATTTTTTTCACATCCTGGAACATATTAAGCATGGTTTAAAATCTTTGTTTAATGTCATCATCTGGAGCCTCTGTGGCTGTTTCTGAAGGACGGTATATCATACATGAAAAGCATCTCCACCAAGCTGCAGGAACAAGACATGACAGAAATGCTTTGAGGTCTGCAATGTTCTCCTCTCCCAGAGAGACTTGATGTTGGCTCTTGACGGGAGGCGGGTGCTTGCTGTCGGGGTCACCTCCATTGGGTTTTGGGACGTAGGAGGGGTCCGTGCTGGGCTGGCCCACGTTTTACACCTATTTCTAGGTGTGGTCCTCTGGGTTCAGAGCCTGTGGTGAGGGCTCTACCGCTTCTCCCTTTGGTCATCCTGGACTCCCGTTCTCCTGCTAGCTGGAGATGCTCCTGGATGCACTGTTGGGGGTTTCTGGTTCTTGTGGCGCCCCCTGGAGTCAGCCGTGAGCCGGGGAGAGTTGGCCCCCGCCGCTCTGTCCCTCTCAGGTCTTCGTGAGCTCTCTGGTAACTGCAGGCACTTCCTGTGTGTTTTCATTTTGTCTGGCTTTTAAAAATGTCTTAGTGGAGGGTTGGTCTGCGTTATCTAGTCTGTTAGTTTTTAAAAAATATTCTTCATTTCGAAATAATTATAGACTTACAGGAAGTTATGAGATTAGTAATAGAGCCTGGCTGTGCTTCCCATGCTTCCTCCGCGGTGACTCCGGGTATGACAGTGTTGGAGCCGGGACTGCGGTGTCGAGGCCCTGCCTCTAACTGGACTGCAGGCCTGTGCGGTTTCGTGGCTTCATGTGTGTGTGGAGTGGCCATGTGTGTCTAGTTTCGTGCAGATTGATGCCCTGTGTAGATTTCTGTAACTAACTCCACACTCAAATCAGAAACCTGCATCCTTCCCACAGAGACAGCCCCTGCCCTTTGCATTCTCACCCTGCCCCCCTGCCACCAGTCTGTCCCTTCTAGAATATGCCATGATCGACTCGTATGGTCGTGGCATTTCGAGGTGGGCATTTTCTGTGAGCGTGGTGCCGAGACCCCATCCAGCTGTCCATGTGTTCACAGTTTGTGCCTTCCTAGCCCACGGTTGGGTTTTACCAGAGTGTGTTCGACCAGCACTCAGTAGAGTACACTGGGGCTATTTCTATCTGTTGCTGTTGTGAACAAGGTTGCCAGGAATATTCCTGTGCGAGATGTGGGTACAAGCCTTTTCATGTCTACCACTGAGTCCCGTGTGCCGTTTCGTGAGAGGCTGAGGCACCGCTTCATTCCACCGCTGAGCCCCGCGTGCCGTTTCGTGAGAGGCTGAGGCACCGCTGAGCCGCGCGTGCCGTTTTTAACTTGATTATAAAATACATTTAAAGTTCACATGCAGGTGCATCTCCAAGAAAATTATTTTAAAAACTAGTTAAGACTTTCATTTCCCAGTCCTCAACACACATCAGAGCAGTACTCTGTTCAGAGCTGAAAGGATTCGCGCTGGGACAAAGGCGTGTCACTTGAGTGAGTGATGGTGTCACAGGTGCCCACGTGGAAGAAGGTAAAGTCGTATCTAAAACTAAATGTGAGAGTAACTAATAACTTACGCATAAAAACTACCATCATAAAAATCCTCGAAGAAATTTTAGGAGACGTTGTAGGACAGTGTCAGTCTCTGAAGAAAACTTCTTAGTTTAGAAATTTTCAAATCTGCGCAGAAGTAAAGAGAAGTAGTTTACGGGGGGGGCCCAGAGTCTCGCCCGGCGCTTCCTTTCTCCTCCCCTCCTCTGAGTTTAAAGAAGACCCTGAATGTCAGGTCCCAGCAGCCCCTCGCTGGGTTTTTCTAACTTGTGGTAAGAACTGGTTTTCTGGGGTTTTTTGTTTCTTTTTGTTTCCCCCCTCTTGGCATGTAATCCCCAGCTAACAGATTTTATCATAATAATTCCACAAGGTAGAAACAAAAGGAGATAATTATGTTGGGCCTTATATTGAAGAATAGACCATGTGTAGGTTGGTAGGGAAAACGGAGATTGAGAATAAACGTCTGTTCTACAGTCGAAAAGGTAAAAAGTTAATTAGTGTACAAAGACTAAATTGTAAAACTGCCTGTGACGAGGTAAAGGATCCAGTATGAAATGGGGCAGAGCAGACGTGTGGGCATTTCATGCAGAAGAGGAGCAGACTCACGTGGCCGTGGACGGTGAGGGTGCCGGCCTCACCTCGGAGGCATGGAAGTACCAGGTTACTTCACATCGAGAGGACCGTTTTCCTCTTTCCAGTCGGCTGCGGTTGGCACTGAAGAATCTTGGTGCTGACAGACACAGAGCAGGGTCTCTCGTGGAACAGGAGTTGTCTGGTCTGTTCAGTTTGATGAGTGGCAGTATCTGTGACGATGGGAAGTGTGTGTGTGGTCCCTGTCCTGTGTGCAGGGACGCCAGGTGGACCGACGGCCTCCGCATCTGTAGCACGGTCAGGCCTCCTTGTTCACGGTGACAAAAAATGGAAGGAGAGTTTAGTCCCTCAGGAGAAATAGCAAATACCATGAACAAGTGTGCAGCAGGCGTCTGCGAGTGGGTTCCGTTGTTAGGTAGAGACGGTGGGAGCTAGAGCAGTGTGTGGCCGTGGGAGCTGCTGATGCTGTCCAGTCGTCTCTGTCTCGTGCGTCCTGGCCCCCTCGTGGCTGGTCAGGGCCACGTTTCTGGTCATGGAGAGTGTGAGTGACGAGCTATGTGGGGAAGTGACAGGCATGACCTGTGGTCTGGAGCATTGCAGGTGATGGCTGTCTGTCGCTTGGGTCCTGAGTGACAGGTCTAGGAGCAGAAGCCGCTATGCTTCCCGTACAGCCTGTCACAGGGACGTCTGCAGCTCCCTGACAGGCCGGCCCGGCTTCTCTGAAGTGCACGTGGGCTCACACATGGGCCTTCTGCCACGTGGCTGGGTCTGCAGCACTTTCTTCAGGCTGCTCAGCGGAGGAGGCGTCTTGGGCTTCTCATGGTGGTTCTGAAATGGTTCTGGGATGTTTCCAGCCCTGGCAGCAGGGTAGGTTGGGCGGGTGAGGGGCAGGAGCTGGCCGCACACAACTCAGAATGTGGCAAAGGCAAGCCGCTGTGGCAGGCGCTTTTAGAAAAGTAACATTGCGTCTATCCTTTTTTTTTTTTTTTCCAGTGTGTGTTTTAATAGAAAAGTTGTCACTTTCCAAAATGCCCTTTAGAGGTGACACCGTAATTGGTAAGTGCTTTTGTTTTTAATAATAGCATTTTCTTACAGAATGACTTCAGATTAAAAGGTAAAAATGAACCTGTTAGGATGGGGGCGATAAACGATTATAGCTTAAAGGTTCAAGATATTAATCGGATACGTTGCCTTGAAGTTGTTACAAGAACCTGCTTAAATAATGGGTACCCACCGCCCTCTCCCCCCAACACAGGAGGGCCCTTCCCCGCCGTCACCTCAGTACCCCCACCTCCTCGCTTCCATGCCCAGGGCCCGGCACTCTGGGTCAGTTCTTCTCCCAGGCAGACAGTCGGGAGCTGCAGCCACCCAGGCCCTCGTGGACCAGGAGCGTGCCGGCCGCCGACACCACGGACCCTGTGGGCAGAGGCGGCTCCAGTTCCTCAGCAGCCCCCCACACTGGGCTGCCAGAGCACAGTGAAGGGAGCCCCCAGGGCTGTGGTGTCCCGGGGCTGTCTCAGCAGCCTCAGAAGTTAGGACTTTTTTTTTGTTAATTGAATAGCCTTCACATTTGTTGCTTGTGCAGGATCTAATTGAGTTAAAGATTTGGGTTTATATTGGTGGGAGCCGGGGGAGACCGTTTGAAGGAAAAGATTTAGGGGTAACAAAAGAATAAAAGTTTCCCAAAATGTGATGTATAAAAATTTACAGAATGCTGGTATTTCCCTCAATAAGAGCTTACACAATTTAACAGCCATGAGAGGAAGGGGCCTTAGACTTAACACAACGTGGAGAATGTTCACTTTGGCTTTTCCACAGATTCCTCTCAAAGGTTACCATCGACTTTAAGATTAGTATTAATAGAAGCTGTTTTTGCTGTTGTTTTTGATTTCATGGTGTTTTTGATTGCCTGGGTACGCTAACTTGATTTTTTGACAGATGGTTGGCAATGGCTGATAAATGACACTTTGAGACATCTCCATCTCATCTCAAGTCACTCCCGCCAGCAGATGAAGGTACAGTGAGCATGGGCGTTCCCGGCCGGCGCTGTGGCGGTGTTAGTGTGTTAGTCACGGATGGTGTTTGTGTTGGCGACTGTGCATCATGAGGCTGTCCCTGCAGTAGCCTGATAACTGACAAATGGGGGCATAATTCTATTTGGAATCCCGGATGGTAGCGTCTACACGGTTTATAACCAGAAAATCCAATACAGCCATTGGAATCCGAATGTTTAATTTTTTATTGCTTCTGGCTGTTTTAATTATAGTTACCTTTGAAATACTTTTTCTGCATCAATAGTAACTGTGCTCTGTTGAGTTCCGTGTCCTGTAGGATCTGAGGTTTGGAAACTCCCTTTATGATGCTCCTGTGCAGATGAGAAAACAGCACCCCAGGACCTCTGCTCGCACACATTGACCTGGTCATGTTGTGTGGGTGCCAGTGTGTGTGTGTGTCCCCGGCCACCTGCCCTCCCCTCCCGTCCTGGGGGTTACAGGTGGACTTTGGACTCACAGAGCTGTAACGCTGATCTCATTGCATAGATAAGAAACCATGGGCCCGGCGCAGTGGCGGGTGGATCACTTGAGGTCAGGAGTTCGAGGCCAGCCTGGCCAACATGGTGAAACCCCATCTCTACTAAAAATACAAAAATTAGCGGGGCGAGGTGGCGCGTGCCTGTAATCCCAGCTACTCAAGAGGCTGAGGCAGGAGAATTGCTTGAACTTGGGAGGCGAAGGTTGCAGTGAACCGAGATCACGCCATTGCACTCCAGCCTGGGTGACAAGAGCAAGACCCTGCCTCAAAAACAAAAACAAAAACAAAAACAAAAAAAACCATGGTTACCAACGTTGACTAGGTTTTGATATTGAGGATGAAGAATGGAAGTACATTTAGGTGTCTTGTAATTCTCTGACTTCCTCCATGCTTAGCATTTCTTTTTCCTTAGCATCTTCAATTTTCTTATTTTTTTTTTCTTAAGGAACTTGAACATTCTGTAGGATCCAAGTACCGTTCTACTAATTGAATTTGAATGCATCATGATCAGTGCCTCAAAATTTTATTTCAAAAGTCCATGATTAATTCACACTGGCCATGATGCTGGTGCACTTTGCCCCTGGGATTGGCACAGGTGGTGACTCGTGGAATGCAGCACCCTGTAGACGACGCACCTCCTCTGCTCATGGCCCCCACCTGCCCCGCCCCCAGTGCCTCTCCAAGGCTGCTCTGTTGGCCTCGGCTCCTGGGCTTCGGGGGAGCGGTGGAAAGAACACGTGGGTTTGGTGTTTGCCACTTGCTGGCTGTGTGGTCACGAGAGGCTCCTCCGTAGGTGGCAGAGGTGGGGGTTCGAGGAGACAGTGGCACTGAGCCCCGCACGCGGCGGGACTGGTGACTCTCTGCCCGCTCCTGCTCTGTGCAGCAATTGCCGTCCCTCCCACCACGGTTCCTGGTGGCCTTGGGATGGGTTCCCGGGGGTCTCCTGCTGTCCGGCCCCAACTCCTGTTCCCAGTGCGCCCCCGGAGCCCTGTCTCTCTAAATGAGGCTGACGTGGCTTGGCCTGAAGGCCCTGCCCCGTTACTCTGGGTGCATAGTGTATGCCTTTTTCTTCATAACTATTTCTGGGAAAGAAAAATATGCTCCATTTTATTATTGTTCCATATTAGAAGACAGACATTGTGGAAGGAATAATCAGGTTATCCATTCAGTTTCTTAGTTGTAGTGGTAGTAAAGTGATGCGTGTATCTGACAGATGATGGTGAGCAGGCGTGCTGGAAAGGAGTAGCATGACTTAGGGGTTCTTTTGGTTTGGTTCGAAAGTCATTGCTGTGCCGAGATCTCAGGGTGACCCGCTGTGTCCCTGGTCAGGTCCTTCTCTGACCTCAAGGGTGACCTGCTGTGTCCTTGGCCGGGTGCTTCTCCAACCTCAGGGCGACCCGCTGGGTCCCTGGTCAGGCAGGGGCTGCTCTGACCTCAGGGTGACCACGGTGTCCCTGGTCAGGTGCTTCTCCGACTTCAGAGTGACCTGCTCTGTCCCTGGCCGGGGGCTTCTCCGAGCAGAGCTGCTGTGCGCTCACCGTGCTGCCTTTGTTTTAGGATGCAGCAGTCTCGGCCCTGGCTGCTCTATGCAGTGAATATTACATGAAGGAGCCGGGGGAGGCAGATCCCGCAATTCAGGGTGAGTGGGGAGCCCTTTTCTTGAAGACTCCAGGGGCTTCCAGCAGGAAGCTGCTGGGGAGTGTCTGGGCACGGAGGAGGCCTCGGTTGTGCAGTGGAGCAGAGCCACCACGATCATGGCTGGAGTGGGACTGTTCGGGTCTCAGGTTCCCAGCCGAGGAGCTGTGGGCAGGTCCTGCAGCTGCCCAGGATGTTGCATCAGCTCTGAACAGGTGGCTCAGCAGGGACGCGTCTCTGTTGACGGCACCCTCTTGCTCCATCACCCAGGCTGGAGTGGTGTGGCGTGATTCGGCTCACTGCAACCTCTGCCTCCTGAGTTCAAGCAATTCTTGTGCCTCAGCCTCCTGAGTAGGTGGGACTACAGGTGCCTGCCACCATACCCGGCTAATTTTTGTATTTTTAGTAGAGACGGGGTTTTACTGCATTGGCCAGGCTGGAATCGAACTCCTGACCTCAGGTGATCCACCTGCCTCAGCCTCCCAAAGTTCTGGGATTACAGGTGTGAGCCACTGCACTCGGTCAGTGTTTTTAGAATTTTTGTATGCACCGTGACATTTTTCTGCTGTGTGTTTCACTCGTTAATACATTTTGCTGTTTTTTCCTTCTTTATGAAAGTAGCATTAGGCTGGCTTTACGCCGTGTCCCGTGCGTAGCTGCTGTGCCGCCTCACTGTACATCCTGCACCCCCGTGCTGAAGTTCAGGCTTGCTTCTCGCACATCATGTTCGAGGGATCTGCTTCATGAATCGTACTTTTATTTTTAAAGTGTCACATGCACATATGTTGGCCCACAGTGTTCCTTTATGTCATATGATAGAACATGCATTATTAATCACGTCAAAAGTGTGTGAATCACCACTTAAAATTATTATAAGTATATAAAAATCATGCATTAGCTTGGCATGGTGGCACACACCTGTAATCCCAGCTACTTGGGAGGCTGAGTGTGGGGTTGAGGCTGCAGCGAGCTAAGCTTGCACCACGGCACTCCAGCCTGGGTGACAGAATGAGACTCTCTCAAAAAAAAAATTCTCTTTCTGATTCCTATTTTGAGGTAGGCCACTTTGGAAACGTGTCTGCTTTGGGAACCTCAGGCGGCTCCTCCTTTGTTCACTGTGGCTTTGCTCCTGTTTGGGGCACACGTCGGGTGTGGCTGTACACGATGGGCAGCAGAGGGCCTCTCTTCACACTCGTTGCTTCCTTTCAGAGGAGCTGATCACGCAGTACCTGGCTGAGCTTCGGAACCCCGAGGAGATGACTCGCTGTGGCTTCTCGTTGGCCTTGGGCGCCCTTCCAGGCTTCCTTCTGAAAGGCCGGCTCCAGCAGGTGAGGCTGGCCACGCGCAGTGGACGGGGCCTAGGGCGAGGGTGTGGGAGCCTCGTGTGTTGGGGCATGAGGTAGGCCCAGCCGTTAATAAACCCATCAGTGCTTGTAGCTGGGAGGGGGTTCCTGGAAACCGGCACCTGTGGCCAGGAGGAAGGGGGCAGAGGGCACCCAAGGTCTGTGGCCCCTTAGGGCCCTGGCGAACCCTTTGCTGTCAGAGGACAGACTTGAAAAAGCTGAATTCTGGGAGGGAGGAGAAGGTGTTGTTTGTAGAAGCAGCTGCCGAGAGTGAGGAGAACACAGTTGCCTTTGTGCGTTGTGGAGCCGGGTCCTGTTTTGGTTGCGGCCGTGCATCCTGCATCCAGGTCGGGGCAGAGGTGGTTCCACGTCCTCCCAGAGGTCAGCCCCACGCTGGCCTCAGTGACCTGCTCTCTCACGCTTTCCTGTGGTGCTGGTCCCACTGACCAACCTGCCGGGAACTCCTGCTTGTCTCCCCTCCGGCCACCTGGCGTCTGAAGCTGGAATAGGCCCTGGCCACTGGGTTCCCCACGCCCTTCCCTCCCCATGGGATCCAGCCTTGGCACTTCAGGATCTGCAGCTCCAGACGGACTCCTGCCTGTGTGGCGGGTGGGCCTCGCAGCCGCCATGCCATCTAAAACTCGCATGTGGGGGTTTATCCAGTTGAAACACAGATAAATGTGAAACAGGATCACTTGGAGATATGACAGATGAGGTTGTCGGGACCCAGCAGCTTCCTTTGTCAATACCCCAGGTCTCAGCGTAGGACAAAAGGGGGGGACCTCAGGTAGGGTGTGGCCAGACCCCCAGTGACACCCTGGGGTGGGGGCTGGCCGTGGAGAGGCTGGAGGTGACCTCTCCCCGGGTGTCCTTCCTGGGTTGTACTGGGGGCCGTGGAGAGGCTGGAGGTGACCTCTCCCCGGGTGTCCTTCCTGGGTTGTACTGGGGGCCGTGGAGAGGCTGGAGGTGACCTCTCCCCGGGTGTCCTTCCTGGGTTGTACTGGGGGCCGTGGAGAGGCTGGAGGTGACCTCTCCCCGGGTGTCCTTCCTGGGTTGTACCGGGGGCCGTGGAGAGGCTGGAGGTGACTCCTCCCCGGGTGTCCTTCCTGGGTTGTACTGGGGGCCGTGGAGAGGCTGGAGGTGACCTCTCCCCGGGTGTCCTTCCTGGGTTGTACCAGGGGCCATGGATGGCCGTGAGGAAGGTGGTGCCAGGAGCTGCCTATCTCATGGTGTGGGGTCTGTGGCTCCGGGCCAACATTGCCACCTCCCTAAAGAGTGCACTTTGTTATAGCTTATGGTTCTTCTGTGATTCTTTATTGCTTTCCAGGTTCTCACAGGTTTAAGAGCAGTTACCCACACTTCCCCCGAGGACGTAAGTTTTGCTGAGTCCAGGAGAGACGGCTTGAAGGCCATTGCGAGGTGAGTCCCAACAGTTCCTCCCTAAAGTCGTAAGTCTCTGAAAGGCCAGCAGATGAACGCTAAGGGGGATGTTTTTGCTCAGAGGCAGGACTTATGATTCTTCACTTCCTAGGTTTCCTCTCTTCCAGAGGATCGTCAGTCCCAGCTGCTGGAGGCTCTTTCATTCTCTTGCTGTCATAGTCGTAGTGAATGTTAAACTTCTTTAGGGACACTGGGCCCCTTGGAGAATTGGAGAATGTGTCCTGGCCCAAGGTTGGCAAAGAGGAGCTGACCCTGCCAGCCAGTGTTTGGAATGATCTCTGCACTCGTTGACAGACACGCACCTGGGGCCACGCCATATGCCCTCTCCTCCCTGCAGGCACACAAGAGGAGCAGTCCCGCGGGGGCCACGCACGCCCCCTTCTCTCCTATGCCAGCATCCGTTCCCTCTAGTCAGGGTGGGAAGTGGGAGGGACCAGCCGCAGGGGGCGTCCCCATCCACCTTTCAACCGGAGAGACGGCAGAGCGTGACCTCGGGGAAGCACGTCCCACGTTCCATACATGTGGAAGGAGCTCTGTGTTTCTGATCTACCCGAGGGTCCTGGACTGTTCTGAGCGTGTCTTCTCAGGATCAGGAACACACATCAGCCCTCTGCGATGTGGAAGATGAGGCTCACCGATGTTTGTTTGTTAGCTCACACATTTTAAATTTCAGGATTTGCCAGACTGTTGGTGTGAAAGCAGGAGCCCCAGACGAAGCTGTGTGCGGAGAGAATGTTTCCCAGATTTACTGTGCGCTGCTGGGCTGCATGGACGACTACACCACGGACAGCAGAGGGGACGTGGGCACCTGGTACGTACGTAGCAGTGGGTGAGCGCTTCTTCTGAGAAGCCCATCTATTCCGTGGAAACTCGGAGGCCCCGGGCTTTTCTGCAGGGAGAAATCTTTGTAGATTTGTGCCGTGTTTTGCGTTTTAAAGGCTCTGGGGAAGATGACCTGTTCTCTGCTCCCGGGTGAGCCTGCGTGGCAGGGCTTTGCAGGTGCTTGTCCAGCCCGTCCTCAGGTGTTGGGCCTGTGTCGTCCTCGTTGACAGGGTGTGAGGGAGGACGCGTCTTCAATGAAAGGCTGCCGGCTGCTTACATTGGGTTTTGCCAACATTTCTTGCTGTAGTGGGATTGATAACCCCTGAAACGCCTGTGTGTGTAGGATGCCTCGGGGCCCCGGTGTGTGTGGCTGTGGGTGGCTCCCTGCACACGTCCCTGTAGCGCACAGGGAACCTCTGCAGGCCCCGTGACTCCCTGGCAGCGTGCCTGGGCTCTGTGTGGGGTTAGTCACGGGTGTCGAATTCACACAGGCTGCCGGCGTGGTGGGCAGAACCAGGGTTGGAACCCCCCTCTCAAGCTGGGTGTCTCTGCCTCTCCTTGTCCCATCAGGGTCCGCAAGGCCGCCATGACCAGTCTGATGGATCTGACACTTCTGCTGGCTCGGAGCCAGCCTGAGCTGATCGAGGCCCATACGTGAGTGTCACGTCGCAGCTCTTCTGCATCCTAGAGGGCAGCCCCGAGCTTGGGGAGGCTGGCGGGGCGGGCGGTCCTGGTGCTCAGTGGCATTTGCACTGCTGGGCACACACCCTCCTCCCAGAGAGCCTCTCTGGTCCCTGACCCCAGGTTTGTGCAGGCCCCTCCTCCTGCCCCCATAGCCATGGCGTGAGCTGGGGCCCATCCTCCTCTGCCCAGTGCCCCCAGGACGAGGCTCTGCTCCCCAGCCTGGGCCTCCAACGGTGCTCTGGCCAGTTTGATGACAGCCAGCTTCCCGGGGTAGGGCCGGGCAGGAGGTGGGGACTTCTCAGCTTAGGACCCTGAACCTGGGGGTCTGCTCCTGCCAGGACCAGCTGAGCCATCACTCAGTTCCCTGCACCTGAGGCTGCCATTGGGGCCTGCCCTTGCTGTGTGTCTCTGTCGGGGGCACGGGGTTGTGGGTACCCCCAGGCCCTGCCCTTTCTGTCGGTCTCTCTGTCGGGGGCACTGAGTCATGGAGGTCCAGGCCCTGCCCTTGCGGATCTCTGTCAGGGGCACTCAGTCAGGGGGTCCAGGCCCTGCCCTTGCGGGTCTCTGTCGGGGGCACTGAGTCATGGGGGTCCAGGCCCTGCCCTTGCTGTCAGTCTCTCTGTCAGGGACACTCGGCCGTGGGGATCCCAGGGCCTGATTTCCTTAGTTCTCACCTCTTTCTCTTTCCCCCTCCCCATCTCTTCCCCAGCCCCAGCTTCTCTCTCCCCATCCCCGGCCTCTCTGTCCCCATCACTCTTCTCCACCCGCTCCTGTAATCCTATTTGTTGTCCCTGCTTCAACCCTAAGACCTCATCAGCACGCATGTAACACGTAGCACATGTGTAACAAGTACGTAGCATGTATTTGCTGCGCACCTGTAGGGTTGGGCTCCTGGGATGTGAAGGTAACGGAGTGTGGTTCTTCCGAGCCAGTGTCCTGGTGTCAGCTGCCAACTCAGCCACCATGTCCCGAGGAGCCCGCATGTCCTCGTGGTGCTTGGGCTGGAGTCACGGCTCGGACCGCCTGTGCTCAGTTTACCGCCCGCTCTTAATTTACCGCCCGCCCTTGGTTTACCTCCTGCTCTCGGTTTGCAGCTGTGAGCGCATCATGTGCTGTGTGGCCCAGCAGGCCAGTGAGAAGATTGACCGTTTCCGTGCTCACGCCGCCAGCGTGTTCCTGACGCTCCTGCACTTTGACAGCCCTCCCATCCCCCACGTGCCCCACCGAGGAGAACTGGAAAAGCTGTTTCCCAGGTACTGTCGGGGTGTAGGCCCCCCGTGCTGGCCCCGCAGCCATGGCGAGATCATTGGCAGCCCGGCCTTGTCTCACTCACTCTCTTGCAGGTCCGATGTGGCCTCCGTGAACTGGAGTGCACCTTCCCAGGCCTTCCCACGCATCACCCAGCTCCTTGGGCTGCCCACCTACCGCTACCACGTCCTGCTGGGGCTAGTCGTGTCCCTGGGCGGCTTGACGGAGTCGACGGTGAGGAGGCGTCGGGCTGGCTGGGGCAGGAGGTGGCTCCAGGAGTGCCTGGTGCTTCCCTGTCTCTTGGGAGCATGTATGGAGCTGGGCCTTTTCTTCCATTGCTTTCTATCTCTCTCGGGCATATTTGGTTAGGGGGTCAGGGGCCCAGTGTCTTCCTCATGACCCAGGAGGCTTAGGGCCTGTGGGATGGTTGAGTCTGATGAAGGTGGGACAGGGCCAGCGCCACTCTCTTCCTGCGGCCGCAGCCTTGGAGCTCCCAGCGTCCCCTCGGGGTTCAATCCTCCAGGACCTGTGTCTGATGCCTGCATGTGGGTACCTGGGCTCCATCAGGTTCTAGATCGGCCTCCGCCCTCCACTTTCAGGGCTCCAGGCCCAGCTTCTCATGTCTGTGGGGAGGGTCTCCAGAGCCTTGGTCTGTGGCTGAGCTGTGGAACTTGAAGGCCTCTCTGCATCTTGTCACTCGTGGCCCCTGCACCTTGGGTCATGACCTGCTTTATGTGGCAACCCTGTGACAGCTGCTAAGTCCTAGAAAACACGTAACAGGACGTGAGGTGCCCTCTGCGCCGTGTGGGCGCGTGCGGGGAGACCCGGGCCCCAGGACGTGAGGTGCCCTCTGCGCCGTGCGGGCGCGTGCGGGGAGACCCGGGCCACATGCGAGCGGGGCCCCGAGACATTCTGCACTCGGGAATTGCGGGGATTATCAAATCCCGCTTCAGTGGGAAACGTGAGCGAAACCCAAGGTGAGTGGCCGCAGCCTTTCGTCACGTGCTCTCCCGCATGTCCTAAGTGAGGGCTCAGGCTGAGCTGCCGTTGCCGAGAGCCTTGTGTCTGCTTCGGGTGTCTGCACTGTGAGTGGCTCCGTGCTGGCGTCCGCACCAGCCGCTTGGGGCCAGACCTTCGCGTCTCTGCAGCTCGGAGCAGTTCTGCTCTTCAGCAGATGCTTGACCGGCTGTAGCCAAGCCTGAGGGGTGGCAGGCTCGGGGGTCCCACTGCCTTCTGAGGTGTCTCCGTGTTGCAGATCCGGCACTCCACCCAGAGCCTCTTTGAGTACATGAAGGGCATTCAGAGCGACCCGCAGGCCCTGGGCAGCTTCAGCGGGACCCTTCTGCAGATCTTTGAGGACAACCTTCTGAATGAGAGGTGAGTGGTGTCTCTTGGGGCCTCAGAGGCGTGAGTGGTGCTGGTGCCTCTCACCACGTTCCCACAGATTCCCGGGGTCTCGCAGGGTCTGTCTGGGGTCTGAAGGGAGAAGCGAGACACACGCTGTACCAGTTGGTGGCTCAGCGAGGAAGATGTGCCTGCAGCATATGGTTCTCCGGGCGGCCAGGCCTCAGCCCCTGCGCCTCCTCTTCTAGCCTCCACATGAGGCAGGGAAATGACCGTTGTGTGTACAATGGACGTAAAGGTAGTATGAGTACAAGGTGGTCCCTGTGTGTAGGAAGGCGTTGTGGGAGCTCCTCCAGCTTGGTGCTCCCACGGACGTGCTTGCGGACGCTCATCAGCCACCCGGCAAGTGAGAGCTCTGTGTTCCTGAGGATGGAATGTCAAGTGAGAAACATCGCTGCTTTCTAGAAGTTTCTGGCTTTACATGGAGGCAGAGTATAGACCCTGTGGGCCTTGACCTCAGAATTGGGAACATCCTCTGGAAGGGTTGTTCCCAGCATGTGCGAGGACGAGGACACGGGCCTGGTGTCCCCTCGGGCGGGGCCTCGGCAGCCTCTCCCATGAGAGCACAGATGCCGCTCTCGGCAAACAGGAACTCGGCCCAGCCATGTTTTCTTTTCTCGTTACGACTATAATCAGCTGCACATAAAGGGGCAGTTCGATCGATTTTGATAGGTGTCCACCCTTAAAATCTTCCCCAGTCAGGACGGTGGGCTCCAGCCCAAGGTTTCCTCCCAGCCCTTCGAGTCCGTGCCCCTGACCTGCGTCACCATAGCCTCAGCCCATGGTCACTTGAGGCGCTGGGCCGCGTGCCGGTCGCTCATTCCTCCGTGCCGGTCGCTCATTCCGCCTTGCCGTTCGCTCATTCCTCCTTGCTGACCAGTCGTGTCTGTTGGTGGAGGCACCACAGTGCATCTGTCTGTGGGCATTTTGGTTGTTGCCGCATCGGGGCTGTTGCTGGTAGAGCTGCAGGCAGTCTGTGTGTGCGAGCCTGTGGGTAGGTGTGCACAGCTGGGCCTCCCTCTCTGTGGGCTGCGGAGCCCAGCTCTCCTGTGTGTTAGTCGGCCTGTGCTAAAGCTCTCCTGATGCTCCTGTCGCCCAGAGGGGACCTCCCCAGCCTCCTTTTCTGTGGGGTAAATACCGAGGCGCCGCAGGCTGGCTCACACAGAGGCGAATGTCTAGCTTTGGAAAGCTGCTGGAGGGTTTCCAGAACGCCCACGTGTCATGTCTTTCTGCTGATGCTGTCTGAGGTCACTCTCACTGGCGCGTTGCTGTTTTATATTCTCTTTGGAGAAGTGTCTTCATTTTTTTCTGTTCTCCTTCCCTGACTGTTGTGGTCTGATCCTCCCTTGTCACACATGTGACTTGAGGGTGTTTTCTCCCTGCCTGTCCTTTCACGCACCGAGCGGGGGCCTCACACTTTCCTCACGTCCCAGCATCTCCCCTTGTTCTCTGAGGCACAGATTTTTCTGGTGTGTCTAAGACAGCTTGCCTAATCCGTGGTCACTGAGATTTTCTGTTTTGTCCTAGAAGATTTATAGTTTTGGGTTGTGTATTTAGACCTGGGACGCGTCTTGAGTGAGGTTTCTTACATGGTATAGCGTCGGCACAGGCACCTTGACGCCCAGCGGTGCCCACCCCAATTGCTGGGAGGGCTCCCCTCTCCGCTGCATTGCCGTTGCAGCTTTGTAAGAAACTGTGGGTTTACTTTGGACTCTCCTGTGCCCGACGTGTTTGCTTCACTTTGCACCAGGGCCGTGCTGTTTCTATCCCTTCCACTTTACCATCATTTTCGAAGTTCAGCGTCAGCCTCCAGCCTTGTTTCTTCTTTCCACAGTTGTTTTGTCTTTTCCTGAAGCTTTGCGTTTCCACGTAAATTATAAAGGGGGCTTGTCGCTTTCCACTGGGATCCTGCTGACTCTCAGCCATTCAGGGAGTTGGGCGTCCTTGTTGCTGGTGTCCAGGGTCTCACAGCTCCTTCTCCCCTCAGGGTGTCCGTGCCGCTGCTGAAGACGCTGGACCACGTGCTCACCCACGGCTGCTTCGACATCTTCACCACGGAGGAGGAGTGAGGCTCTGCTTTTCATGACTTCCTTTCCGATTAAGCCTAAGTAGCTCATGTATTAAAGAAAAAGTCATCAGACACAGAGATCAGAATTCCAGGAAATGATCTTCCAGTGCGTTCTGGGTCAGTTATGGTGACTGTAAATACCGTCATCACAGCTGGCCCTCAAAATAACGCAATAATAACATATTTACATAATGACATATTATGACTGTAAGTGCAGTCAGCCCCATCTGGGGCTGAGGCGGGGGCCCTGCTGTGCACTCTCCCCCCAGCTATCCCACCGGGCCAGGGGTGGGCCTCAGGGTTGTGCTGGGAGCCGCAGGGCCTGAAGGGGCCTCGGCTGTACGGGGATGAGACTCGCAGGGGAGAGGGCAGAGGCCGGTGACCTGGCGAGGACTTGCCCAGGAGATTGGAGCTCCTTGCTTCTGCGCCACGCGGATGCCCCAGGCTGGTCTCAGCTGGGTTGTTGGCTCTGAGTGGTCATCTCGTTGCTGCCATATTTTCTTGCTTCATTGAATTTCACCGTGTTGGGCCAGTCTTTTTTTTTTTTTTTTTTTGAGACAGGGTCTAGCTCTGTTTCCCAGGCTGGAGTGCAGTGGCACAATCACAGCTCACTGCAGCCTCTACCTCAGCCTCCCAAGTATCTGGGACTACAGGCATGCGCTGTAGTCTAATGTACGGCTAATGTTTGTATTTTTAGTAGAGACAGGATTTCACTATGTTTCCCAGGCTGGTCTTGAACTCCTGGCCCCAAGTGCCTGCCTTGGCCTCCTAAAGTGCTAGGATTACAGGTGTGAGCCACTGCGTCTGGCCTGGATATATTTGTATCTGGGGCACGTTGGGTCATCCGGAGACAGCGTGGTCTGTTTTTGGGGGCACTGCTTTTTTTTTGTTTGTTTTGAGATGGAGTCTTGCTCTGTTGCCCAGGGTGTAGTGCAGTGGCTCGATTTCAGCTCACCGCAACCCCGTCCCGGGTTCAAGCAGTTCTCTCGCAGACTTCTGAGTAGCTGAGATTACAGCTGTGCACCATCACACCTGGCTGATTGTTTGTATTGTTAGTAGATACAGGGTTTCACCACATTGGTCAGGCTGGTCTCGAACTCCTGACCTCAAGTGACCTGCCCACCTCGGCCTCCCAAAGTGCTGGGATTACAGGCGTGAGCCACTGAGCCTGGCTTGGGCGCTACTCTTAAGCTGTCAGGTGGACCCAGAGCTGTGCTGGTCTCCAGGGTTTTCTGCCCCTTTAAGGTCTCTGCTCCCTGGCGCTTCCCTTCCCACCGCTGCTGGGGCAGTGCCGGGGCTTCTGGCCATCTTTTGGGTGGTTCGTCCCCAGCCTTGGACAGCGTCCTCGTACTCAGGTACTGGCTGACCCAGGCCCAGGTTAGTCCTCAGCGGCCCCCAGGAAGCCCCCTCTGGTGCTCAGAACCTGAGCGAGCTCTGCAGACTTGGAATTTCCCGCTTCTCACCACGGGCTTCCCGCTGGAGTCTGCCACCTGCTGGACTTGGCTCTGCCTTAACCTTCGGGCGGGAGGCAGATCTGGTCTCTGTTGCTCCATCTTTGCTGGACGCTGCACATGTTTTTAAATCTAACAGCATTGAAGGGTTTCCCCTTTTAATTTCTTAATGGGGCATCACTGACTGACCTTCTTACACCTGCTGTTGGAACAGCCTCCATGTTCACAGGTGCACCCAGCTCGGTTGTGGCGTATTATCCTTTAATACAATGCTAAATACTCCATTTAAATTTTTTTTTTGAGATGGAGTTTTGCTGTTGTTGCCCAGACTGGAGTGAATTGGTGCGATCTCAGCTCACTGCAACCTCTGCCTCCTGGGTTCAAGTGATTCTCCTGCCTCAGCCTCCCTAGTAGCTGGGATTACAGGCATGTGCTACCATGCCCAGGTAATTTTGTATTTTTAGTAGAGATGGGGTTTCACCATGTTGGTCAGGCTGGTCTCGAACTCCCGACCTGAGGTGATCTGCCCACTTCTGCCTCCCAAAGTGCTGGGATTATAGGCGTGAGCCACCGTACCTGGCCTAAAATATTGACATATATTTTTCTGGCTTAAAAATTTCAAAATAAGCCTGGGCGCCATGGCTCACGCCTGTAATCCCAGCACTTTGGGAGGCCAAGGCGAGTGGATCACTTGAGCTCCGGAGTTTGAGACCAGCCTGGCCAACTTGGTGAAACCCCATCTCTACAAAAAATACAAAAACATTAGCCGGGTGTGGTGGTGCCTGTACGGCTTGGGCCTGGGAGGCGAAGGTTGCCGTGAGCTGAGATTGAGCCACTGTGCTCCAGCCTGGGCAACACAGCCAGACTCTGTTTCAAAAAAAAAATTTTTTTTCCAAGATAGGATGGTAGAGAAAATACCTCCTGCCATGTCCTGCTATGAATACAGCTTTGTATTTCTCTCTACAGTTTTGTCAGTTTTGGCTTTTCAGATTTTGAAGCGTGTTTGTGGGCTGAATCTTGCCCTTATCACCCATTTCTAGGATGCTTTTTGCTCCACTCATTCTTTGTCTTGCTTCACTTGACTTTGAACTGTATACTTTTTTCCATCGTTTTACTTTCAGTATCTTCATACATGTATGTTTTTGTACGCCTCTCTTAGAACAGTGTATGGTTTTGTAAAAATTCAGCCTGTAGCTTTTACCTGCCTCCTTCATGACCTTTATAATCCCCTTGGTTCTCAGCCTGCCACTCACAGGACTTTTCCCTGTGCTGCGTTCCCAGTGCCCCCTCCCCGCCCCCACCTGTGCTTTTTGTTGGATTAGTAGAATTGCTTTTGTCATTCCATTGTTTTCATATATTTGTTTGGGACATTTTACTTTTTTCTGTTAACGCTTACCCTAGAAATTAGAAATGACACCACGTATTCTTAGCGAAGTCCAGTTTTCAGCATTTTGTCCTTATTGGACAATAGCAAGGATATTAGAACGTGTTGGTTCCGCGTGCTTCCGTCTTGAGTTATGTGCTGCTATTGTCGGATATTTTGTCTTAGATGTACGTACTTTCCTGTTCATTGTGGTATGTGTAATTTGCGTTACTTTGAATTTTCCACGTTTTTACTTTCTTTGTCTCTCATCACTTACTGCTTTTGGGACCCCCCCCATCGGGGTTCACATTCCCTCTCCCTAGAGCACACTCCCTTGGATTTCCTCGAGTGGGGTCTGCTGCGGTGAAGCTTTCCCATTTTATGTGCAGATTATTTTCAGAGGGTATATAGAATTCAGGCAGCTGTTTCGTTGTAGCACATTAAAAATATTTTCCCACTTCCTCCTTGCTTCTGTTGTTGCTTTTGAGTGTTACCTCTGAGTCTGCCTGTGCTCCCTGGAAACGGCCCGGGTTTCCCACCCCCTGCCCAGGTTTGCTCCTTCCCTGGTTTTTCTGTCATTATCACGCTCACGTGTTTCCCTCGGTCACCCCCTCTGCAATTTTCACACGTCTTTTCCCTCTCTCTTTGCTTCATTACCTTTGGCCCGCCTGCCAGCTGCTGATTCTCTCTGAAGATGTCTCTAAATGACTTTTAACTGTGATTTGTGGAATTCTTATTGTGGAGTTTTGCGTCTTTTCAGGTGTAGGTTTTTTGTCTCGCGTGTTTCCACGTCTGCTTGTAGCGCTTTCCGCTTCGCCGTTCCCTGCGGCCCTTCCTTCCGTGCCCGGTGTTCATCCTCTTGAATGCTCTTTTCCTGCCTGTTTGGCTGGGTGTGTCTGAGTTGCAACCTGAGCGGGTTTCTTTGTCTTCTTACTTGTCTGGTATTGTGTTCTCTCGGGACGTTGCGTTTGAGGGGTCGCACCTCAGAGCAAGCCGAGGTCTGGGCTAAGCCTGTGCTTTGGCAGGCAGGACCTTAGTTTGCCTTTTCTGGGCACCTGAGGAGAGGGTAGCAGCAGCCTGGGGTCTCCTTGACTCACGGTCAGCAGTGAGGGTTTCCTGGCCTGTTGGGTGGCTGGAGCTTGGCTGCATTCCCCACTGAGAGAGGGAGGTGCGCACCTTCTCCTCCCTGGAGTGGCCTTCCAGGTGCCCTCTCAGAGCTGCTCATCAGGGCTGTGCCTTTGTCAGCACCAAGCCTCAGCCCTTGTCCCTGCTGCCACTGAAGGCTCAAAACAACACTGCACAGCCTTGTGTGTCCTCTGTGTGTCGGCAGTTTCCCCCGGCTCTGCAGCAGCCCAGGCCAGGTAGCCTCTGGAGGGAGTGGTGGAGGAGCACGGGCATCCTGGCCGCCGCTGTGTTGGGGACAGACCCTGGGGCCTGGAAAGGGAGGTGGGGCCCCGTGGGGGCTGCTGCACCACAGGCAAGAGAGCAAGAGACAGCAGAGGCCGGCCAGGTGGTGGCACAGCCGCTAGGGACCAGGCCGGCCTGTGGAGGTATTGGGATGGGGACCAGCGGACTTGCTGGCAGAGGGGCCTCAGGGCTGCAGGCTTCTTGGACTGAGCCACTGGGAGGACGGAGTTGACCTTCTTTGAGACAGAAAAAGTGTGCATCCCGGGGCTGCCTGTGAAAGCTCATCTCTAAAGTGTGTGTTGTTCTTCCAGCCACCCCTTTGCTGTGAAGTTGCTTGCGCTCTGTAAGAAAGAAATCAAGAATTCAAAAGATATCCAGAAGCTCCTGTCAGGCATCGCAGTGTGAGTTTCAAGTGCTGCTGGCCTTAGACGGAATGGCAGGGCGCAGCCTCCCTTGGCTGAGGGCAGGAGTCCACGGCTCCAGGCGGGAGAGGAGCAGTTAGTGTTACTCCTCAAGCTAACCTAAGATCGTGCATTCCAATGTTCAAAGCAGTCGCAATGGGAGGTGAGGCAGCCCAGGTGCTGGTGGAGGGAGTTCCCGCGGGAACAGGCGAGCTCTGCCTCTGCTGCCCTCGCGCTCTGCCCTGGCGGGAGGGGAGGCTCCGGAAAGGAGCTGCGTGGTCAGGGGCTGCCTCCCCGATTCTCCTGTGTGCCCTGGGGGTCGCTGTTGAGTGCCTTGCTCTGCGGCGCTCAGGTGGACACTGGGCAGGTGCGCCAGCCAGCGATAGGCACCTTGGCTGCTCTGTGGCTCCTTGAGGTGGGGGTCCTCATGGCAGGGCGAGCGGCCCTGCAGGAGATCCTCTGTGAGGCGTCCTCACTTCCCACAGTGACTTTCCAAGTGCGACACTCGTGTGTGTAGGCACAGTGCAGATGTACGCACACACACACCTCCGGCTTGGGGCCCCAGGCCCGCACTGTGCTCACGGATCTGCTCTGCCCAGGTCTCTGCATGGGCCTTTGGGTCCGGGGTTTGCTGGGGTTGGCCTGCGCGGGGTGGGGCTCACCTGGAGCCATGTGCTGCTCCCGGCAGGTTCTGCGAGATGGTGCAGTTCCCCGGCGACGTGAGGAGGCAGGCCCTCCTGCAGCTGTGTCTGCTCCTCTGCCACCGTTTCCCGCTGGTGAGTGCCTGCCCCTGCTCACGTGTGTTTGCCGTGTGGACACAAGCCCCTCAGTGACAAGAAGGCCTTCGCTGGCACTGTTGTGTTGGTGTGCTTTCCAGCCGAGCCCCTCTCGTTAACGCGCCTGGGTGACGACGCGTCACAGGCACGCGGCTGCCAAGGGGCTCTGGACGCCACTGTTCTGGCTTTAAGGACGGGCTGTCCGGCTGGCGTTTCTATGGACATACATTGAGGGGTGACCTGGCGGTGGGATCTGGCTCAGGAGCTTCCAGAAGGACCCAGGCTGAAGTGGTTCAGCCACACCTAGGGGCAGTGCCCTTCATCCCCAGCACTCCCCGGCTATTAGATTTCTAGGATTTCTTTTCTCCTGGCTGCAAAAAAAACCTCAGATGATACAAAGGTGACATTTTCCTAAAAGGCAAAAGTAACTTCATGTTGTATGGTGGTTCTCGAAGTGGGGTGCCGGACCCTCAGGCTTGGCACCTCTGGGGCTTCAGCAGTGCAGCTCTTGGGCCCTGTGCTGCCGACTCAGCACCTCCAGGGTGGGCCCGGGGCTCAGACCACCAGCGCAGTGAGACATGATGACCAGGGCACCACTCAAAAAGAGAGCAGGCGAGATTGCTTCCCTGATGAAAAGAGAGCAGGCGAGATTGCTTCCCTGATGAAAAGAGAGCAGGCGAGATTGCTTCCCTGGTGAAAAGAGAGCAGGTGAGATTGCTTCTCTGGTGAGGGAGCAGGTTGGTTAATAGATAGCGGGCGAGATTGCTTCTCTGGTGAGGTAGCAGGTTGGTTAATAGAGAGCAGGTGAGAGTGCTTCTCTGATGAAAAGAGAGCAGGCGAGATTGCTTCTCTGGTGAGGGAGCAGGTTGGTTAATAGCAGGCGAGATTGCTTCTCTGGTGAGGGAGCAGGTTAGTTAATAGAGAGCAGGCGAGATTGCTTCTCTGGTGAGGGAGCAGGTTGGTTAATAAAGCATTTAAACAAGAATGATGTCATCTTCACTGCTGGGATCCTGCAGCTAGCTGTGTGTCTGTGGAGGGAGGAGGTGGTTAATGGGCCTGGAAGGCACCTCCTCTTGGTTGCAGCCCTGCTGTGGCTGGGATGGGATGCAGGGTCAGCGTCCTCCTCCTGACGCCTTCCACTGACGGGGCTCCCTGGCCTGGGTCCTGTCGTCTCTCCGGGGTGGGGCGGTGGCGCTTCCCTCCGGCAAATGCACTGCATCCCTGTCCCAGATCCGGAAGACCACGGCCAGCCAGGTGTACGAGACATTGCTCACCTACAGTGACGTCGTGGGCGCGGATGTGCTGGACGAGGTGGTGACTGTGCTCAGTGACACTGCGTGGTGAGTGAAGGCCCTTCCTGCACGGCCACCTGGGCCTGGCACCGCCCCTCTTCCTGTCCCCACCGTGTCTACTCGTCTCTCCCAAAACCCTCTGATAGGAGGAGGAAAGAGGGTTCCCAGGTCTCCACATCCTCTGCTTAGGTTTTACAAGGCAGCCGTGCTGCTGTAGCCGAAACCTCTTCTCAACCGCCCTGTCCCCAAACAGTGTCAGGTGTCAGGAACACAGCAAAGCCATCCATCCCACCAGGGGAGCGGGCACCTGTACCACAAGGCTGTGTCTGGTGGCCTGTGGAGCAGAGGGCACTGAAGGCCTGGCAGGTGCTGCTGCCCCAGACCTCTCTAAAGTTCTCTTGGAATAGGCCGTGTGAGCACCTGTTGGAAATCAAGAGGCACAGGCGGAAATAAGAAAAGCTCTCCCCACGCCTCTGCTCTGATGTCCACCCCCTTCCTCAGGGCCATGAGGCCCTCAGGAGGCCATAGTGCCACTCTCCACGTTTACTTTGGCAGGCACAGTTTCTGCAACATGGGCTGGCTTCTTTACCATGGGTGGAGTAGAATGGCGGTTTTGAAAGATGTGTGTATTGAGTTGGGGGTGGGAGGGTCTGAATGAGAGCAGAGTGGGGAAAGTGCAGGCTCAGGTGTCCTGGGCCAACCGGTATGTTCCTGGGAACAGCAGTGATGGTGTCTTACACATATGGGCATGGGCACCCATGCTGGCTCACACACATGCTCACTTGCACGCGCGCACACACACACACACACACACACACTTCTAAAAGGGGAGCAGTCTCGTCACCCCGTGTTGGAGATCAGGACTGAAGCAACCAGAGGCTGTGTGGGTGTCCACATGGCATACCCGGGGTGGTGGAGTCCCAGGTGTCCTGCCTGTGGATGCTGCTCTGTTTTGAGTGCCGACTGTGAGGGCCTCCGTGCTGATCCCGGTGCGTTGCTACAGGTCTGTGGGGTCCACGCCCCTTGTTGAATCCAGCAAGGACGTAGGTGACGTTCCCTAGGTGTCTCCTCGGAACAGTGACCTTCCAACAGGGCTGGGTTCCCATAGAGCTCACGCACCAGGCAGCCGCTGTGGCCTCGGAGGACAGAGGTGGCCTCTCCAGGGCTTCCGCGAGGTTTTCTGGTTTGGGGAGGAGTGTGTGTCTGCTCCTAAACAAACACGTGGTCCCAGGAGAGGAACCGGGAGCAGCTGGGCTGTCTTCTCAACATGCGTTGAGAGAATGGCCATCTTAACTACTGCTCTGGAGACCCGTTTTTACAATGATTTTTTTAAAAAAAAACACCAAGGTGCATTCTGGACCAGATTCTAAAATAATTGGCTTTAGGACTGAAGAAGCCAGGTGTCCCGAGCGGGGCGAGGCCTCCTCCAGCGAGGCTGGGTCGGGGTGGCCTCCTTTCCTCACATCAGGGAGGGAGGAACTAGCAGGGTGGGCCTGGGGGCTTCTCCTATCGTTTAATCCCCTTTCTGTTAAAAAAAAAAATCCTTAGAATTTAAAGAGAATATTTTAAATTAGAAACGAAAAACATGCCCCAGATATCTCCACAGCATTGCTAGAATTTTTATTTCGCATCAACAGCTAAATTAAAACCTGGAAAACCCTTGTCAGCCCCTCCTTGGCCTCGCTTGGTCTGTCCTCCCGCAGTCCCTGCGCTGGGCGTGGTCCTTCCCGAGGGGCACCCCTTGTTGGGAAGGAACCGTCCTCCTGCGATTCCGGAAAGGGCTCAGGCTCGAGGCTCTGCTGGAGAACGTGCTCCTGTGACGTCTTTTCTGCCCTCAGCCTGGCTATGGATGTCGGGGGTGAGGTCTCCTTTCCCTGACTGCGGCCATGGAAGCTTGACGCGGGACCTCCGCACACCTGAGGTTCTCCGGTGGGCACTCGAGAGACTCACGGCTCTCCCTCTCCTCACAGGGACGCGGAGCTTGCAGTGGTGAGAGAGCAGCGCAACCGTCTGTGTGACCTTCTGGGCGTACCCAGGCCCCAGCTGGTGCCCCAGGTAACCCTGTCACCTTCACAGCATGAGGTGCCTGTGCTTCCCTGAGCTCTGGAATGTTCTGGGGCCAGCGGCTGTGCTTAGCTTCTGCCAGCACGTCCACACGGCCCGTTCCCTCGTCTCATGTCAGGACCCCTGGGATTACGGGACCAGCAGAGCTGCCTTCTCTGGCCACTGCCCACACCTGTGGGCCCCTGTGGCATCCAGGCCACTTGCTCTGGGGCGTTTGGGGGGCCGGGGAGTGGGTGGAGCTGGCACCAGCTTGATCCAGGCTCCTCATGCCTGGCCCTGGGGTCTGTTTGTGCTCCAAGTGCCAAGAGTGCCACCCTACCCCTCCTCATCTGCTTCCCATGAGTGGGGCCGGGGCTGGGTGAGAGGCCCCCAGAAGCTGCCCCTGTGCACCTCACCAGCCCGTCACTCTTCTAAAGTAACAAAAACAAGTACCTCAGTTCTCTCGGGGGCTGGGGCCCAGGGTTGCTGTGCTGTCTCTCTAGTTACCAGGGTTGGCTCCTTCCTCTCAGCCTCCTTCCGGCAGGAGGTTATATCTGAGAGGGAGGAGGAGAACCATGTCTAGATACATGGGGGCAGTGGGGATGGGCTGAGCATCAGGACACAGCCTCCCCCATTTCTGTGTGTGTAAAGGCTGAACTCAACAGCAGACTTTGGAATTAAATGTGCTTTTTACATTTTTATTAGGAAAAATTTCAAACGTGTGAATGCAGGTTAAGAGCAGTGCAGTGAACCTCCCTTCCCGCTCCCCAGATGGGGTGCCCTTCCGAGGACACGTTAGTCATGAGCACCTGTCAGCCACATAGCTCAGGCTGCCGGGTGTGTGGGAAACGGCACAAATGGTTTCCTGCAGGAACCGTGTCAGTCCCCACACAGGGCCCAGAGGGGTGAGGGTCCCCTGGCTGGGAATGGTGTGTGTTGGAGCTGACCAGCCTGAGCTTGTCTTGTCTCTTCTTCAGCCTGGTGCCTGCTGAAGCCAGTCCTGGAGCCCATACCTCACCCCTGCCTGGTGAGGATGTCTTGTTCCTGAGGGAGGCCGGTGTGGAAAGCCTCGCACAGTGGTGCCTCCAGCTGTTGAAGGGTAGCGCTGGCCCTTGGAGGCTGGCACTAGCTGACAGCTTTTCCTCTCTGCACCTGCGCTCTGGTGACTTGGGGTGGACGCCTCTGCCTTCACTTGAACACAAATGTGCTTCCTATAAAATCATGTACCAAGAAGTTCCTGCCTTTTGTCTCTGAGCCTGATGTGTGTAGGGGTGATGGAAAGGCTCACTGCCCAGGGGTCAGCCAGAGGGGAGGTGGGCTGCACTCCTCCTGCCTGGAGACCAGGCCCCCTTCTTGCCTGGTGCTGTCCCTGCTGTGGGAGACGTCTGGCCACAGGCAGTGCCCCACCCAGTCTTGGAGAGAGATGAATGTTAAATCAGAGGTTCAAATGCTAGAGAACTGAGAAGCCCTGGTGGCAGGCATGGTCTGGAGTGCTGGGCAGATGCTGTTTCTGGGCCCGTCTGCCTGGTGGGGGTGCTGTCCTCCCCCCTGTGCACACGTGAGCATCGTGCATGTGGCCCCTCTGCAGTGCAGGAGTCACTGATTGATGGGTGTGCCGACCAGCAGCTTCACAAATGTCTGCTGCAAGGGGAATCGTCAGAGTCCAATGTGTGCCTCTACAGTAATGTCGGAAATAAATACCATTCTTGAAATAATTACACTGTCTTAGGAGAGCCTGGGCAGAGTCCACACTTGGGTTTTTAGGCAAAGGGCAGGAGGCTACCTTTGTCTCTGTGTCTGAGCTCGTGCTGATCCATCCCAAAGCTGGTGAGGGGAACGTGTATAAAAATTTCACTGTGGTAGCAACCCACACCCATCTCTGGGACCTGTGCTGTGCTCATAGGGCTTGAGGTGCAGAACCACGGCCAGCAGCACCAAAGCAGCCCCAGGTGTGGCCACTCAGAGGCCCAAGGGCTTGGGTGAGCAACCCTTTCCCTATGTGAGGAGCCCAGGGGTGCCATGTGCGTGGTGTAGATTAGGGTGGCTCCCTGGCCTGCTCTCAGGTGGGGATGGGGCCTGGACACAGGAACATGGGCAGGCCGAGAACTGGGAGGTGCCACCGCATCTGTGAGGCTTGTGAGGTCACCAGGACCACAAGACCAGGACTGTGACAGTCCGTGCTGTGTGTTTAGCAGACAGCTCTTCACGGGATGTGTGTGACGACCTGGCCACACAGGAGTGTGGGGTTAACACACTACTGTTGTTGTGTTTGACCTGGTGGCCAATGGTCTTTATACCCTAAAAGAGCCTTGGGTTACATTTTTACGAGATTTAAATATTTTATTCCAACCTGTGTAATAGGGGTCTCCTCCTCCTTGAACTGTCCCGATTGGCTGGGGTCACGTGGTGAGGGTCCTGGGTGACCAGGCCTAGCCTTGGCCACATGAGTCCACACAGTGGAAAAGGCTTGGCTCCTGTGGTCGGCACACACGAGACTCTGGTTGCGCCTGCTGGGTGTGGAACAGGCGCACCATCGCCATGCCTGCAGCTCACAAAGCTCCTGCTGGCCTGGGATGCACTGAGGATGGAAGGAACAAGTGGCTTCTGAGAAAAACATGATGAACTGTTCTTAGTGCAATTAAAAGAAGATTCCAGATAAATGGCATTTTAAGACATGGAGGCAGGTCGATTACCCACCCAGACCCATCAGTGACACTATGTGGCAAAGCAGTTCTTCTTTTAATGTCGGTCTAACTTAGCAACCCGAGGAAAGTGGATCACTCCACTGGCCACTGCCTCTTTCCCACTGGATCCCATCCATCACTGGGGCACTTGTGCTCACCAGACACCTGGTGGCCTGGAAAGCCCTCTTTCAGCAGCCGTTTCTGGAGCCCACCAGGGTCCAGGTGATAGAGTTTGGCAAGGAACCCCTTGCTCACATGATAGCTGGGGCAGACAATAGCAAATGAACAAGCAAGCACCATCAAGGCAGGCAACACTGAGTGCTATGAACAAAGATAAAGTGGGCAATGGAATGGCATGTTGGGTGTTGACTCCGAGAAGGTGTTCAGAAAACCTCTCTGAAGGGGCAGCATTTGGGCAGAGGTCCAGACTGTGTCCAATGGCAGAAAAGAGAATGCTTGTGGTCCCAGAAGTGGAGCAAGCTTTGTGAGTTTAGAGAGCAGCAAGAAGCCAGTATCCCTGGGACCGGGGAGCTGATGTGGGATTTGTGTACCCACAAACACGTTCTAGGTGCTAACCAGAAACCCTCCATGTGAGAGCAGAGACCTTGGAGATCCTGAGGGTTTCTGCTGAGCCCTGGAATCTAGTCACGCTATTTTGATAGCAGAATGGATGAGAGAATTTAAGGCCCAGGGCCAGATCTAATGGACCACTATATAAAGCTGGGACCCTAAATAAGTCTTTTTCAAAGGAACAGCAGCAAGACTCTTATCTCAATCTATCTCCCCTGAAGTGGCCTGAATTAATACTACCTGTATGATCCCCAAAACTCCTAAAGTGGAAAATTTGATTGACTTGGCCCTGACCAGTGGTATTCCCAGACAAGGGCAGAAGATGCAAATACAAAACCTCTCTGGTAGAATGTAGGCTATAATATGAGTACATTTTTGAAAAGGGCTAGAAATGATCAAGAAGAGATTAGAAAAAAACAGAGCCCCTAGAAATGTAAGAAGTGAAATGAAAAGCTCAATGGATAGCTTAGACACAGCTGAAGAGAGAATTAGAAAACTGGAAGATCTGAAAACATTATCCAGAGAACTGGAAGATATGACAGCAACATCAAGAGACATTGAAGAATGTCTAACCTTTGGGTAATTGGGGTCTCAGAATGAAATGAAATGATGCAGATATTCCATACTGACATGCAACAGTCCCCAGATACAGAAGCCTAACAGTCTCACATTTAGACCTGCCACAGTGAAACTGCAGAACTGTAAGAAGGACAGAGTGATATAAACGACTACCAATTTCCCAGCAGCAGCACTGGAGTTGAGCAGTGAGTAGACCAAGGTCTTCATTATGCTGAGAGAAAATAGCTGTCAAGTTGCTTGAATTGTGCCCACAGCATAACATTAAAGAAGAGAACAAAATTAAGTCATTTAGATAAAAATATGCCATTCTTATCTGTTTGGTTTTTTAATCTTGGCTTAATATTTGGGGTTGAGTCATTTGTTTTGAGAGCTGTCCTGTTTATTGCAGGGTGTTCAGCAACATCCCAGATGGAAGCAGCATCCCCCTACCCAGCTGTGACAAAAAGAAAAAAAAATGTCTCCAGACACTGCCAAATATCTTCTGGGGGTGCCCCTGGTTGAGAACCACTGCTTTAGTGGATAAACTTTAGGCAGGAGGGAAATGATCGCAGTTGGATAGTTGGAGGAATGTGGAGCAAGGGAAGCAATAAACTGTGACCATAAAAACATAGAAAGATGGCTTATATGTGGATTTTTTTTTAAAGCACGTAGAATTGCTTAAAATGGACAACAGCAGCATATAAATCAGTGGCAGAGTTGGTGGCTGAATTTAGAGCATCTTAAGTCTATGTTCTCCTGGAACAGAGTGCAGATAATTCAGTTATCAGCTTGGCTAGGTGCATGTTGAAGTATTTAGTCACACACAAACAGTTAATGTATGGGGAAGATAACTTCTATACTAGTAGGAGAGAAATGGAACAAGAATAAAAAATACACTATCAAAATATGCAAGAATGGCAAGAGGAAAAGGCAGAACAAGCTGCAAAACACACACACAATTAGAAATAAATATTTTGGGACACAATAAATGTGAATGGATTAAAACCTCTGTTAATGACAAAGTTCTCCAGTTAAAGGAAGGCAAATAGTGTTATTAGGAATAGATTACTATATGATGATTAAAGGCTCAGTTCAACAGGAAGATGATTGATAGAACTTTCCTACATTTGTAACACAGTCTTAGAAGATACTAAAGCAAACATTCAAGAAGAAATTGATCACCTACTACCATAGTGTATTTTATTGAATTGGTACATTTCAATAAAGTGTCATAAGGCACGGTTGAAGGAGAAAAACTTGACCCAATGGACAGTTACAGAACCCAAGTGTGTGTGTGTGTGTACACAGAAATTTTAAAAATGTTTTTAAAAACATCTCTTTAAAAGAAATAATGAAAATTATAAAATATATAATGAAAGATAAAAGTTAATCAAAACAGATAGAGTTCACCTAAAGTGGTGCTTAAGCGATTCTGAAGTCGTGAATTATACATTACAGAAGAAAGGCTGGAAATTAATGAGCTGAACATAAGCAGAGGACTAACTGTAAAGAAAATTAGAATAAGAGCAGAATGAAAAGGAAATGAAACATAATAAAGAAACAAACCCAGATGGTTCTTCGGTGAAAAGACCCACCTGGGAGCAGCTGCCATGGGTCCGTCAGCTGAAGTGAAGGAAGTCCTGGCCCTCCTGCAAGTGCAGTGACCTCAGGTTGTCCTCAAAGGCGCCCCCTGTGAGGTCCTGTCAGGAGCAGCAGATTCAGCTCAGTCCGGTCTCCTGGCTCTAGGAGGCCACTGTGGAGCCTCCTCCAGGGCCAGGGGTTGGGGGTGGCCTGTGTCCACCTGTCAAGTGTTCTGCTCCTCTGCTAATAGCGGAGAGGCTGGAAGGAGACAAAGGCCAGAGAGGGCAGCAGCCGGCACTGCTTGTACCACAGGCCCTGTTGGTCACCAGAGGGGAGGCCCCCCCTGCCTTCTGGCCTTGCCTCTCTACATAAGGTGGCTGACTCTCCCTGGGGGCACTCGGAATGGAATGAGACTAACAGGCAATGCCTCTGCTGTTTGACCAGGGCAGACCCACCTTCCCTCCACACACCCACCCCTCTGCACAGGCCAGGAGTGGGAGGAGGCCCCTCAGACAGAAACTGCATCTCAGAACCATCAACAGCTGCCCCTGTCTGATCTCCTCTGGCCTCTGTCATCCCCACCCCTGCAATGGAGTGAGGGCTGTGACCCCGGGTCCCTGGATGCTTAATCTTGTCCTGTGTGCTGGCCTTGGCCAGGTCACCTACTCTCCTGTATGAGGCCACAGCAGGTGTCCAGAAATGCCTTTCAGACGTGCCCTGCACCCCAGCACCTCCTGAACAAGTTCCTGAAGACAGCCCGGCAGAGTGGTGGACACAAGTCTCTGGCCTCTGGCAGGACAGAGGAGGGACTATGCATTCCTGTCACAGTCCTTGGTCCTTGGGCCCAGCAGGAGGAATCGGAGCTTGGCTGCGCCCCTTACCCCCACCACATCAGAATCCATTACACCACCTACCACTGCTGTCACTCAAATGATGCTGTCACTCAAAGCCATCCTTCCTGGAAAACATTTCCACACACTCTGCCGCTATCTGTCCTTCCTCCCTTGTCTCTCTGCTCTAGAGTTTGCAAAGGAAACACACCTGAGTTCAGGGACCAGGCCAGCCCAGTGCGTGTTGACACCGTCTTAAACAAGACTCTGTTAAAACTAGATGCTTCTGTAAAGCAACATGTTCCATTAGGAGAATGAAAAGGCAAACCACAAAATGGAGGAAGACATTTGCAAAACATTAAACCAACAAAGTCGAGCAGCCAGAGGTGTAGGGGACTCCTACAGGTCAGGAGAGACGCAGCGTGCAGTAGGCCGGTGGGGAACCCTGATGAGAAACACCGCCAGAGAGGAAGGAACTCCAGTGTCCAGCGGGCACGGGGGGTTGTTGGTCAGACTCACACCTGAAACCACCATGAGAACACACTCCCCAAACGGCTGGCGACCAAGTGCCCAGCCCAGTGTGAGGGAGCCGAGCAGCTGGGCCCTCTGGCTCTGGGCATGTTCCTGGGCATCATCCAGAGAAGCTGAGGATGCAGCCACACCCACGACCTGCCTTCCACTCCCAGGATTAGACCCGAGGCAGGGATGCTCACGCAGGAGGACACAGCGTCCTTGCAAGGGCAAACCGGGAACCACTGCCCACAGGCCTGGGTCCTGGCGTGGCCTCTGGGTGGGGTGGCGTTTGCACACGGGACGTGGAGAAAGTCCACACCATGCACAGCGATACGCACACACCCCAAACACGTGGAGTGAAAACCAGATGCGAGAACACAGACACTGGATTCTGCTCACATGAACTACAAAAATAGGATAAATTAGACTATGGTTTAGGGATGTGTTCACGCACACGCCATGAGGGTTGGCCCTGCCAGGTGCCAAATGCACGTTCACAACCAACATAGACGGCATTTCGTTCCTGGAAAAGCAGTGATGTAAACGATGTTGGGACAATTATCCAAATAGAAAAATTGGCATCTGTAATCAAAAGAAATTCCAGTTGTATCAAAGATGTAATTAAAAACTAGAAATCCCAGAAGCAAAATGGGACAATGTTGTTTTTTAAATTTCACAACCAGGAGTGATTGTCTTAGAATGAATCAGACTCCATAAATGAAAGTCACTTAATTTGATTATATCACAATGGCAAAAATACAAAAATATCAAATGGCAGGAAAATTTGCAGCATGTCGGAGAGTTTTCCTTATGAAAAATACTGACCAATAGAAAAATGGGCTAATGAAAATAATAATTTACTGAAGGGGAAATAAAGCAGTTTATAAATATGTGAGAAGATGCTTTCCCTCCCTTTAAGGGCACGAGGCAGGTGCTCCATCGCTGGTGGGTTGGGTTGGCACAGCAGCTGCGGGTGGTGAACAGCCAGACTGGGATTGAATGTGTGTGCTCTTTGACCCAGAAATTTTTAGAATTTATTCCACACAGAGCCACTTGAGCGAAATTATGTATATATACAAATACTGCAGCAGCATTTTAAACAGCAGATGATTAAAAATGGCCAAAAGGTACATCAGTAAGTAACTGTATCACAAATGCATGAAACATCCATATAATCGAAGAGCGGGTGTTTTAGTGACAAACGTGAACCTTGGGTTTCTCTTTACTCTTCCAGCTAACGGTGGAGGAAGGCACAACAACAGTGCCACCGAGGTGCCCTGAGACCCGCAAGCTGCTCCCGCCAAACGGAATTGCAGGGGAGCCTGATGCGGCCTCGGTCTGACCACCTCTCAAAAGGATGGAGCAGAACACGCAAAACCACAGGGAACCGGTCGGCAGAGTGCAGGATACACAAGCCCATTCTTCAGCTGAACTAAGAAAAGAGCGTCGGCGTCAGGGAGACAGAAAGGTCATGTCGTAAAGGTCACACGGACGCTGCCGGGTTCCAGCAAGCAAACTTAAAACATGAAGCAATTTATAAGGCAATTAGGAAGATTTGAACATCGATGGGATATTTGGAATTCTGTGGTGGGATGGTGGTTTTATGGTCCTTTTAACAGTTTTTATCTCCTTGAGATAGGGAAATAATAATGGATGAAATTAGGCTAGAATGAGTGCCACAACACCAGCGTGGGGATTTGGAGGTGTGGAGGACACATAAGATGGACACGCTTGCTCCAGGGATGGGTACATAGGGCTGGTTTCCTGTCACTTTGCTAATATGGCTCAAATAAGCTGGAAATTTCCCTGAATAGAAAAGTCACAGCAACAGTAGAGCCCGGGGGCTCCAGCGGCTTCACACGGAATAACCTCCAATCTACACACGTGAAAAGAGCAAGAGATGGAACAAGCATGTGCTGTGAGGCCACACTGCCAGCTGCCCCTGGAAGAACAAGCAAGAGACAGGTGACCGTGGGGGCTCTGGGCCCTCCAAGGACACAGCGTGTGCAGGACAAGGAGGAACCTCTTTTCCCATGCTCAGCCGGCTCCCTGGGAAGGGTTTTCACCAAGTGCCTTGGGGTTCATATGAGTGCCCCAAGATAGTAGTGACACCACAGGTCACCATAACACATACGATAACAGTTTGACATATTGCGAGAATTACCACAAGGAGACGTGGAGTGGGCATGCTGCTGGAAGAGCGGCACTGACGGGGTTGGAGAGGGGGTCCCTGAGAAGTAGATCCTGAAGAGGCTGTTTCTGAAAAACTAAACCAGATTCGTGTAGAATTTGCATTTTATAACTGCTTCTCGGAGCCTCCCGTTTACTCACCTAAATGTCCCCGGTAACTTGGACAACGGTTATTCAAAGGTTTTCATTACTTTGCTCAGATCCATCAGAGCAATCACTATCTTTGGCGGCTACGGCCTTAGAAAACGTCTTTCTCCAATAAGACTGGAAAGTTGGAATGACTCCTGGACCCACGGTCTGCAGAACGGATGCTGTGTCAGCACAAAAACACGAACCCCTCGTACATCAGCCTCAGAGCTCCTGGGTGACCAGGTGCACCGTCAATGAGCAGTCGTATTTTGAAAGGAATCTCCTTTTCTGAGCACTGGGCCTAACGGTGGGCTTACACTATTCCATCAACCGTGCTGTGCACAGATGTGCTGCCACCTGGGCCTTGCCGTTCCATTTCTAGAGCCACAGGCAGAGCAGATTTAGCCTCATTCCTAAGAATCCTAGGATTCTCAGAATGGCGACCACTGCCTTCAACTTAACCCATTTATGGCTGAGGTTGCAATTTTTCGAATTTTTGCAATCAGATCTTGGCAGTGACCTTAAGCAGAATATAAACTTGCACATGCTTAGCGTTCCAATAATGGAACACTAGGCATAGATGGGTTTTAAAGTCACGGCAAAGAGTCAGACTGTCTTTTGAAGCTCTGAAGCCAGGCATTGACTTCTCCCTACCTATGAAAGGCCTGCATGGTGTCTTCTTCCAGTTCAAGGTTGCTTCCTCTACACTGAAGATCTGTGGTTGAGTGCGGCCACCTCCATTGTGACCGTAGCATGATCTTCTGGAGAGCCTGCTGCCTCACCTCACACTCATATTACGGAGACGGCTTCTTTCCTTAAGCCTTGTGGGCCAACCTCTGCTAGCTTCAAACTTATGTTCACAGCTTCCTCACATCATTCAGCCTTCACAGAATTGAAGAGAGTTGGGACCTCGCTCTGTATTAGGCTTTGGCTTAAGGGAATGTTGTGGCTGGTTTGATCTGTCAGACCACTAACACTTTCTCCCTATCCGCACTATCATTTGTGTGTTCACTGGAGGACCACTTTTAATTTCCTTCAATAACTTTTCCTTTGCATTCACAACTTGGCTAACCGTTAGGCTGAAAGCTGGGCCTCTCCTGCCAGTCGTGGCTTTCGACATGCCTTCCTCACTAAGCTTAAACATTTCTAGCTTTTGATTTAAAGCGAGAGACGTGCGACTCTTCCTTTCACTTGAACACTTAGAGTCCACTGTGGGGTTATTAGTTAACCTAATTTCAATGTTGTGCCTCAGGGAATAGGGAGGCCTGAGGAGGGGTGGGGTGGGGGGGAGCGGGGAGGCGACAGCTGCTGTCAGAACATTCGCATTTTATCAATCAAGTTCACTGATTCATATGGGCGCCCCGAGATAGTAGTGACACCACAGGTCACCGTAACACATACAGTAACAGTTTGACATATTGCGAGAATTAACACGTGGAGATGGGGAGACGTGGAGACGTGGAGTGGGCGTGCTGCTGGAAGAGGGGCACTGATGGGGTTGCTCTCGTGGGGCTGCCACACGCCTGTAATTTATAAAATGCACAATGAAGTGCAATAAAATGAGGTGCGCCAGTAGTTGCCAGAAAGCTGTGCCCAAGAGGCTCTGCTCACGTTGTTCTGCCTGGACTTGACTTGGATTAGTTGTGTGACAGCTCATCACAGGCCGGGCAGTGTAGACCAACACACGCTGGCCTCACGGCTTCTGCGGGGCAGGAACCGTGACCCGCCCTGGTGTGGCGTGCTTCTAGCTGTCACAGGTGCCCATGTCTGTGTGTCCCCCACAACCCCCCAACAGTACCGCTTGGGGCCTGGCTCACTCTATCAACCACTCACCCGTGGTTATTTACCAAGAAAATGCAAAGCAAAAAAAGCAGGGGTTGCAATCCTAGTCTCTGATAAAACAGACTTTAAACCAATGAAGATTAAAAAAGACAAAAAAGGGCATTACCTAATGGTAAAGGGATCAATGCAACAAGAAGAGCTAACTATCCTAAATATACACACACCTAATACAGGAGCACCCAGATTCATAAAACAAGTTCTTAGAGACCTACAGAGAGACTTAGGCAACCACACAATAATAATGGGAGACTTTAACACCCCACTGTCAATATTTGAGACAGAAAATTAACAAGGATATTCAGGACTTGAACGCAGCTCTGGACCAAGCGGACCTAATAGACATCTACAGAACTCTCCACCCTAAATCAACAGAATATACATTCTTCTCAGCACCACACAGCACTTACTCTAAAATTAACCACATAATTGGAAGTGAAACACTCCTCAGCAAATGCAAAAGAACAGAAATCCTAACAGTCTTTCAGAACACAGTGCAATCGAATTAGAACTCAGGATTAAGAAACCCAAAATCGCAGAACTACATGGAAACTGAACAACCTGCTCCTGAATGACTACTGGGTAAATAACAAAATTAAGGCAGAAATAACGAAGTTCTTTGAAACCAATGAGAACAGAGAGACAACGTACCAGAATCCCTGGGACACAGCTAAAGCAGTGTTAAGAGGGAAATTTATAGTGCTAAATGCCCACATCAGAAAGCAGGAAAGATCTAAAATCGACACCCTGACATCACAATTAAAAGAACTAGAGAAGCAAGAGCAAACAAATTCAAAAGCTAGCAAAAGACAAGCAAGATCAGAGCAGAACTGAAGGAGATAGAGACACAAAAATCCCTTCAAAAAAATCAATGACTGGTTTTTTGAAAAGATTAACAAAATAGACCACTAGCCAGGCAAAGAAAAGAAGAATCAAGTAGACACAATAAAAAAAGATAAAGGGGCTGTCACCACTGATCCCACAGAGATACAAGCTACCATCAGAGAATACTATAAACACCTCTATGCAAATAAACTAGAAAATCTAGACGAAATGGATAAATTCCTGGACACATACACCCTCCCAAGACTAAACCAGGAAGAAGTCGAATCCCTGAAAAGACCAATAACAAGTTCTGAAATTGAGGCAGTAATTAATACCCTACCAACCAAGAAAAGCTCAGGACCAGATGGATTCACAGCCGAATTCTACCAGAGGTACAAAGAGGAGCTGGTACCATTCATTCTGAAACTTCCAAACAATAGAAAAAAAGGGACTACTAACTCATGAGGCCAGCATCATCCTGATTCCAAAACCTGGCAGAGACACAACAAAAAAAATTTCAGGCCAATACCCCTGATGAACACTGATGTGAAAATCATCAATAAAATACTGGCAAACTGAATCCAGCAGCACATCAAAAAGCTTATCCACCATGATCAAGTCAGCTTCATCCCTGGGATGCAAGGCTGGTTCAATATACGCAAATCAATAAACATAATCCATCACATAAACAGAACCAAAGACGAAGACCACATGATTATCTCAACAGATGCAGAAAAGGCCTTCAATAAAATTCAACACCCTTAGTGCTAAAAACTCCCAATACACTAGGTATTGATGGAACGTATCTCAAAATAATAGCTATTTATGACAAACCCATAGCCAGTATCATACTGAATGGGCAAAAGCTAGAAGCATTCCCTTTGAAAACTGGCACAAGACAAGGATGGCCTCTCACCACTCCTATTCAACATAGTATTGGAAGTTCTGGCCAGGGCAATCAGGCAAGAGAAAGAAATAAAGAGTATTCAGATATGAAGAGAGGAAGTCAAATTGTCTCTGTTTGCAGATGACATGATTGTATATTTAGAAAACCCCATTGTCTCAGCCCAAAAACTCCTTAAGCTGATAAGCAACTTCAGCAAAGTCTCAGGATACAAAATCGATGTGCAAAAATCACGAGCATTCCTATACACCAATAATAGACAAGCAGAGACTGAAACCATGAGTGAACTCTCACAATTGCTACAAAGAAAATAAAATACCTAGGAATACAACTTATAGGGGATGTGAAGGACCTCTTCAAGAAAAACTATAAACCACTGCTCAGGGAAGTAGGACACAAACAAATGGAAAAAAAAAATTCCATGCCCGTGGATAGGAAGAATCAATATCATGAAAATGGCCATAAAATAATTTATAGATTCAATCCCATTCCCATCAAGCTGCCATTGACTTTATTCACAGAACCAGAAAAAACTACTTTAAATTTCATATGAAACCAAAAGAGAGTCTGTATAGCCAAGACAATCCTAGGCAAAAAGAACAAAGCTGGAGGCATCACGCTACCTGACTTCAAACTATTCTCCAAGTCTACAGTAACCAAAACAGCATGGTACTGGTACCAAAACAGATACATAGATCAATGCAACAGAACAGAGGCCTCAGAAATAACACCACACATCTACAACCATCTGATCTTCGACAAACCTAACAAAAACAAGCAATGGGGAAAGGATTCCCTATTTAGTAAATGGTGCTGGGAAAACTGGCTAGCCACATGCAGAAAACAGAAACTAGACCCCTTCCTTACAGCTTATGAAAAATTAACTCAAGATGGATTAAAGACTTAAACCTAAAACCATAAATACCCTACATGAAAACCTAGGCAATACCATTCAGGACATAGGCATGGGCAAGGACTTCATGACTAAAACACCAAAAGCAATTGCAACAGAAGCCAAAATTGACAAATGGGATCTAATTAAACTAAGGAGCTTCTGCTCAGCAAAAGAAACTATCATCAGAGTGAACAGGCAGCCTCTGGAATGGGAGAAAATTTCTGCAATCTGTCCATCTGACAAAGGTCTAATATACAGGATCTACAAGGGACTTAAATTTACAAGAAAAAACCTCATCAAAAAGTGGGCGAAGGACATGAACAGACACTTCTCAAAAGAAGACATGTGGCCAAGAAACATGAAAAAAAGCTCATCACTGGTCATTAGAGAAATGCAAATCAAAACCACAATGAGATATCACTGGTCGTTAGAGAAATGCAAATCAAAACCATGATGAGATACCATCTCACACCAGTCAGAATGGCGATTTCTAAAAAATCAAGAAACAACAGATACTGGCAAGGCTGTGGAGAAGTAGGGATGCTTTTACACTGTTGGTGGGAATGTAAATTAGTTCAACCATTGTGGAAGACAGTGTGGTGATTCCTCAAGGATCTAGAGCCAGAAATGCCATTTGACCCAGCAATACCATTATTGGTATATACCCAAAAGGAATACAAATCATTCTATTATAAAGATACATGCACGCATATGTTTACTGCAGCACCATTCACAATAGCAAAGACATGGAATCAACCCAAATGCCCATCAATGATACACGGGATAAAGAAAACATGGCACATATAGCCCATGGAATACTACGCAGCCATGAAAAGGAATGAGTTCATGTCCTTTGCAGGGACATGGATGAAGCTGGAAACCATCATCCTCAGCAAACTAACACAGGAACAGAAAACCAAACACCGCATGTTCTCACTCATAAGTGGGAGTTGAACAGTGAGAACACATGGACACAGGGAGGGAAACATCACACACTGGGACCTGTTGGAGGGTGGGGGGCAAGGGGAGGGAGGGCATTAGGACAAACACCTAATGCATGCGGGGCTTAAAACCTACATGGCGGGTTGATAGGTGCAGCAAACCACCATGGCACATGTAAACCTATGTAACAAATCTTCATGTTCAGCACATGTATCCCAGAACTTAAAGTAAAATTAAAAAAAAAAACTACTCACCTCAGCCCCCCGCAGCCAGCCTGGACTCCCCACGCTTGGGGAAAAAGGCTGCATTTGGAGCCCGAGGCACCCATCACCTGCCCACCCCAGGCAAGGGTCGTTCACACTCAGGGGCTGAGGACATCCCCGATGCAGCCACCTCAGTCCACGGGAGCTGGAGGTCCTGGCCTTGGCCCCTCAGACATGGCACCGCAGGGCCTCGTGCTTTGCAAGTTTCTAACAAATGTTGGCTTTATGGGTATTTTAAGACAGAAGAGAGACCGGAATCCATCCCCCCCACACCCATGCAGGCCACCCTCTCCAGCTGCCTCCTGCCCCCAGGGCAGCGGCCACCACCCCACAGCCTGGTCTGTGGTGCTGTTGTGGACGGCTGTGGCACCTGTCCCCATGCCCACCATCGGCTGGGGTCTCATCCCAGGCCACACAGTCATTGCACAGCAGGGCGGGTTGTCCAGGTGGCAGAGCCCGGGATCCCCAAGCCCTTCCACGGCCAAGGGCCCCACACTCACCAGCTTCACGCAGATGACGAAGGGTGGCCGGGCGGCTCGGAAGTGCAGGATGGGGATTCGGGGCTTGGGTCTTTCCTGAGAGTGACAGTGGCCATCAGTCCTGCCCGAGCCTGGAGCTTGTCCCCGGAGAGACGCCCTCAGGGTGCACGCAGCCACCAAGTTGGCTCACACAGGAGCCAGGGCTTGGGCAGCAGATAACGTGCCAGGGTCACAGACTGCGGCAGGTGTTCAGAGCAGGAACCCGGCTCCCGCCACCCCCGCCTGACACCCGACTGCAGAACTGACCAGGGTGGGCTACCCCAAGGCCTAGACCCACGAGGGACAGCGGGGTTCTCCCCCCAAGAATGGGGGCTGGGCTCCCTGGAGGCCCCGAGGAGCCAGCACGGCCCAGGTGGACTCTGCCAAGGGGGAAGGCTCGGAGCAGCTGTCCCTCAGCCCCGGAGCAGGTGGTTGACCCCAAGGGTGACACCATGCGGCCCTGCACACCTGAGAGTCCTCGTGGCAATAGAAGCCTTTCCTGATCTTGTTCTCGTCCACGTCACAGAATGCCACCACCTGGGGACAAGCACAGAAGGGCAGCTCTGGACAGGCCGGGGCCAGGGCCTGTGCTGTGGGACAGTACGGGGGCAGGGCAGGCAGTGTTGGAGGGTGGCAGGATGCTCACCTTGCGCTGGCTGCCGGCAGTCAAGCTGCGGTACAGCCGGCGCCCCTGCTTGCCAGCGTTCCAGATGGTGAAGGCCGCCCAGCGGGGCAGGGCCTGCTCTTCCAGGAAGCGGACGCGGTGGGTCCAGATGGTCGTCCTGCGGTGGAGAAGAGGGTGATAGGCAGGCCGGAGGCCCCACAGATGCACACAGATGCTGACATACAGGGACATGATGTGTGCTCAGCTCACGTTGCCAGTGGAGTGGACACCTGGCCCAATGCCTAAGAGAGACTGGCTGTCCTACAGTCAGGCCACCTGCCCCAGCTGGACGTAGCCACATGCCTAGGTGGGGATCCACCCCTTCCATTAGACCCCAACAGGTGGGGACAGATGAGAAGCTGTCACTTAAGAATCTAGAAGGTTCTGGAAGGCAGAATTTCTGTAGGACGCAGAGGACTGGACTTGACCCAAGTCCAGTTTCCCAGAGAAACCTTTGTCCATAAGGACACATGCAACCATCCCATAAAATCCCAGCGTTCACACTTGGACACGACCTTCTGCCTCAGGGTCGCTGCCCCGAACCCTTCCACTCCCCTGGGAACCTGGTCTCTGTTCTCCCTCTGCTGTGACAAGTCGACCCCAGGCTGCTGTCCCGGGGGGAGCAGGCTCCTTCCCATGACCTGCTGCTCTGCCCAGCGCCCAGCCCCATCGCTGCCCGGGCCCTTCCCAGCCCCGCCCTCTCTCCTCCCACCGCAGCCCCTCCCCACGTGCCCCATCGCTGTCTGCCTGTGTGTGCCTCTCCCTCAACCCTGCTCCTGGAGCTGCCCGGGCTGAGCCCGTCTCAAAGCCCCAGGAGCTGGACGGGCCAGAAGCTAGAGGGGCAGGGGATGCAGAGGCCAACGGGGCCAGAACGGCGTGGGATGTGTCCCAGATGCTGTCCTCCCCAATGGCCGCGATGTAGCCACGCTGAAGCCCGGTACCCCACAGACCCTGCCCTGGCCGAGTCCTGGGATGCCCTCTGCTGTGTCAAGGGAGCTGTGTCCGTGGGAGTCTCCTCCGGGGTGGGGTCTGGGCCAGACACAACCAACACTGGCTGGTGACGGGCCTCCCCTGAGCAGGGCCCTCGTGGGTTCAGCCTCGGGATCGGGGCAGGATTTCGCTGTTCTACGATTCTGCTGCTGCCTCCGCCTCCCGGGATAAACTTGTGACTCCCCCCCAACCCTGTGGCACCCCCTGTTTGTAGCAGAACCCCCACAGGCAATGGGATGGGGGGGATGGGGGGACACGGGGTCCCCTCTGTCAGCTCAGGGAGCTGCAGGGCTTAGGCACTGTCAGGGAGGTCCTGCCTGGAGTCTACCTTTTCCTCCCCAACCCTCTGCAGCCACCTCAATAGTCCGGACCCCACCTGGGACACAGGGAGATGCTTATCCCAGTCAGTGACTTGGGGACACTGAAGCATGTGTGTGTGTGTGTATACTGTGTGGGGGTGTATGGTGTGTGTGTGTGTACACTGGGGGTGTATGGTGTGTGTGTGTGTGTACACTGGGGGTGTATGGTGTGTGTGTGTATACTGTGTGGGGGTGTATGGTGTGTGTGTGTGTATACTGTGTGGGGGTGTATGTGTGTGTGTGTACACTGTGGGGGTGTATGGTGTGTGTGTGTGTATACTGTGTGGGGGTGTATGGTGTGTGTGTATACTGTGGGGGTGTATGGTGTGTGTGTGTGTACACTGGGGGTGTATGGTGTGTATGTGTGGGGGTGTATGGTGTGTGTGTACACTGTGTGGGGGTGTATGTTGTGTGTGCACAGTGTGCATGTGTGGTGAGTGCATGTGTACATGAGCACGTGTACAGTGTGTGCAGGTGTTCGGAGTACATGCCTGTATGTACTGTGTGGATGTGTGTACACGCATGTGTACACGTGTGTGCAGTGAGGGCCTGTGCATGCAGTATGAGTACATGTATGCAGTGAGTGCACATGCCTGCATGTACCGTGCAGATGTGTGTACATGCAGTGTGTGTGCACGTGAGTGCGTGTGTGCAGTGAGCGTGTGCAGTGAGTACGTGTGTATACTTTCGTGCACGTATGTGTGTGCATGCTGTACATGTGGTCTGTGTGCACGTGCAGTGTGTGTGTGTGTGTGAGAACCTGGGTGAGGACAGCTCCTGCAGACGGCTGCGGGGACTTCCCCACCAGGTGACGCAGCCTCGCCGGGTTTTGGCATCTTGTCCTTAGCAGCCCGGGTGTGTTGGGTGTCTCGGGGCGGGGGGACGAGCCTGATCCTCCTCATCCACTGACATCAGCTTAGGGACCCCAGGGGGTTCACGTGACAGGAAAGCAGTCAGGGCTCCAGAAGAAAGCGGGGGGCCTCTGTGGCCGTGGGTGGCACGCGAGGTTTGGGGGGCCTCTGACACCGGCCTCCTCGACGGCCCCTTGTCTCCTGGGCTTTCCTAGGGGTCTCTGGTCTGAAAATGTTGGCCCATCGTAGGAAGGTAAAATGTAGAAGCAGCCATGATGTCTGTATTTGGTTCATCTTCATTTTTCACATTTTAAAAAGTTCTCATTTAATCAGGGAGAACAGGCTCCCCAGGGCGCCCTATGCCTCTCTTTTTACATCCTCAGAGGAAGCCGTGGCCCCGCCTTAGCACCGGGAAAGGTGGAAACCCAGTTTTTCCCAAAAGCACAAGACAGCATTTCTGGAAATGTTGCAAAGGAGCTGAAGTGTCAGGGACACGTCACCGCATGAGGAGGCGGCCAAGGTGCCGGTGGGCATAAGGGAGAGGAGCGCGGACGCGGGAGGCCCCAGCATGCAGGAGTGAGGATGATGCCCCCAATGGGGAAGCTCGTGGCCCTCCTGCCAACCCCCCAGCCCCACCCCGTGACCTTGGACCTTAGACCCCCTGGGGAGCTGGGATCTTGCCGAGAGTCTCAACCCCATCACGGCAGGCCTGGGACCATCGCGGCTCCCACACCCACACATGACCCTAGTTGGGGTCTTGAGACTCCGGGGGCCCTGAGTACCCGTAGGGGCCGAGACGCAAGCCTCGGACGGCGGCCTGCTTTCCAACTTAACGCTGCGGCACGCGGCAGGCAGGTGGCCGAGACCTCTGTGTCCTCACAGTTCTAAGGAGGGAACTGTCTGCCCGGATCTAAGGAAGGAATTCTACATGCAGTTTCACCCCGATTTGCCTCACCCCTGCCACGGCTCCAACGCAGCCACGCGGCACCCCCAGACCCGGGCCCACGTGGCCGCTCCTCACAGTGACACGGGAGAGGGAGGCGGACCCCGCAGCACTGGGCGCGTCCTCACTGGGTGCTGCGATTCCCTGGCCGTGCCTCTGCCACCCTCCACGGCAGCTGCGCCCCCCAGGCCTGTGGTCCCCGCCGGACCCCACTCATGAGACTCCCGTCGGGTTAAAGGGAGCACAGGGTTTCAGAAGGACCCGGCGCGTGGTCATTTTACCTCTGGGAACTAGGGAAGGACGTTCGGCCTTCACCCTGGCGCTCCCTGGCGCCCTTGGGAAATGCCCCTTCGTGGACGCCGAATCCCCGCCACCCTCGGGATGTGCTGTTGCCCCGTGTCCCACCAGACCCTGGGTCTCAAGGCAGAGCCTGACCACAGCCTCTGGGGTCGGCCCCACCAACCCCGGCCCCGACCTCGGGCGCCTCCCGTGTTCCTGGCCTCTCAGGCGTCCCGGGGCCGGGCGGGGCTGACTCACTCGAGGACGCAGTGCGTGGCCGCCTGTGGGTGGTGGCGATACAGCAGGAGACTCTGGTCCACGCGGATGACGCCGCCGCCCTTCCTGAGGTGCTCGTAGAAGAACAGCAGGTCCTCCGGGACGCCCTGCAGGGCGGGAGAAGCAGAGGCATCACTGGGGCCCCAGAAACGCGTGCCTGCCCCGGATGCACACTACACCTGCGCTCAGCCGGCCAACCAGGAACCGGTGGAAAAGGCTTTTGTTGCAAAGAAACCGGTCTAGAGGCTCAACAGGGACGTGGGGCGGCGACCACAACAGACGTGAGCAACCGAGCTTCTCCACAGGCGGGAAAGAGGGGAAGGGAGGGTGGGCTGGGTCTTGGTTCTGCCCCAAATTCCATTTTGAGCAGTAAAGGTCTCAGGGCAAAGAGGAAGACAGGCAGCCGAGGAAAGGGGCTGGGGTGGGTCAGGGTCTCACAGCCACGGCTCCTGGATGGCTGGTCCGGCCTCCGTCCCCATCCTTTCCTGCCAGTGGCTGCAGCCCCAGAAGCTCAAGGGACTCAAAGTGCCGACTGTGGGCAGAGGACAGTGGTGCTGGGTGGGCGTGTGGGGCTGCGGGCAGGGGAGCCCAGCAGTGGGGAGGCAGCCCCGGGCCTGTGCCAGCCCTGCTCACTTGTCCAAGCTCAGAAACTTGAACCTCAGCCCACGGGGCTTATCCCCGAACACTCCCTCCATGTCAGTGGGACTCTGCTCCAGAACATTCTGCAGGCATTCCCACCAGACTTTTCTGTCCTGTGAGAACCTGGGCCCTGCTTTCCCCGGCCCATGATCCCAGTGGCCCCTGCCCTCTGCTTGCTCCTCTCCTGGGTGACCCCAATCCTCAGCCCAGGGCTCTGGGCCTTGTGTGGAGCCGGGCCCCTGTCGCTTTCTTAAATTCAAACAAAACTGAGGGAGGAGCAGGGCGTGGAGTCTGGTCTCCTCGTGGTTCTCTGCGGCAGCTCACCTGGGTCAGCCGCCCGGAGACACCTTTGCTCCAGGAAAGGGCAGGTTTTCTGAGAGCCTAGCAGCAGGGCCAGTCTATCACCAAGTCCAGCCTCTTCTCTCCTTGGCTGGTACACAAACTTCAAGTGCAGGTCAGTAAAGTCCCCAAACTATCACGGCCCAACCGCTGGCCTGTTTGCTCCCAGGACAGACAGGCAGTGCTATGGTTCCACGTCCAAAAAAAAGGCACTGTTTAACCTCCGCCTCTCCAGGGCGATCCCTTTTACAAAAACCACGATGACATGGAAAGATTTGTAAGAAGATGCTGAGTCAAAGAACAGACCTCAAAATCATGTGTCAGCCCTGCTAAAAGTTTATCCACCATAAGATAAAGACAAAGGAATCACAGAAGCCCACATGCTGTCTCACACGGGTGATTTAGGGTGGAGGGTCCCGCGGGTGCTGGTGGACACGGACCCTCACACGGGTGATTTAGGGTGGAGGCTCCCGCGGGTGCTGGTGGACACGGACCCTCACACGGGTGATTTAGGGTGGAGGTTCCTGTGGGTGCTGGTGGGCACGGACCCTCACACGGGTGATTTAGGGTGGAGGCTCCCGCGGGTGCTGGTGGACACGGACCCTCGCAGGGGTCACTGAGGTATTTTCTTTAATTTTCTGTGTCTTCAAAGGCAGCTCTAAAGAGCACTGGAACTCTCAACATGTTACAGGTTTAAGAAGAGAAAAAAGGTTTCTCTCTTCCTATCACCAGAAGAGCCCGACCCTTGGGGTTTTCTTATTTTCTGGCAGTAAAGTGAGAATTTAGTCAACAGCCGCTCCCGGGTGGTGCCTCTGCCCTGGGAGGAGGGGGACGCAGAGGATCTGTCCCATTTTTCTCCCCTCCCCTGATTGCTGCTGCTGAGACCTGAGAGGCCCGAAATGGCCTCACTCCTCCCCCAGGCTTTTCCCAATCAGCCTCCAGGTGCCTGGACTGCCCTGTGGTGTGGAGGACCCCTGGCGGGGCGCAGGGAGAGGGGGAGGGGTCACAACCCAGAAAGGCATCAGGGAAGAAGCCGAGTGGAGGAAGTGTGGCCGCCGCCCAGCCCCAATCTGCTCACAGAACCATCCTCGGGCAGCCTTGGGGGATGGAGCACCCAGAACTGCCTGGAGGAGAAAAGCGTGAGCTAAAGCCACTCCCAGGAAGGCCGGGCCAGAGGCTGTGGAGACTCGGATCCTGAGGCAAAAGGAAGCCGAGTCAGGGACGCGCTTCCTTCCCCAGGGCTCGTCCCCAGCGCCACCCGCCCTTCTCTAGAGCCCCATCCCCAGCGCGAACCTCCAGGAGGAAGCAGCAGTCACCACGCGGGGACAGAAGGGGGAGAGCTCGAGCCAGGGCCCAGCGATTGGAGTCCGCGGAACGCAGGGACATGAAGTCCAGCAGAGAAAACTAAAAACTGGCAACACTTCCATGGATAAAAATTCAGCCTCTCCCTCTACAATAGCAACAAACCCCAAACCAGGAAACAGAGACCCCTGTAAATAACCCACCAAGATAAATTCCACACCCTCCACCAGTGTTTCAGGCTACAGGGTGGGATATGCGGGGAGGTGGCGGAGACCCATCTTGAATCAGAAATTCAAGGACTAAGTGCAAAACTGGACCCTAATGGGGTGGGTCTAGAGCATTGAAGAAAGTGCATTAGTGCTTGGCTAGGGCTGGCAGGTGGCTGTTAGATGAGGTGCGCCCCTGGGTGCAGGAAGTGTTTTTTGGGGGATGACAACTTCCTAACATTAGATGGTAGTGGTGACTGGTGATTGTACAGCCCTATAAATTTGCTAAAAAAAAATTGAATTGCACATTTTAATAGGTGAATTGTATGGCATGTGAATTATACCTCAATAAAGCTTTTATATAAAATTGGATCGATTTAACTAAAAAAAGAAATTTTAAGAAGAGACAAAATTGGTTGGGTGTGGTGGCTCATGCCTTTAATCTCAGCACTTTGGAAGGCTGAGGTCGGGGGGGTGGATTGCTTGAGCCCAGGAGTTCGAGACCAGCCTGGGCAACATGTCGAAACCAGTCTCTACCAAAAATAGGAAAAAAGTAGCTGGGCATGGTTGTGTGCACCTGTAGTCTCAGCTACTCAGGAGGCTGAGGTACAAGGATTGCTTGAACCTGGGAGGCAGAGGTTGTAGTGAGTGAGCCACTGCACTCCAGCCTCAGGAACAGAGTGAGACCCTGTCTCAAAAAAAAAAAAAAAAAAAAGGAACAAAATATATGAAAAATGAAGACTAAATTACAAAATCCTTAAGAGAAAATGATTTTAATTAAAAATTTAATAAGGGACACTGAAGAAAGGAAAATAGAAATTATATAATGAAAGAAGTGAAAAGGGTTAGAAAGACTAAGAAAATCTAACCAACATAGAATTGGAGTTTTTAAAACACAAAAAACAATAGACATAGCTAGTATTTAAAACGGACGCCTACAGGTGCGTCCCACGGGGGATGGGGACACGGACGCCTGCAGGTGCACCCCCACGGGGGGACGGGGACACGGACGCCTGCAGGTGCACCCCACGGGGAGGACGGAGACATGGATGCCTGCAGGTGCACCCCCACGGGGAGGACGGGGACACGGACGCCTACAGGTGCACCCCCACGGGGGGGACGGGGACACAGACGCCTGCAGGTGCACCCCCACGGGGGGACGGGGACACGGACGCCTGCAGGTGCACCCCCACGGGGGGGACGGGGACACGGACGCCTGCAGGTGCACCCCCACGGGGGGATGGGGACACGGACGCCTGCAGGTGCACCCCACGGGGAGGACGGGGACACGGACGCCTGCAGGTGCACCCCCACGGGGGGGACGGTGACACGGACGCCTGCAGGTGCACCCCCACGGGAGGACGGGGACACGGACGCCTGCAGGTGCACCCCCACAGGAGAACGGGGACATGGATGCCTGAACGTGCACTCCCACAGGGAGGACGGGGACATGGACACCTGCAGGTGCACACCCACAGGGAGGACGGGGACATGGACGCCTGCAGGTGCACCCCCATGGGGAGGACGGGGACACGGATGCCTGCAGGTGCACCCCCATGGGGAGGACGGGGACACAGACACCTGCAGGTGCACTCCCACGGGGGGGATGGGGACACAGACGCCTGCAGGTGCACTCCCACGGGGGGGACGGGGACATGGACGCCTGCAGGTGCACCCCCATGGGGGGGACGGGGACACAGACGCCTGCAGGTGCACCCCCGGGGGGAGGATGGGCTCCCCTTCTCCCTCTGTTGTCCCAGAGACAGCTCTGCCAAAAGCTTCCGTGTCCTGCGCTTTCCCAGACACAGCTTTTAAACCAGGATGCAGTAACCTGGAGCCAGTGTAGGTCAGGTGCAGATGCCCAGGGCACCCACAGCCTTCATGCAGAAACCCCCTGCTTTCAGCAAAACAACTAAGATGCTGGCAGGTGCCAGGAGGGGGCACCGGGAGGACCCTCAGGCAGGGGTTTCCTAAATCTGCAGAGCCCCGGAGGCATGGCAAGGCGGAGGGTGGCCAGTGTGCAGAGCCCACACACAGAGACAGGGCCCCGAACCTGGGGGAGGGACCTGATTCCCGCCTTCGGCCCTTACCTGACCTCCCTCGTTAAAGGGGCCCACGTGGGAGAACCACGCTCGCGAGCAGAACCAGGTGGGCATGATCACCGTGGGGCCATTTGAGGTGAAAACCTAGAAGCAATTAACGTTGACAGAGTTAGCGGAAAAGAACAGCTTGTCACAAACAACCTGCAGTTTATTTCCACAAAGTGTCACGAGAAAGTGACAGATGAATCCGTGTCCCTTCTCCACAGGGTCAGGGCCTCAAGAGACTTCACCACGGGGCCGACGTGTCCCTTCTCCACAGGGACGGGGCTCAAGGGGCTTCATGACGTGGCTGACGTGTCCCTTCTCCAGTGCTGTGATCATCACTCACTGTAGCCTTGACCTCCTCAAGCAATCCTCCTATCTCAGCCTCCCAGGTAGCTGGGACCACAGGCGTGTGCCACCACACCTGGCTGATTTTTACTTTTTTTTTTTTTTTGTAGAGATGTTTGTCACTCTGTTGCTCAGGCTGACCTCAAACCCCTGGCCTCAAGCGATCCTCCCACCTGAACCTCCCAAGCAGCTAGGACTATAGGCGCACACCACCGTGCCTGGCTATTTTCTTACATTTCTTTTGTAGAGATGGGGTCTCACTACACTGCTCAGGCTGGTCTTAAACTCCCGGCCTCAAGCGATCCTCCCAGCTCAGCCTCCCAAAGTGCTGGGATTACAGGTGTGAGCCATCATGCCTGGCTCAACGGAGATTCTAAAATGTATATAGAAACACAAAGGACCTAGGAGAGCCAGCACAATTTTGAAAACCATGAACAAAGTTGAAGTTTCATGACTGTATTTCAAGATTTACTACAAAGCTATGGTGATCAAGGTTGATTGGTATCAGCTTATGGGCAGACAGACAAACGGAACAGAACAGAGACCAGAAGCAGAGCCGCCTGGCTGGGGTTTGATGTTTGCTGAAGACATCAGGGGCGTCAGTGGTGGAAATGAGAGATGGCGCTGGAACCACTGGTGTCCTTACAAACCATGGCCCTCAACCCTTGCCTCAGGCTCCAAACACAAAGCCCCAGCCTCAGACCGGACCTCAGTGAGCTGAACACAAAAGAGGCAACGAGCTCATCCAGGGAGAACATTCGTGATTATGGGGTAGGCAAAGGTTTCTCAGGTAAGAAGAGGCACAAATCACAGCAGAAGACATGGATAAACCAGATGCCACCAAAGTCAAATATTTGGTTCTTTGAAAGATCCTGCAAAGAAAACGAAAAGATAATCCAGGCTGGGACAAAACATTTGCAATAAGTGCGTTTCACTGAGGATGTACGTTCGGCGAACACTAAGTACCCTCAGCACCCATTAATAAGAAGACAGGCAATGAGTTAAAGATGGGAGAAGGGCTGAAAACACTTCCTCAGACGTAAATTAGTCAGGTCGTGAAAACGTGCTCTATGTGACTAGTCATCAGGGAAATGAGTTTTCGGTAGGGAAGTCCACCTAACGGCCTCATCTGAACTTTGCATCTGCAAAGACCTTGTTTCCAAACAACGCCCACATTCTGAGATTGGGGGTGAGGACACCAACATATCATTTTGGGGGGACACCATGGAGCCCACGACATTTTCACTTCTTGGGTGGCTGAAGTGATGTTTTCCTATAACTGACACTGAGATTACGCCAGCATCTGTACGTTCCTGGAGGTGCTGTGTGTGTGAACACGCAGGTCAGGCAGAGACACAATGGCTGAGAACCATCGTGTAACACAGCCTCGTCTCACTGTGGATCCCTTTGAAGCCTAAAGACTTTCTGCTTGTCGTCCATCCTGAGGAAGGTCGCTGGTTAAGACAAGTCCTCATCAGCACAGTGGCCCTCACCTGGGGCTGATTTGTCCCCAGGAACATTTGTTTGGAGACATTCGGGGCTGTCACACTGCGGGGGTGGGGGTGCTACGTGCATCTGGTTGCAGATTCCAGAGACAGAGAAATAAAATTCGAACTGCAATGAAATACCATTGCACCCTCTAGGACTGTTACAATTTTAAAAACTGAAAATAAGGCACAGTGACTCACACCTGTAATCCCAGCACTTTGGGAGTCCGAGGCGGGAGAATCGCTTGAGCCCAGGACTCTGAGACCAGCCTGGGCAACTCTACAAATAATAATAATAATAATAAAGTAGCTGGGCATGGTGATGCTCCCCTGTAGGCCCAGCTACTCAGGAGGCTGAGGTGGGAGGATCCTTTGAGCTCCGGAAGTCAAGGGTGCAGTGAGCTGTGATCGCACCACAGCACTCACTCCAGCCTGGGCGACAGAGGGAGACCCTGTCTCTTAAAATATAAAAAGTAAAAATAAAAATAAACACTGACAGTACCAAGTAAAAATCTTACATAACGCTGAAGGGAAGGAAAAACAGTATAAACACTTTGCAGAGCAGGCAGGCTCTTAGAGAGTTAAACACAGACTTCCACGCAGCCAGCCGTTCCAGTCCTAGACATTTACCCAAGAAAAATGCAAACACACGTCCATCCGGCACCATCCATGTGTGTTCACGGCAGCCCCAGCACCCGTCCCCGTGTGTTCACGGCAGTCCCAGCACCGTCCCCGTGTGTGTTCACGGCAGCTCCACGCACAGCAGCCCCAGACTGGAGGCCCCCAAATGTCCGTCAACAGTGAATGGATAAGCCCTGTGGTGCCCGTACCACGAGTCCAGTGGAGCCCTCACCAGCAACCAAGGGAACAAACTGCCGGTCAGGGCAGCACAGATGTCTGTCGGCAACAGGGAAGGGAGGCAGTCACCAGTGTGCACGGTGCACAGATGTCTGTCAGCAACAGGGAAGGGAGGCCAGTCACCAGTGTGCACGGTGCACAGATGTCTGTCAGCAACAGGGAAGGGAGGCCAGTCACCAGTGTGCACGGTGCACAGATGTCTGTCGGCAACAGGGAAGGGAGGCAGTCACCAGTGTGCACAGTGTGACCCCACTTACACAAAACCCTAAAAAGTGGGAACCTAACCTAACCTGCAGGGACAGACGTCGCATCTGTGGACGCCTAAGGCTGAGGGTGCCTGGGCCTGACTGCAAAGGCATAGCCTTAAAATTTGTCTTGTTGGCCGGGCGCGGTGGCTCACGTCTGTAATCCCAGCACTTTTGGAGGCTGAGGCGGGCGGATCACTTGAGGTCGGGAGTTCGAGACCAGCTTGACCAACATGGAGAAACCCCGTCTTTACTAAAAATACAAAATTAGCCAGGCATGGTGGCACATGCCTGTAATCCCAGCACTTTGGGAGGCTGAGGTGGGCGGATCACCTGAGGTCAGAAGTTTGAGACCAGCCTGGCCAATGTGGTGAAACCCCATCTCTACTGAAAATATAAAAATTAGCTGGGCGTGGTGGCAGGTGCCTGTAGTCCCAGCTACTCTGGAGGCTGAGGCAGGAGAATCGCTTGAACCCAGGAGGCGGAGGTTGCAGTGAGCCAAGATTGTCATTGCACTATAACCTGGGTAACAGAGCAAGACTCCATTTCAGGAAAAAAAAAAAAAAAGAAAAGAAAATTTATTTTGTTTTGTTTTGAGACAGAGTCTCGCTCTGTCGCCCAGGCTGGAGTGCAGTGGCGCGATCTCAGCTCACTGCAACCTCTGCCTCCCGCATTCAAGCGATTCTTGTGCCTCGGCCATCGGAGTAGCTGGGACTACAGGTGTGCACCACCACGCCTGGCTGATTTTTGTATTTTAGTAGGGACAGGGTTTCGCTACATTGCCCAGGGCTGATTTTTGTATTTTTAGTAGGGACAGGGTTTCGCTACGTTGCCCAGGCTGGTCTTGAACTCCTGGCCTCAGGTGATCCACCTGCCTCGGCCTCCCAAAGTGCTGGGATTACAGGCGTGAGCCACTGCCCCGGCCTAAGTAAAAATTTTAAAGCCCAGCGTGGTGGTGCACGCGCCAGTGGTCCCAGCAGAGAGGCTGAGGTGGGAATTCGAGCCTCGCCTGAGGCCAGGAGTTTGAGGCTACAGTATGCTGTGCTTACACCTGTCAACAGCCACTGCACACCAGCCTGGGCAACATAGCAAGACCCCATCTTTTAAATTTTTTTTTTATACAGAGTCTTGCTGTTACCCAGGCTGGAATGCAGTGGCGTGATCACAGCTCACTGCAGCCTCAACCTCCCCGGCTCAAGCGCTCCTCCTGCCTCAGCCTCCTGAGAAGATGGGACTACAGGTGTGGACCAGCACACCTTGCTAATTTTTGTATTTTTTGTTGAGATGGGGTTTCACCATATTGCCCAGGCTGGTCTTGAACTCCTGAGCTCAAGTGATCCACCCACCTTGGCCTCCCAAAGTTGTGGGACTCTGGGTGTGAGTCACCGTGCCTGGCCAAAAATTAAAAAAAAAAGTCTTTGCTACCACCAAGGAAACTCTCAGAACGAACATTTTAAAGTGAAATAACGCAGTTCTATGGGATAACTTCGAGCAACCTACGTTTCGCACATCAAAGCTTTGGTGCTTCTGCGTCGTGACAGGTGGGTGCCTGTCACACAGGGTGCCCCCTGGGACATCAGGAAGAGCCCCGAGGGGGTCCTGGAAGCCAGGCCAGCCAAGGCCACAGCACCTGGTGCCAGTTCCAGGCAGGGGGCTTGGCACATCCGTGAATACCCCACGGGCCCCGAGGCCCCCTGAGAGGCTGCAGTTTCCAGCAAATGTGAAACATCTGCCCGGACAAATACAGCCTTCCCTCAACCCTCAGAAAAACGGATTTCACGATTACAAAGCAACCATTTAGCTTCCTGTTCTCAACTTTTGCTTGCTGAAAAATCCAGAGGCATTTTCTGGCAGGTTGACTCTGCAGCCAGACACCTGGAGCTTCTGCCGTTTGCACGGTGGTGAGGACGACCTGAGAAAACAAACACAGGTCCTCCCCACCCAGCGTGGCCGCGACCTCCGCACCCGGCGTGGCCGCGACCTCCGCACCCGGCGTGGCCGCGACCTCCGCACCCGGCGTGGCCGCGACCTCCCCACCCGGCGTGGCCGCGACCTCCGCACCCGGTGTGGCCGCGACCTCCGCACCCAGCGTGGCCGTGATGCGAGGCCTCTGCACACGGTGGCTGTGCCCTGGTCACGTGGCCGAAGCCCTGGAGCTGTGGCAGGTCCTCCGTGGGCTGTGAGTGTGAAATACACATGACATTCTGGAGACTTGGTATAGGAAAAAGAATGTAAAATGTCACTGATAGGACATTTGGCTCATGCTTCTGGTTGGGGTATGTCCAAGACCGGGCAGCTGCCTTTGCGGGGGGCCTCAGGCTGCTTTAACCCGGGTGGAGAGCGGAAGGCAGTGGTGTACGCAGAGAGCATGTGGCAAGGGAGGACGCAGGAGAGAAACCGAGGCAGCCGGGTCCGTTCCACAGGTCGGCGTCGTGGGGCGCAGTGCGTTCCTGCGAGGGCTCACTCAGCGCTGTGGGAGGCATTCATCCGTGCACAAGGGGTCCCCTCGAGACCCCAGCACCTCCCACACAGCCACGCTGGGGGTCAAATTTCAACGTTTCACGGGGACAAACCACATCCAAACCACGGCAATTATATCCAGGCCGGTCTGTGCTCACGGGACGTTTCTATCGGACAGAATTACGCATCTGTCTGCAAAACAGCTCAATCCATTCTTTAGTGACAACGATCCAGAAACAAGAGCATAAGGACGCGCACAGACACCGTGAGGACGGAGCAGGGACACGGGCTCCGCCAGCTCCAGGGAGGGGCTCAGTCAGCACAGAGCACTAGGGGCTGCACCTGAACTGCCAGGCGCCCGGCGAGTCCTCCAAGCATGGGCAAGCGCTGGGGTGGGGGCAGCTCCGTGGCAGCGACTGGGGCCAGCCACGCGCCGTCTCCTCCCTGGGGCCTCCGAGTGGGAAACCAAGGCGAGGACCAGCAGAAAGAAAGGCTGGGAAGGAGGCGTGGGGGCTACTGTGCCAACCACACCACACTCATAGGGGCCAGAAGGACCCGGTACTGACCACACCACACCACAGGGGCCAGAAGGACCTGGTGCCGACCACACCACACCACAGGGGCCAGAAGGACCTGGTGCCCACCACACCACACCACAGGGGCCAGAAGGACCTGGTGCCGACCACACCACACCACAGGGGCCAGAAGGACCTGGTGCCGACCACACCACACCACAGGGGCCAGAAGGACCTGGTGCCCACCACACCACACCACAGGGGCCAGAAGGACCTGGTGCCGACCACACCACACCACAGGGGCCAGAAGGACCTGGTGCCGACCACACCACACCACAGGGGCCAGAAGGACCTGGTGCCGACCACACCACACCACAGGGGCCAGAAGGACCTGGTGCCGACCACACCACACCACAGGGGCCAGAAGGACCTGGTGCCGACCACACCACACCACAGGGGCTAGAAGGACCTGGTGCCGACCACACCACACCACAGGGGCTAGAAGGACCTGGTGCCGACACACCACACCATGGGCCAGAAGGACCTGGTGCCGACCACACCACACCACAGGGGATAGAAGGACCTGGTACTGACCACACCACACCACGGGCCAGAAGGACCTGGTGCCGACACACCACACCATGGGCCAGAAGGACCTGGTGCCGACCACACCACACTCATAGGGGCCAGAAGGACCCGGTACTGACCACACCACACCACAGGGGCCAGAAGGACCTGGTACTGACCACACCACACCACAGGGGCCAGAAGGACCTGGTACTGACCACACCACACCACAGGGGATAGAAGGACCCAGTACTGACCACACCACACCACAGGGGCTAGAAGGACCTGGTGCCGACCACAGCACACCACAGGGGCTAGAAGGACCTGGTGCTGACCACACCACACCACAGGGGCTAGAAGGACCTGGTGCCGACACACCACACCATGGGCCAGAAGGACCTGGTGCCGACCACACCACACCACAGGGGATAGAAGGACCTGGTACTGACCACACCACACCACGGGCCAGAAGGACCTGGTGCCGACACACCACACCATGGGCCAGAAGGACCTGGTGCCCACCACACCACACTCATAGGGGCCAGAAGGACCCGGTACTGACCACACCACACCACAGGGGCCAGAAGGACCTGGTACTGACCACACCACACCACAGGGGATAGAAGGACCCAGTACTGACCACACCACACCACAGGGGCTAGAAGGACCTGGTGCCGACCACAGCACACCACAGGGGCTAGAAGGACCTGGTGCCGACCACACCACACTCATAGGGGCCAGAAGGACCCGGTACTGACCACACCACACCACAGGGGCCAGAAGGACCCGGTACTGACCACACCACACTCATAGGGGCCAGAAGGACCTGGGGCTGTGAGCGGAAGGGGCTGGAGAGTTCTGGAACGCTTCCCCGAAGGAGGGGGCCCCTGTGTCACACACAGCACGGAGCTCTGATGCCTTCGTGTGCTCCCGCGGCTGCCAGCCTGGACAGGGCCATGTGCACAGCCTTGGGGCCACCGCCCACTCACAAGCCCAGGCCTGGGGCTCACACAGGACAGAAAATGGAAGCACAGACACTGTACCGAGACCAAAGGAACCGAAAGGAGAAAAGGGCAAACCCACAATGAAAGCTGGAGACGCCCTGGTGGTCTGTTAACAGGAGGACGAGTAGACACAAAGCAAATAACGACTCTGAAGATTGAAAACACCTGTGACCATCTGTGGGTTTTTCAATTTCATGATTGATAATTGATTAGAGCGAGGTAAAATCACTGAGCTATGAAGGACAAACTTTTAAGGAAAAGAAACACGGAGATACGGAACTGATAACATTTCAGTCTTTCATATAGACCAGGCCGGTTTTCACGGTCTTCCCGGGGAGCAGCGCTCCTGAGAATGGAAAAGGAGATGAAAAGCTTTTTCCAGCAGCACATGACGCCCGGGCAGGATTGGAGTCCGGCTCTCACCTGGCACCTGGTCCTTGGGTGTCGTGGAGGCAGGCGGGGTGGGGTGGGGGTGGACTCAGCCTCTTCCTGCTCCTGGGACACAGGAGGGAACCTGGTGCAACCGAAGCCTACACCGCGGGAACCACACACTGAGTTCGGAGCCGGCTAAGAAGTTACCTGCGTGTAGTTGTAAGCGTCAAACGAGCGGGCACAGAGCAGCCAGCACCCTTGAATCTTACGAACAGTCGGACTGGGTCCCAGAGAGGTGACCCAAAGGGGATGGAGCTCAGGGGCTCTCAGGCAGTGGCCCCACAATGGCGCTGGGGCTGCTAAGAGATGCCTTAGGATTCAACTCCTCTCCCGTGTGGACAGGAGAGAGTGGCAGAGACCCAGGTGGGCCCCGTGTACCTGTGTGTTCCCACCCCGCCTGCCACTGACCAGCAAGCAGCCCAGCCCCTTGCCCCATGGGGCGCGTTTCACCGTGGGTCGAGAGGGTGTCGTGGACCAGCACTCCACGCTCCATGGGCGACTGCCACTGCAGTGCTGTTTCTGCCCCTCGGAGAGTTCTCCTGCCCCTTGGGCCTCCCTGCCTCCAGTCTGAGCCGGTTCCAGGCTGTCCTCTACGGAGCTGGCAGAAGGTCCCACTTCCACTCTCCTGGTCCTCCCTGGCTCCTCATCAACCCTCAGCACCAAGCGTGGGCCCCACAGGTTTGGGGAACGCGTGCTGACTGAGGCCGCCCGGGTGGCCGGCGCTGACAAGCTGACCCTGGACACTGTGCGTGACAACCACACAGGCCCCCTGAGGTGAAGGACGAGCTTGGCTGAACGCTGGCCGCCTCGAGCAGAGGCCCAGGGCCCAGAGGTGGCTCAGTCTCAGCAGAACACAGCTGCCCTCAGGAGCTGCCCGCAAAGCAGCCAGCAGATTCAGGCGGGGCGGAGTCAGGGCGGACTTGGTGCCTCCCCAAGGGGTCAGGCAGAGCTGCGTCCCCTCGTGAGGGACAGGAGTGAGGCAGGAGGCTGCCAGCTGCCTGTTCCCATCCTGATCATATTTGCGGAGTGAGCTCAGGCTGTAAATGACCCTCTGACTGCTTGTGTGTGGGGATCCACCCAGGGTCTAATCAGCACATTCACCCCCCACAGCGGGTGTCCCTGGCCCCACATCAAGGCTGAGGGTGTGGGGGGCCACATTCCCTTCCAGTCTGAACTGGACCCTGGGGGTGAGCTGGGTCCCCCCCACAGCTTGGAACAGCGGCAGGAGGCACAGGCAGGCTGGGAACCAGTGTCTGCACGGCGCAGACAGGCACAGGTGGAAGCAGGCAAAGAACGTGGGGCTGGGACAGAGCCCGACTCCATCCTCCCAGGGGCCGGAGGCCACTTATGGGGAACCAGGGCCCCAGGACAGAGCCGGACTCCATCCTCCCAGGGACCGGAGGCCACTATGGAGAGTCAGGGCCCCGGGACAGAGCCGGACTCCATCCTCCCAGGGGCCGGAGGCCACTTATGGGGAACCAGGGCCCCAGGACAGAGCCCGACTCCATCCTCCCAGGGACCAGAGGCCACTATGGAGAGTCAGGGCCCCGGGACAGAGCCGGACTCCATCCTCCCAGGGGCCGGAGGCCACTTATGGGGAACGAGGGCCCCGGGACAGAGCCGGACTCCATCCTCCCAGGGACCAGAGGCCACTATGGAGAGTCAGGGCCCCGGGACAGAGCCGGACTCCATCCTCCCAGGGGCCGGAGGCCACTTATGGGGAACGAGGGCCCCGGGACAGAGCCGGACTCCATCCTCCCAGGGACCAGAGGCCACTATGGAGAGTCAGGGCCCCGGGACAGAGCCGGACTCCATCCTCCCAGGGACCAGAGGCCACTATGGAGAGTCAGGGCCCCGGGACAGAGCCGGACTCCATCCTCCCAGGGGCTGGAGGCCACTTATGGGGAACGAGGGCCCCGGGACAGAGCCGAACTCCATCCTCCCAGGGACCAGAGGCCACTATGGAGAGTCAGGGCCCCGGGACAGAGCCGGACTCCATCCTCCCAGGGACCAGAGGCCACTATGGAGAGTCAGGGCCCCGGGACAGAGCCGGACTCCATCCTCCCAGGGACCAGAGGCCACTATGGAGAGTCAGGGCCCCGGGACAGAGCCGGACTCCATCCTCCCAGGGACCAGAGGCCACTATGGAGAGTCAGGGCCCCGGGACAGAGCCGGACTCCATCCTCCCAGGGACCAGAGGCCACTATGGGGAACGAGGGCCCCGGGACAGAGCCGGACTCCATCCTCCCAGGGGCCGGAGGCCACTTATGGGGAAACAGGGCCCCAGGACAGAGCCCGACTCCATCCTCCCAGGGGCCGGAGGCCACTTATGGGGAACGAGGGCCCCGGGACAGAGCCAGACTCCATCCTCCCAGGGACCAGAGGCCACTATGGAGAGTCAGGGCCCCGGGACAGAGCCGGACTCCATCCTCCCAGGGGCTGGAGGCCACTTATGGGGAACGAGGGCCCCGGGACAGAGCCGGACTCCATCCTCCCAGGGGCTGGAGGCCACTTATGGGGAAACAGGGCCCCAGGACAGAGCCCGACTCCATCCTCCCAGGGGCCGGAGGCCACTTATGGGGAACGAGGGCCCCGGGACAGAGCCAGACTCCATCCTCCCAGGGACCAGAGGCCACTATGGAGAGTCAGGGCCCCGGGACAGAGCCGGACTCCATCCTCCCAGGGACCAGAGGCCACTTATGGGGAAACAGGGCCCCAGGACAGAGCCGGATTCCATCCTCCCAGGGGCTGGAGGCCACTTATGGGGAACGAGGGCCCCGGGACAGAGCCGGACTCCATCCTCCCAGGGACCAGAGGCCACTATGGAGAGTCAGGGCCCCGGGACAGAGCCGGACTCCATCCTCCCAGGGACCAGAGGCCACTATGGAGAGTCAGGGCCCCGGGACAGAGCCGGACTCCATCCTCCCAGGGGCCAGAGGCCACTTATGGGGAAACAGGGCCCCAGGACAGAGCCCGACTCCATCCTCCCAGGGGCCGGAGGCCACTTATGGGGAACAAGGGCCCCGGGACAGAGCCGGACTCCATCCTCCCAGGGACCAGAGGCCACTATGGAGAGTCAGGGCCCCGGGACAGAGCCGGACTCCATCCTCCCAGGGACCAGAGGCCACTATGGAGAGTCAGGGCCCCGGGACAGAGCCGGACTCCATCCTCCCAGGGACCAGAGGCCACTATGGAGAGTCAGGGCCCCGGGACAGAGCCGGACTCCATCCTCCCAGGGACCAGAGGCCACTATGGAGAGTCAGGGCCCCGGGACAGAGCCGAACTCCATCCTCCCAGGGACCAGAGGCCACTATGGAGAGTCAGGGCCCCGGGACAGAGCCGGATTCCATCCTCCCAGGGGCTGGAGGCCACTTATGGGGAACGAGGGCCCCGGGACAGAGCCGAACTCCATCCTCCCAGGGGCCGGAGGCCACCGTCAGGGAGTCAGGGCCCCAGGTGGCCCCAGGCAGGGAGGCCGGAAGACAGTCCTGCTGACCCGCAGTGCCCACCTCGAAGGCCACGGCAGGGGAGAAACTTAACGTAAGCCAAACGCTGGCCCACTGAACAAAGGGAGGCAGAGGAACACTGGGAAACGTATTCTCTATTAGAAGGAAAGATCGAGGACACCCATGAACGGAGGCCCGAAAGCAAGAGGAAAGGGGCTTACAGGCCGCGAAGTCGGAACCTGCGTGAATAAGGACAGCTGCGGCGCCGCCCCGACACGGACCGTGTTTGCATCCGTGACTTTAAAACGGCTTGAGGATGGAACCCCATGAACAGTAACACCCCCCACCCACCGGAGTATTCAGGAGTGACTGAGGTCGGGTCTGGGGTTGCTTCGAAAGACTCCGGGTGCTCAGTGTTGGGAGGGGGGTGAGTACCGTTATGTGACAGTGGTCTCTACCCCTTGGTGTACTTAACATTTTCAACAAAAAAAAACTTTTCTTTGTTTAAAAGCACTCATGGGTATCTGGAACGCAGCTACAGTGGGGAGCGAGCAACGCCCCAATCCTCAGGCTCTCCGGGGGGTCTGGGGTGCAACTCGAAACCCACCGCTGGTGACTCCCACTTCTGGTCACCGTGAAAGAGCTGGACCACTCTCCCTCCTCAGACAACTAGAAAATCACACAGAATCTGTGAAATGGAGGTGTTCAGGCACTGGACGCAGGGCAGGACGGTGACGCCCGAGAGGAGAAGCCGGCTGATTCCAGTCTGGGACCGAGGGGGGTGGAACGAGGCCTCAGAACAGCCTCGTTTTCACGCTGCCCATGTCACACACGAGCATGGAAACGTACGCTCTAGTACTTCCTGCGGTTTCTGTCTTCTCATCACCGGGGTTTGGTGCCCAGCATTTCCGCTCCATCCCGACCGATGTGCACTCCTGTTTTCCGTTTCCCAAGCTCCTCCTGCCCTGGGGCTTGGCTGGAGGTTCCCACAGGTGGTGGCAGTGGGTGGTCACCATGCGACCCGGGCCACCTCTGGTTACGTGGAGGGCATCAGGTGTTTTCCGTTGCTCCCCGAGTAATTCCGTAATTTTAAAAAAGCACGTGCTGTTTGTACCTAAAATCCTTTATTTCTATAAAAACAAGCCACGCGTGGCCTTTCCTTTCCCGGCTCCCAGGGCTGAACTCCCCTGCCTCCTCCTGGGGTCCCTTCTGCTTCTCCCCCAGGCTGCGAGTCTGTGAGTCCCATCTCACACCTTCCTCAGTTTGCTTCCTAATTTTAGGGACTGGCTCCAGCAAAGCCCCGAGGAAGGTTTTATCGGAGATGGATATGTTGAATCTGAATATGAAAAGGTTGTTATATCTCTGCACGTGATTGACACTTTGGTGAGGCATAAAATTCTTAGTTCAAAATCCTTTCTGTGAGAAATCTGAAACTAGTGTCCTGGTGTCTCCTGGATTCCGCTGCTGTGAGTGAGGAATTCCGGGCTCTTCGATTCCTGCTCCTTGGTGTTCCTCCCTCTGACTGTGCTTGGGCTCTGAAGCATCCCGACCGTGAACCCGGATGCAGGTCTCATTTCCTGCACGCAACACCAGGTGAGCCCTTCTAATCAGGTCACTCGTACGTTTTGGTTCTAGGAAATTTTTCTGTATTTTTCTTAGTTAATTTACTTCCTTCTATTTTTTAAAAAATCTGATTTTGCTATGTTGGACCAGTTGAAGCTGGGAGTGAAGTTTCTCAGAATGCCCTTCTCAGTACGAATCCAGTTGAGTCTAGAGACAAGGAGGAAGACGCCATTGCTCCCACATGTCAAGGGCCTGGTGAGTCTTCTCCACAACCCCAGCAATCAGCAGCAGCCCCACCCACTTCCCAATAATCCATGGGCCAAAGAGGAAGTCTCAAAAGAAATCTAAAATGTATTGACCAAAATGAAAATGGAAGTACATTGAAAACCTGTACAATGCGGCTGATGTAGTATGTAAAGGGAAGTTGCTGGCTCTACATGCTTACATTAAAAGAGAAGAGAGGTCTGAGGACAAAAAACTCAGCTTCCACATTAGAAAAACCACAAAGGAAGAGCAAAATGACACCCCAAAGCAAGCAGAAAAAAGAAACAATCAGGCAGAAATGAATGAAATTGAAAACAGAAAAACAATAGAGGAAAGTCAAACCAAGAGCTGGCTCTTTGAAGAGATTAATAAAATAGATAATAAACCAAGACTGATAAAAAAGTGAGAGGACCCAAATAACTAATACCTAAAATGAAAGGGGATATTACTACAGGCCTCACAGATACTAAACGCATCACAGAGAATACTATCAAATAACCCTAAACACACAAACTGGATAATTTAGAGCAAGTGGATCAATTCCTCAAAAATCGCAAGCTGCCAGAGCTGTAAGTTGCATTATACCAAGACGAAATAGAGTCTGAACAGTCCTGTAACTTTTAGGTATACGTTTCTGTAAGTTAGCAGTGGACAATTAGAAACCAAAATTAAACACACAGTAGCATGTATAATTGCCTAAAACAAATACTTAGGTATAAATCTAACAAATGTACAGGACTTGTACACTAAAAACTACAACATGTGAATGAAGGAAATCGAGGAAAATTTCAGTGGAGGACGGGACAAATAGTGAATTGGAAAACTCTATAGTAAAGATGTCAACTCTATACAAATTGATTTGTAAGTTTAACTCACTTGCTATGAAAATCTCAGCTAGATTCTTTGTAAATATAGGCAAGCTGATTCTAAAATTTATATACAGAGGCAGAAATACTAGAATAGCCAAAAACAAGTTAGAGGAAACACATTAACCAATTTTAAGACCTGGTCATCAAGATGATGTTACTGGTGGAGGGACAGACACACAGGTCAATGGACTAGAACAAAGTCCAGGAACAGACAGACCCACACTCTGTGGTCAGATGGTTTTTTGACAAGGCCCAGAAGCAACCAGTGGAAGAAGGATTTTCAGCAAAATCAGTGTAGAAACATGTGGGCATTCATAAGCCAAAACGAACAAACAAAACCCTTGATTTAAACCTCACACTAACTCAGCCTACAAGGACATAGCTCTAAATGTAAAATGTAAAACTATAAAACTTTTAGAAGAAAATCCTTATGTCCTAGGGTTAGGTGAAGTAGTCTTGGGTGTTGACACTCAAAGCATATTAAAAAAATACATCAAAAAATATCAATTAATTGGACTTCATCAAAATTAGAAACTTTTGTTCTGTGAAAAATTCTACGTGGATGAAAAGGGAAGCCCCCACGTAGAAAAGGCTGTTTTTCCTCTGCTCTCCCACCACAATGTGCGGGTCTGTTCTCCATACACCAAGCAAACCATCAGTTCTGGAGTAGACACCAGTCAGGCATCCTCTAACTCAATCCCAACACCATCTACCTGGAGACAGCCTCAGACCCCCCCAGGTGAGGGCTCAGTCCCCGTGACCCCTTCTCTTCAACTTCCAATGCCAACTGAAGTCCCAGGCTGTTTGACCCTCCAGCTATAAATCGGGGTTCCCACAACCTCTTCCTTGGATTCAGTTAATTTTCTAGAGGGACCCACAGAATTCAGGGAAACACTTACTTACACCTACCAGTTTATTAAAAAGAATGTTATTCAAGGATACAGATGAAGAGATGACGGGGAAAGGTATGGGGGAAGTGGTGTAGACGGTCTAGGTCCTCTTGGGGCCCAACACCCTCCAGGACCCTGCATGTGTTCAGCCATCTGGAAGTCCCCGAGGCTCGTCCCTTTGGGTTACTGTACGAGTTCATGATGTAGGTGTGGTTGCGTAGCTCGTGGGCCATTGCTGATCACCCTAAGCCTCAACCCCTTTCCCTCCCCGGAGGTTTGGGGGTGGGGCTCAAAGTTCCAACCCTCTGAGCACATGGCTGGTTCCCCTGGCAACCAGCCCCCCTCATCCTGCGGTATCTAGGGGTGTTCCAAAAATGCCTCATTAACATAAACTCAGGTGTGTTTGAAGGAACTTGTAAACAAAAGACTCTTCCAGCTTTATCTTTCAGAATTTACTTCAGAAACCAAGGACAAAAGGCTCAATACTTTAAAAGATATTCTTATTGCTCTAGTTACTTAGGAAATAATTACAGGGGGTCAGAGTCAGGGATCCTGGATAAAACGCCAAATCCATGATCCTAGTTCCAGCCACAGATCAGGAGGAAATGAGGTAGGCCCTTTAGCAATACAGGGTTTAGGGTGACCCACTCCCCATGCAGCCGAAAATCCACGTATAACCTTGGACTCCCCCAAAACTTAAGCACTGAGAAACAAAAGTGGCTCAGAGGAGTCGGCGCCACGCGAGGTATTCACCAGCCCCAGCGGAGCTGCGAGGGTGAGACCTGCATCATGCCTCCCCCGCCGCACCCATGTGGGGCCAACTGTTTAAAGGCATTTGTCTTCCTTTCCTTCCCTGTTGTTTCCAGGCTGGCTGAAAAATCACAAGAAATGTTACACAAGTTAGACAATGTGACCTTCACCCATTATCTTCATGCTCCTGGAATCTGTGATGCAAAGAACCATCTACAGCCAGTCAATAGCTTATGTTATTTTAATGAACCAGTGTGGGAACTTGCCCCTTCTTTCTTTCTTTCAAACCCACTGTAACTGCTGCTAACTGGAGCATATGTTCGGAGCCACCTGAATCTACGTCCCCCAGGATGCCGTCCTCACACGTGGCCCAAATAAACCCTCCACATGTACTAACTTTGCCTCAGCATCTTTCTTTAGGTTGACATGGCTGAGAGCCTACTGTTGACCGGATGCCTTACCAATAACATAAACAGGTGATCAACATTGTCCTGTACATTCTGTACGTTTTGTGTATTATATACCGTATTCTTACAATGAAGTAAGCTGGAGAAAAGAAAGTGTTACTAAGAAAATCATAAGGAAGAGAAAACACATTGACTATTCATTAAATGGAAGTGGATCATCACAAAGGCCTCCAACCTTCTCACCTCCGTGGTGATGGGCCGAGCGGGTGGAGGAGCCTCCATCTTTCTCACCTCCGTGGTGATGGGCCAAGCGGGTGGAGGAGCCTCCATCCTTCTCACCTCCATGGTGATGGGCCAAGCGGGTGGAGGAGCCTCCATCCTTCTCACCTCTGTGGTGATGGGCCGAGCGGGTGGAGGAGCCTCCATCCTTCTCACCTCTGTGGTGATGGGCCGAGCGGGCCGAGGAAGGAGGGTTCTTGCTGTCCCGGGTGTCAGTTCATCTGCGACTTTTTTCAAATTGTCATAAATCTCCAAAACATTTTCCAATATATTTATTTTTAAAACTCGTGTGTAAGTGGACTCCCAGTTCACACTCATGTTATTCAAGGATCAAATGTACTTGCAAGTTTTATCTCCAATGGAGGTCTTATGTCCAGAAGAAAACGCTCAGATTCAACAACAAAACCAGTAATGTAATTGGAAAATGAGCCCACAAAAGGGCCTCACGGAGATCCTCTTCCCTCCCGCCACGTGAATGGGATCAGAGCCCACGAAAGGGCCTCACAGAGAGCCTTGTCCCTCCCACCACGTGAGGACACGGTGAGAACCAGGAATCAGGCCTCACAGAGACCAAATCTGGTGCCTTGATCTGGGACTCCAGCTTCCAAAACGGTGGAAACAGATGTTTGTAGTTTATAAGCCACCCAGTTTATGGTATTTTTGTCCTAGCAGCCTGGACAGACTAGGACAGGTCAGGAGAAAATGTGACTCTAAAGGCAGTTTCTCCGGGTGATGGGACCCTCGATGTCCTGATTGTCGTGTTGATCTGGAAACATGGGGACGTCTCACAGAACTCCCTCCACCAAGAATAAGTGAACTGCATGGGGTCTGTGGCTGCCACATCGTATCCACGTGGAGTTTCTGGTTTGGGTCCTTGTTCTCTGGTTATATAAGATGTTAGCAGCTGGGGGTGGAGGAGATGGGGGGTACATAGGAACTCTCTGTGCTATTAATATTTCTGCAATTTTTTGGCTGGGCGCAGTGGCTCACACCTGTAATCCCAGCACTTCGGGAGGCCGAGGCAGATGGATCACCTGAGGCCAGGAGTTCGAGACCAGCCTGCCCAACATGCTGAAACCTGGTCTCTACAAAAACACGAAAATTAGCCAGGCATGATGGCACGTGGCTGTAATCCCAGCTACTCGGGAGGCTGGGGCAGGAGAATTGCTTGAACCCAGAAGGCGGAGGTTGCAGTGAGCCGAGATCACGCCATTGCACTCCAGTCTGGGCGACAGAGCGAGACTCCATCTCAAAATATATATATGTTTTAGTTCTGCAATTTTTATGTGAGTCTAAAATTATTTCAAAATACAACCTTTTTTAATTGGGTAGACTTTGTCAAAATGACTCTACCATCCTGGGGGGAAGCAGTTTTTCATGCACACTTCGCCAGAAGCCTGACCTCCACGTGGACTCAGTGTGACACATTCTCAGAGTCCATTTTAAACACTCGGGCACGCGTTAGAGACACACATTCCCAGCCCCACACAGAACCATGAGATCAGAAACTACGAAGAGTGGGTCTCATTTTTCTCACTTCTCATTCCTGCCGACCTGTGGCAGGTGCCGTTCAGATGCTGGGGGAAGGAAAGGAACAGCTCAGCAATGGTGACAGGATGGGCGCCGCCAGGAACAGTCGCACAGCAGATGCTCCGTGGGGGCAGCGGCTCCCGTTATGCAGCCCTAGAGCGGGCAGGGGCACCAGGCAGGGCAGGGGCCCCGGGGCGGAGGAGGGTGTCCAAGTGCTGAGGACTGAACTGTGTGCCTCAGATTAACGGGTTGAAGCCCTAACTCCCAATGTGACTGTATTTGGAGATGGGCTTTTAAGGAGGTAGCTAAGGTTACGTGAGTCCCAAAGGTGGGGCCCTGGACTGTTGTCCTTATAAGAAGAGGAAGAGACACCAGCAGTGAGCACACAGGGAGAGGCCACATGAGCACACAGAAGAGAGGCCATATGATCACGCAGGGGAGAGGCCACGTGAGGACGTGGGGGAGGGGAGAGGCCACGTGAGCACACAGGAGAGAGGCCATATGATCACGCAGGGGAGAGGCCACGTGAGCACACGGGGGAGAGATCATGTGAGCACATGGGGGAGAGGCCACGTGAGGACGTGGGGGAGGGGAGAGGCCACGTGAGCACACAGAAGAGAGGCCATATGATCACGCAGGGGAGAGGCCACATGAGGACGTGGGGGAGGGGAGAGGCCACGTGAGCACACAGGAGGCCATATGATCACGCAGGGGAGAGGCCACGTGAGCACACGGGGGAGAGGCCATGTGAGGATGTGGGGGAGAGGCCACGTGAGCACACGGGGAGAGGCCACAGAAGGACGCAGGGAGAGGCCACGTGATTATGCAGGGGAGAGGCCATGTGAGCACACAGGGAGAGGCCACAGGAGGACGCAGGGAGAGGCCACAGGAGGATGCAGGGAGAGACCACGTGATTATGCAGGGGAGAGGCCACAGGAGGACGCAGGGAGAGGCCACAGGAGGATGCAGGGAGAGACCACGTGATTATGCAGGGGAGAGGCCATGTGAGCACACAGGGAGAGGCTACAGGGTCGTGCAGGGAAAGGGTGCCATCTGCAAGCCACAGAGAGGCATGAGGAGGAACCCACCCTGCCAGCAGCCTGAGCTTGGACCTCCAGACCCAAGAACTTTAAGAACACAAATGTCTGTTGTTTAAGCTGCCCTGTCTGTAGTGTTCCTTTATGGGGGCCTGAGCTGGGACGGCGGGGAAGCAGGGATCCCCCCAGGAGACGTGCAGGGCAGCAGGGGTCCGCGTCACACCACTGTCTGCCTTCCCTTCTTGGTGAGTGCGGCCCACCCCGGGTAGCTAGAGCAGGAGCATGCATCTCAGCCCTGTCCACTTCCTTCAAGCTGCCAGGACCTCTGAGTCCCCTTCGTGGCCCTGCTGGGACCCCCTCCCTCGAGTTTCCAGAAGGGCCCAAGGCAACCTGGGAAGCCGGGTGGCGGTTCTGCCCATGCCTCCCCTTTGGGCCTCCCTGGAATCAGGAGATGCAGCCCCCTGGGGAAGGGACAGAAGGTACAAAGAGGGCCTGTCTCAGACAGGGGCGCTTTCAGGCAGGCACCACCCCAGGCCACTGGCATAGACAACTTTCACCTTTCGGTTTGTTTAGAATTAGCAGTGTTAATTTTACACAGCTCTGATTTAACGTTGTATGTGGTGACTATCCCATCAGGCATGTCAAACAGACACATCAAAAGTCAAATCAAAATATGCCACTTCCCACATCACAAATGTGACTCAGACAATGAACATAAAACTTGACTTGGTGGCTGAGTTACCTTATTAAAATAGTTGGAAGTGATTTCTGTTAATGTAACAGCTGAGAAATGGTTTAAATGAGATCTCTTCTTTGAACTTCACACGTTAATTCCCACTAACTTGCTAAAGGAAAATTCTATCTAAGAGGACCTACCTGATTTATTTGTTATGACTGGGTCTTCATGTTACCCCTCGATTCGGAACATGAATTTCTGGTTCAAACTGTGCCTCCTCCACTTCAATTACATCCTTGGTGTTTAGTGGCACCGTTTTCACGTGACTCCTGCTACCCAAGAATCAAAAGCAGCAGAAGCCCGTGCTCAGCAGGTCCTGAGGCTGCGGCGACCCCACGCCTCCCACTGCCCTAATACGCGGGACTGAATCTCCAAAGAGGAAAACCAAAATCAGGAGCCCAGGGTTGATCGGAGGCCAAAAGCTTCCACAATGAATATGGAATTTTTACTTCCCAGTTAAGAAGAAGAGAGGCCTTACGAGGTTTTCCATTTCCCTGCCCCGTGAGACAGCTGGCATTCTTTAAGAAAAGCATTAAAAATCATCGTGTATTCCAGGAAAGTGTGTGTCCCTGAAGAAGTGGCACATCCCAGAATCTCTGAACTCTGGTGATGGGAGGACCCAGGAGGGCTCCTCAGGAGGGTCCGGGCCTGTTCTCTGTGCACTCCAAGTGCTGAGTGCCTGGGATCAAAGCCCTCATGCTGTCTTCAGGAGCCCTGCTCAGAAACCTGACACCGGGCCAGGAGCTCAGGGCGAGGGACTCTGCACACCCTTTCAACGTGGGGGACCCTCTCCGCTTCCCAGCCAGGAAGCTGCACCAGACACTCACAAAGGTGACTTTGTGCCCGTGAACTCGGCTGCAGCCCACAGTTTGGGCTTGCTGCCGCCGGTGCAGACAGGAAATAGCTGCTCTGCGGCAGCCCGACCCCGTGGCCACAGAGCAGCCTCTGTTCCTTGGTAATCGTCAACATCTGGCAGGCACCTCCACGCCCCTCCGCCCCCACCATACGCTGCTGGCTGGAGGCTCCCGTGCAATGCCAGGTGTGTTGGGAGAGGACAGGCTATACCCACAAGCTGGGCTGGAAGTAAGGAAATCGCTTTAAAAGCAGGAAAACAAATTCGCTTCCCCACGCTTTAACCACTGGTACCTGTAAGAGGCCATCAATGGAATATTCATCTTCTCCAAATGTAAAAAGTAAATCTAAATGGAAGAAGGTCTTTTTCTTCCCCCGCTTTTCCGCGTGACACAGGATGTTATGGAATAGAACTTGAAAGCTGGTGAAGCAGATTTGATGCGGAAAGCAAAGCTCATCAAGGAACCCTGATCACTGTGAACTCACTTAATGGAATAGTTGATGCCGTCATCATAAACAGCACCAACGTTAGAAGCCAGTGATCCTTATACTAAGGTTTCAGTTTTACTGCAGATCAAAATTACATTTTCAAAATTCAGAAAGCATTTCATTACATGGTGCGATCACAAGAAATCCGTAATGTTGGGGCGTATTACTCCCACAACCTCGCTATTAGAGGTGGACGTCCTGGCACCCCTCATGGGGTGCAGAGCACCTTTCTCCTCTTGGACTGAGGTGTGCAGCTGGCTGCCCCCGCTCCTCCCTGTCCCACTAACCTGACCATACCCCCACGAGGCAGAGTGCCTTTCTCCTGCCCTGGAGTGGGGCTGACACAGTCTCGAACACCATAATCCAGGATGTTGAAATCCTGAAAGATCAAAATCCCTAAAGTCTAAAATCCCCCAAATCACAATCCTGAAAAATGTAGTTCTTGAAAAAATAATTTTAAAAATTCTTTACCCCATTTACCCTAATATAGTTATTACACTTTGCATGCCTTTATCAAAATATCTCATGTGCTCCATAATTATATACACCTACTATGTGTCCATAAAAATTTAAAAAATTCTTTATCTCAAATGTTAGCGAGAAAAAGGAAAAAATAAATAATGATTTGAAAGACATTTGCTTACAATTTTAAAAAGAAGACTTATTTGAGAAATGTACAAAAACATGACAGCATGCTTCATAGGCCACTTTACACAATAAAACAGACAATACTAACACACACATTTTTACAAGCATAAACACTCAAGTACACTAATGACAGTCACATGGGTATAACGGTTAATGAGCAGATGAACCGTATTCATAAAGAAATAGCTCCTGTCATCTGAAATATTCTGTTGGACAACCTAAGTCTTTGGACAAGATCCATCAAAAACCATGATGGTTGTATATGTGTGGTTTTATTTCTGAGATCTCTATTCTGTTCTGTTGGCCTATGTGTCTGTTTTTGTACCAGTACCATGCTGTTTTGGTTACTGTAGACTTGTAGTATAGTTTGAAGTCAGGGAGTGTGATGTCTCCAGCTTTGTTCTTTTTGCTTAGGACTGTCTTGGTTATACAGGCTCTTTTTCAGTTCTACATGAATTTTAAAGTAGTTTTTTCTAATTCTGTGAGGAATGTCAATGGTAATTTAATGGGAATAGCATTGAATCTATAAGTTACTTTGGGCAGTATGGCCATTTTCACGATATTGATTCTTCCTATCCATGAGCATGGAATATTTTTCCATTTGTTTGTGTCCTCTCTTATTTCCTTGAGCAGTGGTTTGTAGTTCTCCTTGAAGAGGTCCTTCACCTCCCTTGTTAGCTGTATTCCTAGGTATTTTATTCTCTTTGTAGCAATTGTGAATGGAAGTTCATTCATGATTTAGCTCTCTGCTTGTCTACTGTTGGTGTATAGGAATGCTTGTGATTTTTGCACATTGATTTTGTATCCTGAGACTTTGCTGAAGTTGCTTATCAGCTTAAGGAGCTTTTGGGCTAAGATGATGAAGTTTTCTAAATATAGGATCATGTTGTCTGCAAACAGAGCTTCGACAAACCTGACAAAAACAAGTAATGGGGAAAGGATTCCCTGTTTAATAAATGGTGCAGGGAAAACTGGCTAGCCATATGCAGAAAACTGAAACTGGAGCCCTTCTTTACACCTTATACAAAAATTAACTCAAGATGGATTAAAGACTTAAACGTAAAACCCAAAACTACAAAAACCCTACAAGAAACTCTAGGCAATACCATTCGGGACATAGGCATGGGAAAATATTACATGACAAAAACATCAAAAGCAATTACAACAAAAGCAAAATTGACAAATGGGACCTAATTAAACTAAAGAGCTTCTGCACAGCAAAAGAAACTACACCATCAGAGTGAACAGACAAGCTATGGAATGGGGGAAAATTTTTGCAATCTGTCCATCTGACAAAGGTCTAATATCTGGAATCTACAAGGAACTTAACTTTACAAGAAAAAACAAACAACCCATCAAAAAGTGGGCAAAGGACATGAACAGACACTTCTCAAAAGAAGACATTTAGGCAGCAACAAACATATGATAAAAAGCTCAACATCACTGATCATCAGAGAATTGAAAACCAAAACCACAATGAGATACCACCTCAAGCCAGTCAGAATGGCGATTTTTTAAAAATCAAGAAACAACAGATGCTGGCAAGGCTGTGGAGAAGTAGGGATGCTTTTACACTGTTGGTGGGAATGTAAATTAGTCCAACCATTGTGTAAGACAGTGTGGTGATTCCTCAAGGATCTACAACCAGAAATGCCATTTGACCCAGCAATCCTACTACTGGTACATACCCAAAGGAATACAGATCATTCTATTATAAAGGTACATGCACGCGTATGTTCACTGCAGCACCATTCACAATAGCAAAGACATGTAATCAACCCAAATGCCCATCAATGATAGACTGGATAAAGAAAATGTGGTATACCATGGAATATTATGTAGTCATAAAAATGAATGAGATCATGTACTTTGCAGGGACATAGATGGAGGTGGAAGCCATTATCCTCAGCAAACCAAAACAGGAACAGAAACCCAAACACTGCATGTTCTCACTCATAAGTGGGAGCTGAACAATGAGAACATATGGACACGGGGGGAACAACACACACTACGGCCTGTTGTGGAGGTGGGGGAAGGGAGGGCATCAGGAAAAATAGCTAATGCATGCAGGGCTTAATACCTAGGTGGTGGGTTGATGGGTGCAGCAAACCACCATGGCACAGGTTTGCCTATGTAACAAATGTACCCCCCATTCTGCACATGTATTCTGGAACTAAAAAAAAAAAAAAAAAAAAAGATGGTTACCACCACATACACATTCACCCCAAAAGCCAAGATCTCAAGAAATTTCATCTTTCATAAATGCAGATGTACAAAAAGGACATCTTTTCATTTACTAAGGAAGTTTCAACGTTTTTACGGACATGCACAATGCTTACAAAGTCAACATTGTTGATAGTGCACCTTTGTGGAGTCGAATTTGCAAAAAGATGCATAAATGAATTACAGCTCTGTAAAAGAAATGATGCAAAGGTGAAACACAAGCATAGTGATTGTAAAACATAATGCTGACAATTTAAAATAGAAAAAACAAACAAAAATAGAAAAAATTACAAACAATAAAAAACTAAACAGAAAATCTGATTTATGAAAAAGTATACCACAGGAGTATATTACGGGCAATTGCACAGAAACAGTCCCTAAGAGCTGGCTGACTTTCACAATCATTAAGTGTATTTTGAAGGTTTGCATCACAATGGATAACCGCTTTCTTTTAAGACATGGCTTCCTTGGAGAATGAGCTCACATTCATCTTCTCTGCGGCACTGCTCTTTTTGAAACTCCTCTGTGATTTGACACACACCAGGATAAGCCTTCTCCTTACATTTTCCCGTCTTCCATGCTGTGCTTCTGTGTTGTTCTGGGTACGTGGATATGCATTCTGCATGCCCTCTTGTACAGACCCCAGGTTTAATACAAACCATACTGGTGATGGAACAGAACACTGTTGTGTAAGTGTCTTCTTATCCTACTATACACACAATTATTTTGAAGCAGTCAGTCACTTTGCTGGTTTCTTTGGGCAAATGTGGCCATGATTCCCTAAAAGCTCTCAGTGTGTGATCAGCTGGGAGGAACGCCAACGCAGGCAGTGTCATCAGCAGGAACGCCAACACAGGCAAGAGACTCGCCATCGTAGGCAAGAGACTCAACTCATTTTTAAACGGAAGTTTCTGTCACTGCCATATCACGTGGCCAAGCCACTCATCTGGATTTTGCACCAAATGCATTGGACTGAATGGAAAAAACAAACTTTATTGGTAACAACTTGAAATTCACTTACAGAAGACTTGATGGCACCTAATTCCAAATCCATCATTATAGTTTGGGGATTCAGTTAGATGCTAGGAATTTTAGATTTGGGGATTTTGATCTTTAGGGATTTCAAATTTCAGAATTACAGCACTGGAGATTCTGTCTTCCAGGACTGTGACAGGCACTGGTTGAAGCCCTAACCCCCTATTTGAGGTATTGTGGAAATGGGGCCTCTGGGAGATGATTAGATTTCACGTGAGGGTGGGGCTCTACTGGGATCAGTGTCTTTATAATAAGAGACACCACAGAGCCTGCTCTCTCTCCCTCTGTCTCTGCCATATCAGGGTTCAGAGAAAAGGTGGGTGTCTGCAAGCCAGGAAGAGCCACATCAGAAAGCAAGCCCTGCCAGGTCTTGATCTAAGACTTTCCAGCTTCCAGAATTGTGAGAAAATAAATTCTGTTGTTTAAGCCACCTAGCCTCTGGCATTTTGTTATGGCAGCCTGAGCTGATTAAGATAATAATCCAGATCGTAGATGAAAATTAACTAAAAAATGGATTGTAGATCTGTATGTAAAACCCAAAACTATACACTTTTTAGAAGAAAACAGGAGGAAAACTTTTGTGAACTGGGTTAGCCAAAGATTTCTTAGATACAACATCAAAACCACATCCATGGGCGGGGAGTGGGGAGCAAGGTGGCTGATATGGTTTGGCTGTGTCCCTACCCAAATCTCATCTTGAATTGTACTCCCATAATTCCCACGTGTTGTGGGAAGGACCCAGTGGGAGATAACTGAATCATGAGGGCAGTTTCCCCCATACTGTTCTCATGGTAGTGAATAAGTCTCACAAGATCTGATGGTTTTACATGGGGTTTCCGATTTCGCTTCTCTCTCATTCTCTCTTTGCCTGTCGCCATCCACGTAAGCTTGGTCCTCCTTGCCTTCTGCCATGATTGTGAGGCCTCCCCAGCCAAGTGGAATGCAGATGCAGCTTAGATCGCAACACTCAAGTCCTACTGACTACCTGGAAAGCCTTTCCAAGAAGGACAGGTACGAACAAACATAGACTGCAAAGACTATATGACAAATACCTATCTCTGCAATGCCCAGACACAGATGAACATCCATAAGCATCAAGACCATCCTGGAAAACATGACCTTACCAAATGAACTAAATGAGGCACCAGGGACCAATCCTGGAGAAACAGAGATATGTGACCTTTCAGTCAGAGAATTCAAAGTAGTTGTTCTGAGGAAACTCAGAGAAATTCAAGATAACACAGAAGGTATTCGGAATTCTATTTAAAAAAATTAACAAAGAGATTAAAATAATTAAAAAGAAGCAGAAATTCTGGAGCTGAAAAATGCAGTTGACATACTAAAGAATGAATCAGAACTTTTTAATAGCAGAATTGATCAAGCAGAAGAATTAGTGAGCTTGAAGAAAGGCTATTTGAAAATACATAGTCAGAGAAGACAAAATAAAAAAGAATAAACAATAATGAAGCATGCCTACAATATCTAGAAAATCACCTCAAAAGGGCAAATCTAAGAGTTATTGGCCCTAAAAAGGAGGTAGAGAGATAGGGGTAGAAAATTTATTCAAAGGGATAATAACTTCCCAAACCTAGAGAAAGCTATCAATATCCAAGAATAAAGAGGTTATAGAACACCAAGCAGATTTAACCCAAAGAAGACTACCTCAAGGCATTTAATAATCAAACTCCTGAAGGTCAAGGATAAAGAAAGGACCCTACAAGCAGCAAGAGAAAAGAAACAAATAACACAATGGAGCTGCAATATGTCTGGCAGCAGACTTTTCGGTAGAAACTTTACAGGTCAGTCTTTCATGCCTAGGAGAGGATGGCATGACATATGTAACGTGCTGAAGGAAAAAACTTTTACACTAGAATAGTATATCCAATGAAAATATCCTTCAAACATGAAGGAGAGATAAAGACTTTCCCAGACAAACAAAAGCTGAGGGATATTATCAACACCAGACCTGTCCTACAAGAAATGCTAAAGAGAGTACTTTAATCAGAAAGAAAGGGATATTAATGAGCAAAAAGAAATCACCTGAAGGTACAAAACTCACTGCTAATATGAGTACACAGAAAAACACAAAGTATTATAATGCTGTAACTGTGGTGTGTAAACTACTCTTAAGTGAAAGACTGAACAATGAACCAATCAAAAAGAATAACTATAATAACTTTTCAACAGATAGTACAATAAGATATAAATAGAAACAACAAAAAGTTAAAAAGTGGGGGACAAAGTTAAGGTATAGAGTTTTTATTAGTTTTCTTTTTGCTTGCATGTTTGTTTATGCAAATAGTATTAAGTTGTTATTAGCTTAAAATAATGGGTAATAAGATAATATTTGTAAGCCTGGTGGTAACCTCAAATAAAAAATATACAATGAATACACAAACCATAAAAAGCAAGAAATCAAATCATATTGCCAGAGAAAATCACCTTCACTAAAAGGAAGACATGAAGGAAGGAAAGGAAGAGGAGAATACCAAAATACAACCAGAAAACAAATAACAAAATGGCAGGAGTAAGTCCTTATTTATCAATAGTAACATTAAATGTAAGTGGATTAAATTCTCCAATCAAAAGACATAGAGTGGCTGAATGGATTAAAAAACAAGACCCAATGATCTGTTGCCTACAAGAAACACACCTGGCTTCTAAAGAAACAGGCTTAAAATAAAGCAGTGGAAAAACATACTCCATGCCAATGGAACCAGAAAAGAGCAGGAGTAGCTATACTTATATTGAGGGTCTATCTCAGATGAAATAGATTTAAAGAAAAAAATTATGAGACAAAGAAGGTCACCATATGATGATAAAAAGGTCAACTCAAGAGAATATAACAGTCATAAATATATATGCACCCAATATTGTAGCACCCAGATATATAAAGCAAAATATTATTAAAGCTAAAGAGATAGACCCTCAATATAATAACATCTGGAGACTTCAACACCCTCTTCAACACCTTCAATTTTCAGCACTGAACAGATTTTCCAGACAGAAAATCAACAAGAAACATTGGACTTAATCTGTGCTACAGACCAAATGGACCTAATAGATATTTACAAAATATTTCCTCCATTGGCTGCGGAGTACACATTCTTTTCCGCAGCACATGGATCATCCTCAAGGACAGATCATTTGTTAGGTCACAAAACAAGTCTTACAACATTAAAAAAAAAAACACCTGAAATAATATCAAGCATCTCCTCTGACTACTAAAATATCTAGTTTTATTTAATGGACTAAAACTAGAAATCAATAAGAGGAATTTTGGAAACTATACAAACAATGGTAATTTAACAATATGCTCCTGAATGACAAGTGGGTCAATGAAGAAAGTAAGAAGGAACTTAAAACATTTCTTGAAACAAATGATAATGGAAACACAACATACCAAAACCTATAGGATATAGCAAAAACAGTACTAAGAAGGAAGTTTTAAATAGTTATAAGTGTCTACATCAAAAAAGAAGAAAACCTTCAAATAAACAACCTAACAATGCATCTTAAGCAACTAGAAAAGCAACAAACCCAAAATTAGTAGAAGAAAATAAATAACAAAAATCAGAGCAGAAATAAATGAATTCAACATAAAGAAAATACAAAAGATCAATGAAACAAAAAGTTGGTTCTTTGAAAAGATAAACAAAATTGATAAACTTTTAGCCAGACTAACAAAAAAAGAGAGAACACCCAAATAAAATCAGGGATGAAAAGAGAGACATTACAACTGATACTGGAGAAATTCAAAGAAATTAGTGGCTAGTATGAGCAAGTATACACCAATAAATTGGAAAATCTAAGGGAAAAATTTAGAAAAATTAGAAATAAATCTAGGGGAAGAGATCTAGAAAATCTAGGAAAAAAAATCAAAATTCCTAGACACATACAGCCTACCAAGACTGAACCATGAAAAAATCCAAAACCTAAATAGATCAATAACAAGTAACAGGGTCAAAGTCATAATACAAAGTCTCCTAGCAAAGAAAAGCCTGGGACCCAATGGCTTCACTGCTGAAATCTACCAAACATTTAAAGAACTAATACCAATCCTACCCAAATTATTCCAAAAAATAGAGGAGGAAGGAATACTTCCAAACTCACTCTACAAGACCAATTTTACCCTGATACCAAAACCAGACAAAGACACATAAAAAAATTAAAACTATAGGCCAATATCACTGTAACCACTGAAATCCTCAACAAAGTACTAGCAAACCGAATTCAACAACACATTAAAAAGATCATTCATCACGACCAAGTGGGATTTATTCCAGGGATGCAAGGATAGTTCAACATATGCAAATCAATTAATGTGATACATCATGTCAACAGAATAGACACAAAAACCATATGATCAATTCAATTCATGCTGAAAAAGCATTTGATAACATTCAACATCTCTTCATGATTAAAAATCCTAAAAAGCAAGGTATAGAAGGAACATCCCTTAACATAATAAAAGCCATATACAAAAGATCCACAATTAGTATCATATTGAATGAAGAAAAACTGAAAGCCTTTCCTCTGAGATTGGGAACATGACAAGCATGCCTACTGTCACCACTGTTATTCAACATTGTACTGAAAGTCCTAGCTAAAGCAATCAGGCAAGAGAAATAAAGGGCATCCAAATTGGAAAGGAAGAAGTCAAATTCTCCATGTTTGCAGATGATATAATCTTATATTTTAAAAAAACCTAAAGACTCCACCAAACAACTATTAGACCTGATAAACAAACTCAGCAAAGTTTCAGGATACAAAATCAACATACAAAAGTCAGTAGCATTTCTTTTTCTTTTTTTTTTTTTTTGAGATGGAGTCTCACCCTGTCACCCAGGCTGGAGTGCAGTGGCATGATCTTGGCTCACTGCAACCTCTGCTTCCCGGGTTCAAGCAATTCTCCTGCCTCAGCCTCCCAAGTAGCTGGGATTACAGGCATGTGCCACCACGCCTGGCTAATTTTGTATATTTTAAGTAGAGACGGGGTTTCGCTATGTTAACCAGGATGGGTCTCGATCTCCTGACCTCATGATCCACCCACCTCGCCCTCCCAAAGTGCTGGGATTATAGATGTGAGCCACTATGTCCGGCCATCAGTAGCATTTCTATATGCCAACAGTGAACAATTTGAAAAAGAAATCAAGAAAGTAATCTCATTTACAATAGCTACAAATAAAATAAAATATCTAGGAATTAACTAAAATAAAAGAGTGAAAGATCTCTACAATGAAAACTATAAAACACTGATGCAAGAAATTAAAGAAGAGTAATCTCATTTACAATAGTGATAACTAAAATAAAATGCCTAGGAATTAACTCAACCAAAGGAGTGAAAGATCTCTACGATGAAAACTATAAAACACTGATGCAAGAAATTAAAGAAGAGTAATCTCATTTACAACAGTGATAACTAAAATAAAATTACCAAGGAATTAACTCAACCAAAGGAGTGAAAGATCTCTATGATGAAAACTATAAAACACTGATGCAAGAAATTAAAGAAGGCACCAAAAAAATGGAAAGATATTCCAGGTTCACGGATTCGAAGAACGACTATTGTTAAAATATCTATACTACCCAAAGCAATCTATAGATTTAATGCAATCCCTATCAAAATACCAATGGCATTCTTCACAAAAACAGAAAACACAGGCTGGGTGCAGTGGCTCATGCCTGTAATCCCAGCACTTTGGGAGGCCAAGGCAGGTGGATCATGAGGTCAGGAGTTTGAGACCAGCCCTGGCCAATATGGTGAAACCCCCTCTCCATTAAAAATACAAAATTAGCTGGGTATGGTGGTGCGCACCTGTAGTCCCAGCTGCTCAGCAAGCTGAGGCAGGAGAATCACTCGAACCCTGGAGGCAGAGGTTGCAGTGAGCCGAGAACGCGCGACTGCACTCCAGCCTGGATGACAGAGCGAGACTCTGCCTCAAAAAAAAAAAAAAAAATAGAAAACACAACCCTAAAATTTATATGAAACCACAGAAGAACCAGAATAGCCCCAGCTATCCTAAGCAAGAGGAACAAAATTGGAGGAATCACATTACCTGACTTAGACTACAGAGCTATAGCAATCAAAACAGCATGGTACTTGCATAAAAACAGACACATAGATCCGTGGAACAGAATAGAGAACCCATAGATAAATCAATATATCTACAGTGAACTCATTTTTGACAAACATGCCAAGAACTTACATTGGGGAAGAGATGGTCTCTTCAATAAATGGTGTTGGGAAAACTGGATATCCATATGCAAAAGAATGAAATTAGACCCCTATCTTTCACCATATGCAAAAATCAAATCAAAATGGATTAAAGACTTACATTTAAGACTTCAAACTATGAAACTACTGAAAGAAAACATTGGGGAAATTCTCTAGGACATTGGACTGGGCAACGATTTCTTGAGTAAGACCCCACAAGCACAGGCAACCAAAGCAAAAATGGGCAGACGGGATCACATCAAGTTAAAAAGCTTCTGTACAGCAAAGGAAACTATCAACAAAGTGAAGAGACAACCCACAGAATGGGAGAAAATATTTGTAAATTACCCATCTGACAAGGGATTAATAACCAGAACATATACAGAGCTCAAACAACTCTAGGAAAAATAGAATAATCCGATTAAATGTGGGCAAAAGATCTGAACAGACACTTCTCAAAAGAAGACAAATAGCAAACAGGCACATGAAAAGGTGCTCAACATCACTGATCATCAGAGAAATGCAAATAAAACATACAATTTTTCTCATTCCAGTTAAAATGGCTTTTATCCAAAAAATCAGTCCATAACAAATGCTGGTGAAGATGTGAAGAAAAGGGAACCCCTGTACAATGTCGGTGGGAATGTAAATTAGTACAACCACTATGGAGAACAGTTTGGAGGTTCCTCAAAAAACTAAAAATAGAGCCACTGTATGATCCAGCAATCCCTCTCCTGGGTATATGCTCAAAAGAAAGGAAATCAGTATATCAAAGAGTTGCCTGCACTCACGTATTCACTGCAGCACTATTCACAATAGCCAAGATTTGGAAACAATCTAAATGTCTATCATCACATGAATGAATAAAGAAATGTGGTACATACACACAATGAAGTGTATGAATGAGATCCTGGCATTTGCAACAACATAGACGGCACTGGGGGGTCATTATGTTAAGTGAAATAAGCCAGACACAGAAAGACAAACTTCACATGTTCTCGCTTATTTGTGGGAGCTAAACATTCAAACAATTGACCTCATGGAGATAGAGAATAAAAGGATGGTTACCAGAGGCTGGGAAGAGTAGTGGGTGGTGGGAGGGAAGTAGGGAAGGTTAATGGGTTTAAAAAAAAAAATATATATATATATATATCTATATCTATCTAGATCTATCTATCTATCTATATCTATATATAGATATATATCTAGATATATATAGTTACAAAGAATGAATAAGACCTAGAATTTGCTGGCACAACAGGGTGACTATAGTCAAAATTAGTTTAACTCTACACTTAAAAATAACTAAAAGAATATAGTTGTATTGTTTGTAACACAAAGGATAAATGCTTGAGGTGAAGTGACGGATACCCCATTTACCCTGATGTGATTATCATGCACTGCATGCCTATATGCAAATATCTCACATAATCCATAAATATACGTACTTACTATGTACCCACAATAATTTAAAAAAATTTTAAATCTAAAAAAGCATGTCCATAAAAGGAAAATAGATAAATTGAATTTCATCAAAAATTACAACTTTGTTTGTTTTGTTTTGTTTTGAGACGGAGTTTCACTCTGTCTCCCAGGCTGGAGTGCAGTGGCACAATCTCGGCTCACTGCAAGCTCTGCCTCCCGGGTTCATGCCATTCTCCTGCCTCAGCCTCCTGAGTAGCTGGGACTACAGGCGCCCACCACCATGCCTGGCTAATTTTTTGTATTTTTAGTAGAGATGGGGTGTCACTGTGTCAGCCAGGATGGTCTCAACTGCCTGACCTCATGATCCACCCACCTTGGCCTCCCAAAGTGCTGGGATTACAGGCGTGAGCCACCATGCCTGGCCCAAAAATTACAACTTCTACTCTTTGAAAGACATTGTTAAAAGAATGAAAAGACAAGCCACTGACTCAGAAAACATATTTACAAAGTCTGACAAAGGACTTGTGTCTGGAATATATAAACAACTCTTAAAATTCAACAATAAGAATGCAAACAATTCAACACAAAAATGGGCAAAGGATGTGAACAGACACTTTACCAAAGAAGATACACGGATGGCAAATACATCTACGAAAAGATGTTTCACATTATTACCCATTTGAGAAATGCAAACTAAAATCACCACGAGATACCACTACATACCTACTAGATTAGCTAAAATTAAAAAAAAAAAAAGATCATATCAAGAGTTGGCAAGGACATGGAAGAACTGAATTCTCATACATGGCTTGAGAATGTAAAATGGTGCAACCAATTTGGAAAGCACTTTGGCAGTTTCTTTAAAAGTGAAACACATCCCTACCATATGAACCAGCCCTTCCACTTCTAAGTATTTTCCCAAGAGAAAAGGCTGGACATATATTCACTGTCATGCACACACAAAGGCTTGTACATATGTTCACTGTCATGCACAAAGGCTTGTACATATGTTCACTGTCATGCACACACAAAGGCTTGTACATATGTTCACTGTCATGCACACACAAAGGCTTGTACATATGTTCACTGTCATGCACAAAGGCTTGTACACAAATGTGCAAGGAACTGGAACAACTCAAATGTCCATCTACAGCTAAGTGGGTAAACAAATTGTACATCCACACCACAGAACACAGCTGACCCCTGAACAATGTGGGGGTTAGGGGTGCTGACCCCCTGCACAGTTGAAAATCCATGTATAAGTTTTAACTCCCCGAAAATTTAACCACTAATGCCTTCCTGTTGATGGGAAGCCTTACCGATAACATCAACGGTCGGTTAACACATATTTTGTATGTTATATGTACTATATGCTGTATTTTTACAATAAAGTAAGCTAGAGGAAAGAAAAGCTTATTAAGAAAATCATAAGGAAGAGAAAATACATTTATGGTACTGTACTGTATTTATTGATACCCTAAGTTCACGTAGTCTGTTTACAAGAATCATCTGTCTGAAATGACCACAGCTGCAGCCCTCAGTCTACAGTACATAGCAAGGAATTCAGCTTTTTCTTGTAATGTCATGACTTTTCTCTGCTTTTTGGGAGCACCTCCAGCATTACCAGTGGCACTGTGTATGGGTCCTAGGGTGTCACTCAAGGTTTATAGGATCGCCTTAAACATGATTAAAACTGTGTGAAAACTGTGAGAGGTCACTGGTTTTTTTTGTTGTTGTTTTTTGTTTTGTTTTGTTTTTTTGAGATGGAGTCTCGCTCTGTCGCCCAGGCTAGAGTGCAGTGGCGCGATCTCAGCTCACTGCAACCTCTGCCACCTGGGTTCAAGCGATTCTCCTGCCTCAGCCTCCCATGTAGCTGGGATTACAGGCACCTGTCACTGTGCCTGGCTAATTTTTGTATTTTTAGTAGGGACGGGGTTTCACCATCTTGGCCAGGCTGGTCTCGAACTCCTGACCTCATGATCCACCTGCCTTGGCCTCCGAAAGCGCTGGGATTACAGGCATGAGCCACTGCGCCTGGCCGAGAGATCACTTTTTTACTGTGATTTGTGATTTACTGGAGGGAGGAGCTGTGCTTGCGGAGATGATCAGCCTCACCCAGCGTTTTAAGCACTCACAGCACCTGAGCTCGCGGCTGTGCCGGCAGGAGGGGTTTGTAAAACATCAGTCGTGCAGCACGCACTGCAGTGAGTTTTGTGCAGTTGTGATTCATTTCTGCATCCCTACATTTGTTTAATTTCTCTAAACTGTGAAAGACCCCATATGTGGTCTATAAGTGTTTGTATGCATGTTAAGTTTTGATAAATTTTAACTTTTTATAATAGATTTGTGTATAATTTTTGGTATTACATGATTTAAAAACACTAGCATCACTATATATTTTATGTACTCATGACACATCTTTTTGTTAGTGTTTTCAGTATTCCTAGGCCATGCTGTTTGTCTGAAAGCTTTTCCAAATTGTTACACATCTCCAAAAACCTCTCCAATACACTTGCTGAGAAAAACCCAAGTGTACGTAGGCTGTGCAGTTCCAACACACTGTTCGAGGGTCACCACTGCTGTGAGCGAGCCACGCATCTGGACCCACAGTAATTATGCTGAGTGAAGGTGGCCAGACCAGTGAAGCACACAGCACATGACTGCATTTACCTGAGCCTCCAGCAAATGTAAAACTGCTGTGCAGGCAGAAAGTGGGTCATGGTTGCATGGTGTGGGGAGGGCTCCGGGATGGACAGGAGGAAACTTGGGGTGTTGGATATATGTGTTCACTGTGTTGACTGTGGTGGGTCACTGGGGTACAGACACATGTCAAAACCGATCAAACTGTACATTTGAAATAGGGGCCATTTGCTGTATGTCAGTTATACATCAACAAAGCTATACATCAACAAAGGTATACATCAACAAGACAAATGGACAAATCACTGTAAATCCCATAAAGCCTCTAGCTCTAAGTACTACTTTGCAGGAACTCCAGGGACAGAGGAATCTGTTAAATGAGACCAGGGAGATGCAATCAGCAGAAGTCGGACTACTGAAAGCACCGATGGCAAATCATTCAACATCGTCCACAACATAGTCAAGGAAAAGGAAGACGGAGGAATCTGGATATTTAAAGGGATTTATCAACAACTGCAATGTATGCACCTTCTTTAGATCTCAATTCAAACCAGAAACTGTGAAGAAAAAAGGAAGAAGATGAGAAAGTGGACAAGGAGGAGAAAAACAGAACTTTATGAAACAGAAAGTCCCAGGAAGGAACACTTCGGCATCCTTCAAGTCAACACAGGGTGTAGGACTCCATTTACGTAAAATTCCAGCAAACGTAAACCAGTCTATGGTCACAGAAAGCAGAGGGGCGGGCGGGGTGGGGGACGGGAGCCCCTCTAGGTGCTGGGTGTGTGACCTGCACACAGAGACATCTGAGAGGAACAAGTGGTGGGTTTGCAGTAACATCGTTTTTTCTCTGTAATTTTTTATATTGCTTGACTTTATGAAACAGTGAAGCATAACTTTTGACAAATGCAATAAAGTTTTTCTTTTTCTTTTTTTGAGACAGGGTCTGTTGCCCAGGCTGGAGGGCAGTGGTACAATCATGGCTCATGGTGGCCTTGACCTCCTGGGCTCAGGTGATCCTCCCACCTCAGCCTCCCGAGAAACTGGGACTAAAGGTGTGAACCACCACACCCAGATAATGTTTCGTAGAGACAGGGTCTCACTATATTGCGCAGACTGGTCTTAAATCCCCAGGCTCAAGTGATCCTCCTGCTTCAGCCTCTCAAAGTGCTGGGATTATAGGCGTGAGCCACTGCGCCTTTTTTTTTTTTTTAAATTTCCCACACTATACTGGCATGAAGGTCTATTTTAAAATTGTTTTAAGTGAATACAGTATGTAACTGATAAAAGAACATTGATTCATTTTAATTAAAAAACATGAAAATAAAAAACTCTTCTATGGGCATCAAAGCTAACACTCAGGAGAAAGCCTGCCCCCACGGGGCAGCTCAGCCATGGCCTCCGGGGAACCCGCTCTCGGTGACAGCGCTCTGACCGCGGTCTGGAGCTGGGCTGAAACTCAACATGTGTCCAGACTGCTGCAGTTCAGAACCAGCTTGGCAACGCCGAACCGCATTCCGGTTTGCACGAGGTGCACGTTACTTAGAAAAGTAGCCACAGTCTGCCTGAGTTCCCGTTTTAAGTATTTTCACAACTTCACTGAAAAGCACAGCAACTCACTCACAGTGTGCAGCCTAGTCACCAGGACACGCGCCCTCGGCCGCTAGCTCGTACAGGGAAGGGCTGTCATGACATGACCACAAGATGGTCTCTGCCTCCCCCAGGGGCAGCCAAGGGCCCCACAGAGGATGGCAGGGACAAGCCACCCATGTGGCAACGGCCACGTCCCCTCCCTCAGACGGCAGCCAGTCATACCCGAGGCGGCACCGCGGGCGGCCCCGTGTCCAGTCTCACAGAAGCACAGTCCACTGCCGAGGACACCCTGTTGTCCACATCGCATGCAGCAGCCTGGCTCTTGGAACGTGCTGGGGGCACACGGGACACGGAGACGCTGAAACACTAGCTGTGGGATTCCTGAGCCCGCCCTCCCACTCTCTGCAGTCCGCGTGTGGGATTCCTGAGCCCGCCCTCCGCGTGTGGGATTCCTGAGCCCGCCCTCCCGCCCTCCGCGTGTGGGATTCCTGAGCCCGCCCTCCCACTCTCCGCAGTCCGCGTGTGGGATTCCTGAGCCCGCCCTCCCGCCCTCCGCGTGTGGGATTCCTGAGCCCGCCCTCCCGCCCTCCGCGTGTGGGATTCCTGAGCCCGCCCTCCCACTCTCCGCAGTCCGCGTGTGGGATTCCTGAGCCCGCCCTCCCGCCCTCCGCGTGTGGGATTCCTGAGCTCGCCCTCCCACTCTCTGCAGTCCGCGTGTGGGATTCCTGAGCCCGCCCTCCGCGTGTGGGATTCCTGAGCCCGCCCTCCCACTCTCTGCAGTCCGCGTGTGGGATTCCTGAGCCCGCCCTCCCGCCCTCCGCGTGTGGGATTCCTGAGCCCGCCCTCCCGCCCTCCGCAGTCCGCGTGTGGGATTCCTGAGCCCGCCCTCCCGCCCTCCGCGTGTGGGATTCCTGAGCTCGCCCTCCCACTCTCTGCAGTCCGCGTGTGGGATTCCTGAGCCCGCCCTCCCACTCTCCGCAGTCCGCGTGTGGGATTCCTGAGCCCGCCCTCCCGCCCTCCGCGTGTGGGATTCCTGAGCTCGCCCTCCCACTCTCTGCAGTCCGCGTGTGGGATTCCTGAGCCCGCCCTCCCACTCTCTGCAGTCCGCGTGTGGGATTCCTGAGCCCGCCCTCCCACTCTCTGCAGTCCGCGTGTGGGATTCCTGAGCCCACCCTCCCACTCTCTGCAGTCCGCGTGTGGGATTCCTGAGCTCGCCCTCCCACTCTCTGCAGTCCGCGTGTGGGATTCCTGAGCCCGCCCTCCCGCCCTCCGCATGTGGGATTCCTGAGCCCGCCCTCCCGCCCTCCGCGTGTGGGATTCCTGAGCCCGCCCTCCCACTCTCTGCAGTCCGCGTGTGGGATTCCTGAGCCCACCCTCCCACTCTCTGCAGTCCGCGTGTGGGATTCCTGAGCTCGCCCTCCCACTCTCTGCAGTCCGCGTGTGGGATTCCTGAGCTCGCCCTCCCGCCCTCCGCGTGTGGGATTCCTGAGCTCGCCCTCCCACTCTCCGCAGTCCGCGTGTGGGATTCCTGAGCCCGCCCTCCCGCCCTCCGCATGTGGGATTCCTGAGCCCGCCCTCCCGCCCTCCGCGTGTGGGATTCCTGAGCCCGCCCTCCCACTCTCTGCAGTCCGCGTGTGGGATTCCTGAGCCCGCCCTCCCGCCCTCCGCGTGTGGGATTCCTGAGCTCGCCCTCCCACTCTCCGCAGTCCGCGTGTGGGATTCCTGAGCCCGCCCTCCCGCCCTCCGCGTGTGGGATTCCTGAGCCCGCCCTCCCACTCTCCGCAGTCCGCGTGTGGGATTCCTGAGCCCGCCCTCCCGCCCTCCGCGTGTGGGATTCCTGAGCCCGCCCTCCCACTCTCTGCAGTCCGCGTGTGGGATTCCTGAGCTCGCCCTCCCGCCCTCCGCGTGTGGGATTCCTGAGCTCGCCCTCCCACTCTCTGCAGTCCGCGTGTGGGATTCCTGAGCCCGCCCTCCCGCCCTCCGCGTGTGGGATTCCTGAGCTCGCCCTCCCACTCTCTGCAGTCCGCGTGTGGGATTCCTGAGCTCGCCCTCCCGCCCTCCGCGTGTGGGATTCCTGAGCTCGCCCTCCCACTCTCTGCAGTCCGCGTGTGGGATTCCTGAGCTCGCCCTCCCACTCTCTGCAGTCCGCATGTGGGATTCCTGAGCTCGCCCTCCCACCCTCCGCACTCCGCGTGTGGGATTCCTGAGCTCGCCCTCCCACCCTCCGCAGTCCGCGTGTGGGATTCCTGAGCCCGCCCTCCCACTCTCTGCAGTCCGCGTGTGGGATTCCTGAGCCCGCCCTCCCACCCTCCGCAGTCCGCGTGTGGGATTCCTGAGCTCGCCTTCCTGCCCTCTGCGGTCTGCGTGTGGGATTACTGAGCTCACCCTCCCGCCCTCCGCGTGTAAGTGGACCTGTGCGGTCGGGTTTCCCAGCTCAGAACTTGAACCAGCCTGAACTGCCGGCCTGAGACCAGCCTAGCACATGTGTCCGCTGGGGCCACTCTCATCTTCCACTCTGTGCGATTGATGGCATGTGAGTGAAGGCGAGGACAGAAGGACCACGGCCCACGACGACGCAGACACAAGAGGCCACAGCATAATGCATGAGATGGCGCCCAGAGGCGACCTGTGCACCTGCCCCAGACAAGGCGCCAGGCGAGGTACCTGGGTTAGGAGCTGCTCCGGCGTCAGCTGGTTGATCCAACGTGTGTATCGTTCGGTGGAGTTAGGGGGATCTCTCCTCACTCTGCAACCAATGATCTGTGAAAAACAACGGCAGACAGAGCTCAAAACAAAGTCAGGTACGCAGGTGCATGTGCACACCTGTGTGTATTCATCTCACATGTTTTAGGCAGAGATGTCCAGACAGGAAACTGAAATGCTGCAAATCTGGGTCAGGCAAACACCGGGAGTCGAGGGCGAGGAGGAGGAGGGATGCCTGCTTTTGCTTGGGGACAGCATAGCAACGATGGGCACGACAGAAGACGGCCCTGGACGCGCATCTCGGCGGTGAACCACAGAGCTGCCCTGGGCTGGATTGAGAATATGTCACAGATGACATTTCCCCTTAATGAACTCAAATCAAATGGCCCATATGCAAGGTGAGTTATTTCTAAGAACTCACTTCTTGAATCACATGCAAAGTGGATGTGAGGAAACCGCTGCCTGTCCGCAGGCCGCCCGTCTGAACCTGCTCCATTCAGCTCAGGAAAGCAGCGTCCCTAAGTGGAGAAGAGCCTTGCTACCAGCTGGCTTCCTCCAGGGCCGACAACCCTCTCCCCGGGCATCCAGGCCAGCACCCCTGCCTCAGGTGACATCCTGTCAGTAGCCTTGACCCCCTCCCGGGCCCTGCAGAGCCTCAGAGCATCACCTGCCTCAGCCTTTCTCAACCCTTCCCCCGCCCTCCGCCCTGCCCGGCCCCCTCCAGCCTGACCTCTGCCCCGGAGTGGGCTCCCAGCACTCAGCCCTGGCTCTGTTCTGCTCCTGAGATCCAGAGGTAGGAGGGCAGGTCCTTCAGGGCTCACACTCACCTTGCAGTGGGAGGAGCTGGCTGGAGAGAGGGCACCTGGGCGCGTCCGTAGGAAACAGCACCCACCCCAAGTGAGGGCCCAGGGCCAGCAGAGCCTCCCGAGTAGACGTTCTCACAGCACAGGCCCCAGGTCACAAGTCCCAGCGGACGCAGCTGATTCCGTCTCACCCAAGACCAACAAGGAGACAATAGTGAAAATGTAACTGTGGTCCAAAGAGTGGTATCAGTGAGCCAGTCTCCTAACTCTGAAGCGATGAAGTCACACCGAGGCATCTGAGGCCCCTGGATCTGTCTCCAACTTGTGTAGCGTTTACGCGTAGTGAGTGATTCTTTTCTACCAATGCAGTTAATGACGTGCTTGGGGGAGGCTTCTGTTTGCATTTGTTGTTGTTGTTGTTTTTTAATTAAACTTACTTTGAGAAAATTGTGAATTCACATTGCAGCTGTAAGAAACAACTGTAGAGAGACCCTCTGTGCCCTTCACCACTTCCTCTGGTGGTAACATCACGAGGACCCAAGGTCAACGCCGCACCAGGAGAGGGACATGATGGAGTCCAGATCCAGATGTCCCAGGGCACGAGCACCCGAGGCGCCCCTTACAGCCACTGGCAGCCCCTCAACGGCAGCCGCTGTGCTATCCCGACGCCGTGGCTGTGCTATCCCGACGCCGTGGCTGTGCTCTCCAGAGCATGATCCGGGAACGTGCAGGAGGCGGCCTTCTGTGCCCGGCTTTCGCACTGCTCCTCGGCTCCCAGGACAGGCTTCCAGTCACTGCATGTAACAGTAGTCAGGTCCTGTGCTGGCGATCCCGAACATTCAAGTTCAGGTTTGTCTGTGAACAGCGTCTTCAATCCACTGGGATAAATGCCCAGGAGAGCAACTGCCGGGTCACAGAACAGTTACATGTTTAGTTTTTACAGGAACTTCCAAACAGTCTCCAGAGTGGTTGCGCCGTCTCTCACCCTCAGTGATGCATGAGGATCCAGCTTCTCTGCCTCTCGCCAGCACTGGGTGTCTCGGTTTTCATTCCGTTCTGATGGCACCGTGCTTTAACACAGGCTCCCTGAAGGCTGGCGAGGAGCATCTTTTCGCCTGGTTCTTTGCCGTCTGTACACCCTCCTTAGTGAAATGTCTTTTCATGTATTTTGCTCATTTTCTAATTGGAACAAACGTGCTCGGCCATGGCTGTGTAATTCTTTTCATATGCTGCTGAATTCTATCTGTGAACCTTTCATGTCTCTCTCCTAAAGCACATGCTAAAAATAGTTGTGAATTAGGACAGCTCTGGAGCCGCCGCCCTGCCCAGCGAGTTTTCCCCACACCCAATCTGACCGAGATGCATTTCTAAACTGTTTGGTGTGTCTGTTTCTGTGCATCCTGCATAGCATCTACCTACGTACAATTGCATCTGTTTCCTGGTCTTGTCTATACTGTCTCACGTTTGACTGCTGAACAGAAAAGATTTTGAGGGAAGCTGATCAAAAGCTGGAGGTAGAAGTCCTTTGTTCCAAAACGTGAAGACAGAGAGGCTCAGCATCTACACACAAACACCGAGACCCTGAGGCCAGCACTGCCGGGTCCTGGGAGGCAGCTGTGGGCGACAGGTGAGTACACGCCAGCCCACTCCTGAGAGCCTGGATCCCGCTGGGGCATGAGAGGCGCCTCTCGGACGGGGGCTGATTGACGCCTGCTTCCACTGCGCATGCCCGACCCCTCCCCATGACTCCCCCAGCTTCATGCTTCCCTGGAAAGGTAAAGCCACACCGGGTCTCTCACCAAGAGTGAGGACGGGGTGGGGGAATCCTGTGAAACTAGAGGCCCGAGGCTGGCAATTCCTGTGGCTTTAATTAACCACGAGCCACGAGCATTGGTCTATAAACGGAGGAGGTGAGAGGATCTTTTTTGGCCTCAACATTTTTTAACCTTGGAAGAAGGCAGCAAGCTCTCTCCCGTGCAACTGCATCTAAACAGCAGTAGGAAGGCGTGGATTCCAGACAGACCAACAGCGCCCAGCCGCGATGCTGCCGGCACCTTCCTCTGCAGGAGACCTCGCGCTCTCAAGAGGAGGCGCAGGGAAGAGGCACGCTCTCAAGAGGAGGAGGAGGCGCAGGGAAGAGGTGCGCTATGCGCTTAATCCTGCACCGAGACGTCAGATTCTCAGGGCAGGAGCTTTTGTGGGCACCGCACCTAGCACAGGGCCTGGACCCAGTGAGCAGATGTGAATGAGAGGCCTGTGCGCTGGCCTGAGAGGCTGGCTAACTTTCTCCAGGTTCCTAGAAGAAGCCACTTTCAAGGCTTTCGAGAAGTGTTGTGAGCTAATTCATTTGAAAGCCTCTGTGCCAACAGGCGGAGCAGAAAGCGCAGGCCGCTGGAGTTGATCCCAACAAGCAATCTTGGAACTCTTTCTGAATTTATACGGGGACCACCAGGATCTGGCAATTCCACCGAAAAAAAGAGTCAGAACGTTGAAAGGAATAGGATACTGACAGAAGGGAGGTGTGAGGGGACACGGGGGGCTGTGCTCCCTAAGTTGCCTGCCACAGTCCCTCCCTGCCTGCCCTCCTCACATGGCCATCGACCCTCAAGCACTGAGAGGTGAGGTCTGCGCTCCCTCCCCTCAAATCTGGGGTCAGCATGACACCACGTGACACGGTGCTCTGGGGCTACATTGTCAAAGGCAACGCAGCTTCTGGCAGGCTCTCCTGGACACTTGTTCTTGCAGCCACCATGCTGCGAGGAAGCCTGAGCAGCTTCGTGGAGAGAAAGCGCCCAGCCCGGATCCCTGCCATTGAGCGAGTGCGCGGGCTCCAGATGATCCCAGCCAGGATCCCTGCCGCCGAGCGAGTGCGCAGGCTCCAGATGATCCCAGCCCGGATCCCTGCCGCCGAACGAGTGTGCGGGCTCGAGATGATCCCAGCCCGGCAGTCCAGAGGTGAGGATGCCTGCGAATGGAGACAAGCGGCCCTTCCTGACCCACAAAGACGGAAACTCAGACTTGCAAGGTGAACCCATCACACAGAAGGAAACTCACACCCCCAGGTGAACCCATCACACAGAAGGAAACTCACACTCCCAAGTGAACCCATCACACAGAAGGAAACTCACACCCTCGAGGTGAGTCCCCCATCATAAAACGTAACTCAGGGCTGGAACGTAACTCAGGGCTGGGCGCAGTGGCTCACACCTGTAATCCCAGCACTTTGGAAGGCAGAGGCGGGTGGATCACGAGGTCAGGAGTTCGAGACCAGCCTGACCAACATGGTGAAACCCTATCTCTACTAAAAATACAAAAAAATTAGCCGGGCGTGGTGGCGCACACCTGTAATCCCAGCTACTCAGGAGGCTGAGGCAGGAGAATCACTTGAACCTGGGAGGCGGAGGTTGCAGTGAGCCGAGACCGTACCCCTGCACTCCAGCCTGGGCAACGGAGCAAGACTCCATCTCAAAAAAAAAAAGTAACTCAGATTCATGAGGTAAGCCCCCCACACAGAAAGGAACTGAGACCCACGAGGTGAGTCCCCCCACTGCACGGCCTGGCACAGTTTGCAGGGCCCTTGGCTCTAAAGACGGTGGCAAGAAGGTCAGGGCTGCTGGGGCTGCAGCTCAGACTCCCCGTGGATTCGCCACAGAGGCCGAGTCCTGAAGACGGCAAAGGGGCGAGACCTTCGATGGGCAGCGCAGGAGGGTCAAGCGTGTCTGGGTGAACCCAGGTGAGGTGCCCTCGGTGCATGGTGCTGGGTGCGAGGGAGGAAGGAGGGGCCGGGCTGAGGCGGGAGGCAAATGAACGCAGAGAGCTCAGAAGGGCCCCTTCCCAGAAAGACACGTTTCTGGCACAGACTCAAGAAGTCAGCTTCTGAATTACACTGAAGGAAAGAAAAGAAACCAGTTGCATTTTTGACACTAACATCAGCTCCCTGGGGCCACTGCCTTGGAGTGAACGACTTGCCGTCCACTGCTGTGGGGGAGGGGGGCTGTGGGGGAGGGGAGCTGTGGGGGAAGGGAGCTGTGGAGGCCCCTGGTGTTGGGGGGCTGTGGGGGCCCCTGGTGTGGGGGGGCTGCCCGGCGGGGGGCTGGGGGGGCTGTGGGGGCCCCTGGTGTGTGGAGCTGCAGGGGACCCTGGTGTGGGGGGGGCTGCGGGGGCCCCTGGTGTGGGGTGCTGTGGGCAGCCAGGGGTGCCTGGGGAGCTCGTTCAACCACCAGGCAGGCGGCTCTTCTCCAGCACTGCTGCTGCTGAGCCACGCCCCAGGGTCCAGAGTCACCAGCACCGGGGGCTTCGGCCGCCACTCCTGAGCAGCGATGTTGAAGGCGAAGGTGAAGGAGGAGCACCCAGGCCTGACAGCCCGAACTACAGCCCAGCAGAGCCCGGAGGCAGCCGTCCAGTGTGACCCTGTCACTCCCTGCCCCCGGAGCGAAGAGCACGGTCAGAGGAGAGCCCACAAGCACTCCAACTTCAAGAGCTGAGTCAGTCACTGCAACAGCTTCTGCCTCTCCAAGGCCCAGTCTGGCATGTTCTGCCCCTTCCAGCTTGGGAAGTCACACACCGGTCTGGGCATGGGCTCACAGGGCTGGGGGCCGTGGCCCTCCCAGGCTGCATGTGCAGAGGGGCTGACGCCCCAGCCCTGTGCTCTGGGACTTCCTCAGACAAAGGCTGCAGAGTGCACCGCGGACTTCATTTAAACAGAACACCTGGAAGTCCTGTTTATTTAAGTTAACACGCAGCTTCTTGTGGGGGCAGAAGTGGAAGCAGGGAGAGTCGGCTGCCGTGCCGTCTGGATGATTATGGCTTGGCACAGGCAAGGAGCGGGGAACGGCGCCCAGGATGCAGGGCACGGCGGCTCCACCCATTCCCCCGACAGGCAAGCTGTGGCCCAGGCTGCTTCACAGGAACCCTCCCGTCTTTGTTCCTCCGCGTCGCTTCCCTACACCTCCCTGCATGCTCCATCCCAGTGCACGAGGGTGGGTGAGGCTGTACCCTAAGGTGGAGCACCTGCCCTCACGGGGCTGTACCCCGAGGACTGGTCTTGAACGTTGGGAACAGAGATCAGCTCTGGAAAGGAGCTGGGTGGAGCCAGGGCAGCCTTCGTGTTTGGTCTGGGGTGGTCTAGAGGTGACCAAGAATGCAGGCTTTCCTCTCCGATGTCTCCTGAGCCCAGGCACAGAGGTGGGAAACCACAGGGTGCACAGTGTCAGGAATCCAAGGGTCAGCCGGGGCGAGAGGAGGAGGAAGGACGGGGGTTGGCTGGCCCTCAGGAACGGGGGCAAGTTACAGGGCGCAATGCGGGTTCCCTGTTCTTGCTAACCTTGGATAACGATGCTCTACATGCAGGATTCCTAAAGTTCTGCAGTGATTTATCTACATGCAAATGCACGATTTATGAAAGCCGCCATCAAAGGTCCTTCCTAATTAGCTGGTTTCTTGTAAAAGATCTTAAGAAAACAACGACCAAGTACAAGTATCTCAGCGTTTATTTCATTCTCTCAGGACAAACTACACAATGTAATTCACGTAACCACGAACCAGCAACTGCAAATTAAGATTTTTGTAGGTCATGATTTCTAAAAAATCCAGCCACGCAATAACAGCCTTTCTAAAGCTGACTTTGTTTTAGTGAAACAAAACTGTGATGACATCCCTAAGCTTCCTCCAGAAGAGCTTCGACGTGGAGAAACGGGGTGGACGCTCCACCTAACCGCGCCATTGGGAAAAGAGGAGGCACCTGGAGCAGAAGCTTCTCTCCCAAGTGCACAACAGAGCATCAGCGAAGGCAGTGAGAAGAGTAGCAAGAAAAAGGTTTAAAATCATCGATGAAAATGGAAATTAAGCTTGTCTTATTACAATTAAGACAAACTGACCATGTGCATTTTCCCCACATTCCTGTGGGGAATCCCAGCTCGTTTGAACACACGCCACGAACTCCTGGTATCCGTAAGTATCCCAGCTCGTTTGAACACACGCCACGAACTCCTCGTATCCATAAGTATCCCAGCTCGTTTGAACACACGCCACGAACTCCTCGTATCCATAAGTCTCCCAGCTCGTTTGAACACACGCCACGAACTCCTCGTATCCATAAGTCTCCCAGCTCGTTTGAACACACGCCACGAACTCCTCGTATCCATAAGTCTCCCAGCTCGTTTGAACACACGCCACGAACTCCTCGTATCCATAAGTCTCCCAGCTCGTTTGAACACACGCCACGAACTCCTCGTATCCATAAGTCTCCCAGCTCGTTTGAACACACGCCACGAACTCCTCGTATCCATAAGTCTCCCAGCTCGTTTGAACACACGCCACGAACTCCTCGTATCCATAAGTCTCCCAGCTCGTTTGAACACATGCCACGAAGAACTGCCAAAGGCAACTCCATTAATGAAGCCAATCTGGGCTTGTTTTTCAGTATGGAAATGAAAACATCTGAAAGTATCTCCTCCACTAAAATGTCAACACTCCTAACAAAATTCCTTAGACGTCTGTATGATTGATTCTAAATAGCTGGCAACTGTCATTTCTAGCTGTGTAAAAATCGCTGTGGCACCTCACATACGGACGGCTCAGTCCAGCCACGGTTTCCAGCTCACGGGCCGGCACAGGGTCTGCTCCACCTTCCAGTCCACAGGACCACACAGCTGCAGGGACGCAAAGGGAGCCGTTGGGCAGCTAACGTGGCAGGGACGCCCCTTTCCTCTCCAGCCTCCATGTGCGATATCTCACACCTCTGCAAAAGGCCCTCCTGGAAACCCCAGACTCTGCACTTTCCTCACATAAACTGTCCACAGAAGTCCATCCCGAAGGACATTTTCCCCCATTTTCCCCCTATTCCCCACAAAGGAACTGGACTGGAAAAACCGTCTGTGATCACTCTCTGTTTCCACATGACTGAAACCCCACAGCACCTGTGGCTGGGGTAGAAATCACCCCTAATCCCTAGATCCCCGGGCCCCCCGTCCCACCCGACAAGCAGACACTCTCGGACGTCTCTCCCAGGCAGTCCATGCCTGTAAACTTCCAGAAACTGACTTCCGGAGCCTGTGGCCCCGATTGCCATGGATATGCTGTCACACTCTCACACGTATTTGTGGTTGCTACGGAGAAACATTCAGACATATTTGCGGTTCCTAAACTTTGCAAACACGTGACCCTTTTAAGAATCTGCTACAAGCCACAGAGCTCTCTCCTGCCCTCACAGAAAATGTGCCCCCACAGAAGGCCCTGCAGCCACGCTGGGGCCACTGAGCCCCAGGACCTGACACACCCCCAAAGGAGGCAACCGTGTGGGGCCCTCTGCACCCGAGAAGGTGGCCTGTGTCTCAGTCTGTCTCCTGCCTCACGTGAGACGCAAACCTCCGTGCAGCCGGCTGCACCCCCAGCACCGCCCACCCCCAGCGCACCAGCCCTGCCCCCATCCCAACCCCCCTCCCCCTCAATGCTGCCCCCCCAAACCCCCACACCCTTTCCCCCCTCCCAACCCCCTCTGGTTCCAACACCCAGGCCCTCCCCTTCAGACGCCCCCAGCACACCCGTCCTGCCCTTGCCCCCCTGCCCGACCCCCCACAGGGTGAACTGTCACGAGCACCCACTCTGTGGGGAGCTGGGCTCCCAGCGCCGTGTGGGCCAGACCCTGCCGTGACCAGGCCCGTCTGTGACCTGACCAGGATGTGACCAGAGCCGGCCGTGACTGAACCGTGTGGTGACCCAACCGCACACGTGCCCACGACGCACAGCCCCGCGGGGGGAGGGCAGAGGGGCCTGTCCAGGGTGAGCGCCAAACTGCCCGGGGGACGGACACTGTGGGCGCTGGACAGTTATGGATCCCTCAGTGTTAAAACCCAAGTGATCACCGCTGTGATTCAAAGTCTTCTAAAACTTGAGCGAGATCTCTGAGGACACAGTCACCTTCCCTGAAGCCAGCAGGAGCCTCGCGGTGGCTGAGACACCAGCTCCAGGGATCCCTGGGCCATGTGTCCCCACCATCTGCGGTGGGGGATGGAGGAGCCCACGGGGCACTGCTGTGCTTCCTCCCCACTGGGCGGAGGAGCCCACGGGGCACTGCTGGGCTGAGGAGGGGCCCCAGGAAGCCTGGCTTTGGAGGGGCAACTGAGAAGCCGTTCTAAAGATAAAAACCGTAATTTAAGATCGTCTAAATAAGAAAAACGTTTAACTGTGAACACGGTATAGCTCTCAGCCTGTGTTTTCATGTCTAAGGCGCTCAGCTTCTAAAACGCTGATTAAAAACAAACAACACAACCACCTTTGCACCCTACGAAAATAACAGGAGAAAAATCAGGGGCATGTTTTTCTCCAAAGGAAAACACCCTCCAGGGCTCAGAGACATGCCAGCCACAGATCCCTCTCCGTGACTTGACAGTCTCACCATAGCCTGATTCTTTCCACCCCTAGGAAAACTCTTTATTTAAAAAACCACAGTGGTAATTTCACTAAAGGTAGTAACGACACTAAGGAGGCCAGTACTTACGCTCGACGGGTGCTGAACGGCAGCCTCGTGTTGCAGCCTCACCCGCTGGGGCATCATGACGTCATCCTGCAGTAAAGAACACACTTTCCGTTTGTTTGTTTGCATTGATTGATGCATAGACTAATACAGTCCCGCTTTATTGCCCAGGCTGGAGTGCAACGGCACAATCATAGCTCACTGCAGCCTCAAACTCCCGGCTTCAACTGATCCTCTCGCCTCAGCCTCCCAAAGAGTTGGGATTACAGGCTTGAGCCACCATGCTCAGCCCCAAGAACATATTTTAAACTCACATAAAGCAATTCCTACAAATAAGTAAGAAAACGATAGACAATCCAACAGCAAAACAGGCAAGGGCCTTGAACAGGCCATTCAGACAAGAGGATTTCCAGTGGACCAACAACCTCGTCAGCCATCAGAGAAATGCAATTAGTTATGCAGCGGAGAAGGAAAAATAAAAAATGCTGACAATTCCAAGTGTACTTAATTAGGCAGAACAAGAGCTCCCATGCACTGCTGGCTGCGATGAGGACCTGTTACCACTGTGGAGGGGGACCGTCTGCAGTGAAGACCTGCCACCACTGTTGAGGGGACCGTCTGCGGTGAGGACCTGCCACCACTGTGGAGGGGACCGTCTGCGGTGAGGACCTGCCACCACTGTGGAGGGGGACCGTCTGCGGTGAGGACCTGCCACCACTGTGGAGGGGACCGTCTGCGGTGAGGACCTGCCACCACTGTGGAGGGGGACCATCTGCGGTGAGGACCTGCCACCACTGTGGAGGGGACCGTCTGCGGTGAGGACCTGCCACCACTGTGGAGGGGACCGTCTGGCATCTTCCAGCAAAGCTGAAGATGCACTTCCCTAAGACCCTGACGTCTGACTACTTGGGTAGGAAAAGCCCTACTCACACACACAGACATGCTCACGGCAGCTCATTCAAATGTGGAAAGAACCCAGTGAGTGAGAATAGCAGATACATGAATTGTGCATGTTATTTTCAAATGCCATTCAGCAGCTGAACACAACAGAAATTTCACAAGCCTAATGTTCAGTGAAAGAAGCAAGACACAAGAATATACATGGTATTTTCCCCTTATTTAAATTCAAAACCAAGCCAAATAAACCATATTATTTAAGAAATGCACACACAGTGTGTACCAGGGTCCCAATTCCCGGGGAAGCGGGCTGGTGCCGCGCCATGGACCAGGCCACACAGCAGGAGTGAGCGGCGGCCGGGCGAGCGTCACGGCCTGAGCTGCCCCTCCTGTCAGAGCAGCGGCTGCATTAGACCCTCACAGGAGCGCAAACCCTACTGTGAACTGCACACGCGAGGAATCCAGGTCACAGACTCCTTATGAGCATCTAACTAATGCTGACGGCCTGAGGTGGAACTGTTTCATCCCAAAACCACGCCCCCCCACCATCGGTCTGTGAAAACATTGTCTTCCACAAAACCTGTCCCTGGTGCCAAAAAGGCTGGGGACCACGGATATAAACCATAAAGAAAAGCAACAACATTATAACCTTGAAGATCAGAAGAGTGGTCACTTTTTGGGGGGAAGTCGAGGTGGGGGCATGGGTGGGACAGTCCCTTTAAGGTGCCGGCCATAAGCATTTATTGATCGAGTGGTAGCTACACAAATATTTGCTTCATAATTAACTTGTAAATTAATGGATATTTATGTTTTGTGCATTTTTCTGTGGGTGTATTCTATCTCATGATAAAAAAATTAAGTGGAAGAACAGCAAAGGTTTAAGTACATGAGTAAAAGGTACAAATGTACTCAATAGCAGAAATAAGAATAATGTCATTGGAAGGATATCTGTTTTTAAGTTGAACGCTAAGATGAACTAAAATACCCATATTTATGTCTCTTATTCCCGCAAAACGGCCTTAGGACATTCAGATCATCCAACGAACCATGCTGAGGGAAGCCGAGAGGAACCTAGTGGGGCTGAAGAGAGGAGGCTGGGGACAGAGGGGAAGTGGGAGGAGGGCAGAGAGAAGAGAATAAAGGAGGGTGGAGAATGGAGGAGTGAGAAGGGATGGAGGGAGGAGGGAAGAGGGCAGAAGAGGAGGGTGGAGAAGGGAGGAGGGAGTAGGGAAGAGAACAGGAGGTTGGAGAGTGGAGGAGGGAGAAGGGGAGAGGACTGAAGAGGAGGGGGGAGGAGGGAGGAGGGACAGAAGAAGGAGGGAGGAGGCAGGTGGAGGGTGGAGGGAAGTGGGGGTTGGGGAGAGAGAATAGAGGAGGGAGGGTGGAGGAGAGAGGAGAAGGGAGGAGGGAAGAAGGAGGATGAAGGTGGAGAAGGGAGATGGAAGGAGGGAGGAGGGAGGAAGGAGGAGGAGGAGGGCTAAAAACCTGCATATGACCCTGACAGGTATTTCAAAAAGAAGAGCTGAGGAGGCTCAAAGGAACCACAGGCACCACCTAAGGGGCACGTCACTAACCTTCAAACACGGGACCCTCAAACCTTCCGACCCCTGGTCTAGACACCTAATCCCCGATGCCCCAAGCCCAGGCTAAATGTCCTGTGGGAAAGTCTCTTGCACCTTCTAGAACCAGGGCCAGGCCAGTTCTTCTATGGAGTTGGCCCTCAAAAATATTTGTAAGACATGGAGGTCATTAAGTGAAATATCCAGACACAGAAAGACAAACGCTGGTGTTGCCACCCATGTGTGGGAGCTGAGGAGATGATCTCGTGGAGGTAGAAGGATGGCGCTCAGCAGAGGCCAGGAAGGGCAGTGGCGGGAGGAGGAAGGGGGGTTGGTTAAAGGGCACAAAACTACAGTCAGGTAAAAGGAGTAGTTCTAGTGTTCGATAGCACAATAGGGTGACTATAGTTAACAATAAGTTATTGTATATTTCAAAATAGCTAGAAGACTTTTATGGCCAGGCGCAGTAGCTCATGCCTGTAATCCCAGCACTTTGGGAGGCCAAGGCAGGCGGATAACTTGAGGTCAGGAGTTCGAAACTAGACTGGCCAAGATGGTGAAACTCTGGCTCTACTAAAAAAAAAAAAATTCACCGAGTATGGTGCTGCACGCCTGTAGTCCCAGCTACTCAGGAAGCCGAGGTACGAGAATCACTTGAACCTGGAGGTGGAGGCTGCAGTGAGCTGAGATCACGCCACTGCACTCCAGCCTGGGCGACAGAGAGAGACTCCATCTCAAAAAACAAAATGAAATAGCTAGAAGATCTGGAATGTTCCCAACACAAATGATAAATGTTTGATGTGATGGATGGTCCAGTTACCCTGGCTTGATCATGACACACGGTGTGCCTGCATCGAGTACCACATGTGCTCCGTGAACATGGTGCGCCTGTATCAGGTACCGCACGTGCTCCATGAACACCGTGCGCCTGTATCAGGTACCACATGTGCTCCACAAACACGGTGTGCCTGTATCGGGTACCACACGTGCTCCACAAACACGACGTGCCTGCATCAGGTACCACACGTGCTCCACAAACACGGTGCGCCTGTATCAGGTACCACACGTGCTCCGTGAACACCGTGCGCCTGTATCAGGTACCACACGTGCTCCGTGAACACCGTGCGCCTGTATCAGGTACCACACGTGCTCCGTGAACACCGTGCGCCTGTATCAGGTACCACACGTGCTCCGTGAACACCGTGCGCCTGTATCAGGTACCACACGTGCTCCACAAACACGGTGCACCTGCATCAGGTACCACACATGCTCCGCGAACATGGTGTGGCTGTATCAGGTACCACACATGCTCCACAAACACGGCGTGCCTGTATCAGGTACCACACGTGCTCCACAAACACGGTGTGCCTGTATCAGATACCACACGTGCTCCACAAACACGGTGCGCCTGCATCAGGTACCACACATGCTCCGCGAACATGGTGTGGCTGTATCATGTACCACACGTGCTCCGTGAACATGTACAACGATCCCTAAAAACTTCAAAAATATATTTGTAAAACAAATGAATAGATCTTTAATTCACTTCACCATTTATAAAACACACACATACACTTTTTTTTTATATTTATCACACTCTTCTATGGCTGGAGAGAGAATAGCTAATATTATCTCTATTTTGTAGCCAAGAAAACGGAGGTTTGGAAAGGGTATGTAATTCTTAATACCCAAAGTCTCGTAGCAATTACATGTCAGGGTTAAAATTGGATAGAACGCCTCATCCAACACCATGGTTTTCCACAGGACATTGCTTCTGACCAAGGAACTCACTTAACAGCCAAAGAAAGGTCGCAATGGGCCGGGCTCCTGGAATTAACTTCCCTCTCATGTCCCTACCATCTCGAAGCCATGGGTCGGACAGAGGTGGGATGGCCTTTGGAGGTCCAGTTACGGCACCCATTCAGCGGCGACGCTGGCAGGGCTGGGGCGAGGCTCTCCAGAGGCCGCACTGACTCCAAATGAGCCTCTGGGACATGGAGCTGTTTCTCCCCAGCCAGGGCTCACGGGGCCAGGAATCGAGGGGCGGACATGGGAGTGGCACTCACTGTCACTCCTGGTGATGTACTAGGGGAGCTCCTGCTTCCTGCCCCCTGACGTTGTGGTCTACAGGCCGAGAGGTCTGGGTCCCAGGGGAGGAACACTGCCACCAGGAGACGCACGATGACGCCGCCGGAATGGAAGTTAAGACCCCACCCGGCCCCTTGGGCTCCTCATGCCTCTGAGTCCACGTCCAGAAAGGGATTGTCTGTGCTGGCCCGGGGATTGATCCTGACCACCCAGGGGGAATTGGCCTATGTGGCCACAATGGAGGCAGGACAGAGTCTATGATGCAGGAGAACCCTGGGGCGTCAAATTACTCCACAGAGAACGGTTCAAATAAAATGGCCAGTGCGCAAAGACAGCCAGGCTTATAAGTAAAAACAGACAAAATATCAGAAAACAAAAGACTTGATATATTCAAATTATCACGCACAAAATATTTTTAAAATCTATGCAAGTTGTATTTAAAAAACTAAAAGATATAAGACATGAGCAAGTCATGAAAGGACAAATATTGTCACAGGAGGTCCCTTAGCAGAGCCAAAGTCATGGGGACTGGACGGAGACGGGTGGCAGCCAGAGGCTGGGGCGGGCAATGGGCTGTTTCACGGGGACAGAGCTTCAGTTCGGGAAGACGGGAAAGATCTGGAGGCGGAGGCGGCGGGGGCTGCACAGCAATGTGACTGTACTTCACGCCACTGAATTAAAAATGGCTAAAATGGTAAATTTTATGTTATATACATTTTACCACACACAAAAACTAAAAGACAAACTTGAACAATAGAACTTTCTCTCTTTTTTTTTGAGTTGGAGTTTTGCTCTTCTTGCCCAGGCTGGAGTGCAGTGGCGCAATCTTGGCTCACTGCAACCTCCTTCTCCCAGGTTCAAGCGATTCTCCTGCCTCAACCTCCCGAGTAGCTGGAATTACAGGCGCCCACCACCACACCTGGCTAATTTTCACATTTTTAGTAGAGACAGCGTTTCACCACGTTGGCCAGGCTGGTCTCAAACTCCTGACCTTAGGTGATCCACCCGCCTTGGCCTCCCAAAGTGCTGGGATTATAGGTGTGAGCCACTGCACCCGGCCAAGAATAGAACTATTAGAACTAAAAGACAAATCCCAATTAAGCATAACACAGACAAATTTAATAGCAAAACAGATTTTCTAAAGAGATAGTGAATTTGAACATATATCAAAATAAATTATTCAGAATTCAGCATGAAAAGACCAGAAGATGGAAAACAGAGAGAAAAAAAGAAGAAAAACCAAAGCGATATAAAGTGTAAGAGGGTCCCAGAAAGAGAGAGAGAAAAGCTTACTGGAAACAAGCAAGCTTTGAAGAAATGACGGCTAAGAAATTTCTGAGACCGATAAGGATGCCTGCACACACAATTACAAAGCCCAGGCCAGGCAAGTCCCAGAAAACCCAGGAGCCGAGTCCACTTCCAGGAACGGACGAATAAGTTGCTTCAGAACAATATTTTCCATAGAATAGCTGGAAAAGCTAGAAAAATACTAAAACAAAACAAAATGCCTGTTGAAAGCCACTGGAGACCCACAAAGGCCACAAGGACCAAAGACCGAGGTCTGGAGCGGAGAAGCCCAGAGAGGTGAGCAGGACGCCCCTGGGGACACGATGGGGCCTTGGGGCCCAGCTCACCAGGCCACCAGCCCACCTGCCCATCGGGAGACAAAGTCAGCCCCAGGGGAGGTGATGGCCATCCCGACCATCCGGTCATTTCTAAAACCAGCGTCTCAAAGAGTTACTGATTCTGAGCGCAGTTGGGGAGAGGCCACGGCCGCATGGCACTCCTGCCACTCCCAGGGCTGGAAGGAAACACGGGGTTCAGGGATCTGTGAGGACGGGGACTGGAGAACACCCCGAGTTTTCTGCTGGGACCCACGAGAACCAACTGCATTTAATTTGGGGAAGACAGAGAGAGAGATCATTGCGAAGGGGCATGAAAGGGGCTTCCGAGGTGGTTACATTTTCTATGGTGGCCACAGGAATATTTGCTTTATGATACTTTATAGAGTCATACATTGTGTTCCACACGAGTATTTGCCTTATGAAGCTGTACGTACATTTGTGCCCTACATGAATATTTGCTTTATGATACTTTAATGATACTTTATGGACATCTGTGTTTTGTGCTCTTCTCTGTATGTGTTTTTCTTCATAATGAAAATGATGAAACAAACAAGAATTTTGAACACGAGGTTGTTGCTAGAAGCACTTCTGTTCAACACTGTACTGGAGGTCCTAGTCAGTATAATGAACTGAACCAAGAACGCGGAATAAGTAAGATTGGAATAGACATTGGAGAGGGGTAAAAGGCTCCTTATTCACAGGTGACATAATCATTTCATAGTAAATTGTAAAGAATATGCAAAAAAAAAACTCTACTAGAATAAGCTAATGTAGCATATTTGCAGCAATAAAACTTGGAAATGAATTGTTAATACCACTTTTCAATAGCACTGAAACCCAAAAATACTTAAGAGATATATTTTATTAAATGTTGAAGACCCATACCCTAAAAACTACAAAATATTCCAGAGAGAAATTTAAGAAGGCATAAACACATGGAGAGATATACTATGTTTACGGATTAGAAGACTCAATACTAAGATCCTCAAGTGGATTTATAGATTCAATGTAATCCCAATAAAAATCAGCAGGCTTGACCAGTTCATTCTAAAATTTTGCAGAATTCAAAGGACCTAAAAGAAAAAACGAAAAAAACCAACACAACCATTTTGAGAGCGGTAAGAACAAAGCTGGAAGACTTACAATCCCAGATTTTGAGACTTACTATAAAGCTACACTGTAGCTTTATTACTGCAGCTGCTAGAATAATCATGTAATAGTAATCAAGACAGAGTGGAACTGGTATAAAGAGAAATATAAAGATCAGTGGAACAGAACAGAGCACAGAAATAGATCAAATAGATCCACGCTTTTTTGGATCCACTGATTTTCAACAAAGGTGCCAAGATAATTCCACAGAGAAAGAACAGGAATGCTGGAAAAACCGGACATCATCCAGGAAAAAGAATCCTCAGCCCCCATATACACCATCTTCAAAAATGAACCTGAAATGAACCAGAGGTCTCAATGTAAAAGATAAAAATAGAAGACATCCAAAAGAAAATGAAGAAAACTTTGGGGCAGACAAAGGTTTCTTAGGTTCTTAGACGGGACACAAAAAGCACAAATCTTATTTTTCTTTAAGTGATAAAATGGTCATTATCAAAATTTAAAACTTCTGTTCATCAAAAGACATGGCCCCACGTACACCAGTGTGAACTCACATGAGCTTAGCACTGTCCCCGCCCCACCTGCACCAGCGTGAACTCACATGAGCTTAGCACTGTCCCCGGCCCACCTGCACCAGCGTGAACTCACGTTAGCTTAGCACTGTCCCCGGCCCACCTGCACCAGCGTGAACTCACATGAGCTTAGCACTGTCCCCGCCCCACCTGCACCAGCGTGAACTCACATTAGCTTAGCACTGTCCCCGGCCCACCTGCACCAGCGTGAACTCACATGAGCTTAGCACTGTCCCCGGCCCACCTGCACCAGCGTGAACTCACATGAGCTTAGCACTGTCCCCGGCCCACCTGCACCAGCGTGAACTCACATGAGCTTAGCACTGTCCCCGGCCCACCTGCACCAGCGTGAACTCACATGAGCTTAGCACTGTCCCCGGCCCACCTGCACCAGCGTGAACTCACGTTAGCTTAGCACTGTCCCCGGCCCACCTGCACCAGCGTGAACTCACATGAGCTTAGGACTGTCCCCGGCCCACCTGCACCAGCGTGAACTCACATGAGCTTAGGACTGTCCCCGGCCCACCTGCACCAGCGTGAACTCACATGAGCTTAGCACTGTCCCCGGCCCACCTGCACCAGCGTGAACTCACGTTAGCTTAGCACTGTCCCCGCCCCACCTGCACCAGCGTGAACTCACATGAGCTTAGCACTGTCCCCGGCCCACCTGCACCAGCGTGAACTCACGTTAGCTTAGCACTGTCCCCGGCCCACCTGCACCAGCGTGAACTCACATGAGCTTAGCACTGTCCCCGGCCCACCTGCACCAGCGTGAACTCACATTAGCTTAGCACTGTCCCCGGCCCACCTGCACCAGCGTGAACTCACGTTAGCTTAGCACTGTCCCCGGCCCACCTGCACCAGCGTGAACTCACATGAGCTTAGCACTGTCCCCGCCCCACCTGCACCAGCGTGAACTCACATGAGCTTAGCACTGTCCCCGGCCCACCTGCACCAGCGTGAACTCACGTTAGCTTAGCACTGTCCCCGCCCCACCTGCACCAGCGTGAACTCACATGAGCTTAGCACTGTCCCCGCCCCACCTGCACCAGCGTGAACTCACATGAGCTTAGCACTGTCCCCGGCCCACCTGCACCAGCATGAACTCACATTGGCTGCTCTCCGCTGTTTTCTAAAGTTGCAGCAGATTCTATACAGCTGATACCAACATTCTTTTCTAAATAATTCCAGGCTAAAGCCGACAAGTCAAATATAGAAGTCAGGTGGCACGTGATAAAGAGATGAGGAAAAACACACTTCCTCACTCAGCTAGCAACACCTGCATTTAATCAGTTACTGACCAGTGTACCATTCTAAATAAAGGGAAAATAGCATGATTCAGGAATCTCTTGGTCACCACCATGCTCTGTGGTGAAACGCTTTGGTCTCAAAACCACCCAAGACAAAGCACGTGGCCTCGTGTCCCCTTTCTGTTAAACGCATGCTGGGGAGGCGCCAGATCTCCTTCCTTCCACCCCCACGTCTCCCGACCTCCAGCAGCTGCAGGGAAGAGCTGGAAGGGAAAGTGGAAACCCAACCTTCATGGGTTAGATGGGCCGATGCTTCTGTAACACTCACTAGCAGTGGGACACGGTGGGACAAAATGTGTCATCACAAAGGAGGTTGAAGTTGCCTTTCTCGATTTTCTGCAAATTAGCAATTTAAAAGTGCTTCCTCCCCTGTGGATTCTGCGCTGGTTCCTTCTACCTCGCCAGAGCAAACACCGGACCGTGTGTCTCTAACACCGGAGATGCCAGAGGGTACAGTGTGGGGAGGACTCGCCTGATACGAGGTCCTGTGTCCCCACATTTCCTGTTGGACCTAAAGGCTAAACAGGGGTGAACGCACAAGAGGTTCCAGGCGTCCACTCCTGGAGGCAGAGTCCCTGATGTACTCAGGCAGCAGAGCAGCCCTCCTGGTCGTCTGCAGAAGAGCCCCCAGCGCAGGCCTCAGGTGGTCCCGGCCACAGCTCCTGGCCAGCTCAGCGGCAGCCTCCGCCCGGGGTCCTCCAGGCGGGCAGGCCCTGCTTCTGAATTCAGCATCGACTCCCTCCTAGAGGTGCTGCTCCACGGTTTCCTGAATAGTTTCTTGAACCGGAAATCAAGTCACCTCCAAGACCACACGGCGGTTCAGACGGAGTTCGCGAGACCACGCACAAGACAGGCGCGGACGTGGCCAGCAGAGCCCTCGCTCATCCGCCTCCAGTCTCCAAGTGAGGTGGGTTGCGTGTGGGGCCTCAGCTGTTGAGGGATAAACATCTGTGTCCTGTGTAGAGACCGGGCTCTCTGTGCGGAGGGAAAAGCTGGCAACTGTGCAGGGCCCCAACCCCACCAGGAGAAGAGGACTCTGGCCCAGGGGTGAATCCACGCGTGTTAACACGCCCCCGGGGCTGAGACTGCGGAAGCTGCGGGTTCCTGGTGTGGGTCAGGCCTGGGTAAGGGGCCTGAGGGTCATGATGCCCGCAACATCGGCATGCCCTGGTCACCTTCTGCAGCCGGACAGGCAGACGCTGTGATGCTGAGGAGTGACCAGAACGCTGTGGCCACGGGGCCTGGGCCGTGCTGCTCAGGGGTGCAAAGCGCTCCAACTCCTGCCAGACACATCGGCCGGCACAGAGGGCAGCAAACGGCTACTGCTGGCCAGGATCAAAGCAGCCGGCAGCTGCAAGACCGCAGTCCTCGTTTCAGGAGCAAGACGTCCCCCAAGGTCGTGGGACCTAGTCAAAGGGCATGGAAGCCAGTCTGAAAGGTCCCTCGCTGGCCAAATCACAGACAGTGTGAACATCACAGTAAGTGACAGTAACTAATGATAACTCAAATAAAACAGAAACCATGGAGTCCACACACACATAGAAACTGTGAAGTCCACACACACACAGACACCGCGGAGTCCACACACGGACACCGCGGAGAGTCCACACACACATAGAAACTGTGAAGTCCACACACACACGGACACCGCGGAGTCCACACACGGACACCGCGGAGAGTCCACACACACATAGAAACTGTGAAGTCCACACACACACGGACACCGCGGAGTCCACACACGGACACCGCGGAGAGTCCACACACACATAGAAACTGTGAAGTCCACACACACACGGACACCGCGGAGTCCACACACGGACACCGCGGAGAGTCCACACACACATAGAAACTGTGAAGTCCACACACACACGGACACCGCGGAGTCCACACACGGACACCGCGGAGAGTCCACACACACATAGAAACTGTGAAGTCCACACACACACGGACACCGCGGAGTCCACACACGGACACCGCGGAGAGTCCACACACACATAGAAACTGTGAAGTCCACACACACACGGACACCGCGGAGAGTCCACACACGGACACCGCGGAGAGTCCACACACGGACACCGCGGAGAGTCCACACACACGTAAGAAGAGCAGAGTCAAGGCGGGGCTGAGGGTATTCCAGGTGGAGGAGATCACAGAGACACAGTAACTAAATGCAGCGCGATTCTGAGCAGGGGTTTCTCCGACGGCACCACTGGGACAGCCTGGCCCGGCACCGGGTGCCAGTCGTGTCCGGGTGAGTACATCCCTGTCGTGACGGGAGGCCGTGGGCTGCAGGAGAATGTTCTTTGCAGGACGTACACACACGTACTCGGGGTGACATGCACGATGCTGGTGGCCTAAGCCAATGGCTCAGGGAGAACAAAAAGTTCTTTGCAGTATCCTTGAAACTTTCTGTGAGTTCTGATGGTTTCAAAGGGGAAAGAGAAATGAGCAAAAAGATGTAAACACTTTTCACAGAAAAGAAAACCCACATGGCCAAGAACAGAAGACGACGCTCACCATAACCCGTGACCAGGAAGTGCAAATCCAGGCACAGAGAGGCCCCCTTTGCTCCTGCTCAGCCAGCAAAAGTGAACCCCCCGGAATTCTAAGTGCTGGAGAACCAGCGAGAGCGTGGGTGTTCGCAGGCATCACTCTTCCGTGCCCTGGGAGCTGGCAATTCCACTTCCAGGTACAAAGCTAAGAGGAACCCACATGCACAGCCAGAGGTGTGTGGACAGGCCACAGCAGCACCATTCCTCAAAGCAAAAACCTGGTGGCAGCCCAAAAGCCTGTCCACAGGAGGAAAGACGGATGTACACGGCAGGTTTGCTCAGCAGAATGCTGTACAGCAGAGAAACCAAACAAACCGCAGAGGACAGATACACAGAGCGGGGCAGGGAGCCTGCAGACAAACCCACCCTCAACAGACACACAGAGCGGAGTGGGGAGCCCACAGACAAACCCACCCTTCACAGATACACAGAGCAGGGCAGGGAGCCTGCAGACAAACCCACCATCGACCGATACACAGAGGAGGGCAGGAAGCCTGCAGACAAACCCACCCTCGACAGACACACAGAGCAGGGCGGGGAGCCTGCAGACAAACCCACCCTCGACAGACACGCAGAGGAGGGCAGGAAGCCTGCAGACAAACCCACCCTCGACAGACACACAGAGGAGGGCGGGGAGCCTGCAGACAAACCCACCCTCGACAGACACACAGAGCAGGGCGGGGAGCCTGCAGACAAACCCACCCTCGACAGACACACAGAGCGGGGCAGGAAGCCTGCAGACAAACCCACCCTCGACAGACACACAGAGGAGGGCAGGGAGCCTGCAGACAAACCCACCCTCGACAGACACACAGAGCGGGGCAGGGAGCCTGCAGACAAACCCACCCTCGACAGACACACAGAGCGGGGCAGGGAGCCTGCAGACAAACCCACCCTCGACAGACACGCAGAGCAGGGCGGGGAGCCTGCAGGCAAACCCACCCTCGACAGACACACAGAGCAGGGCGGGGAGCCTGCAGGCAAACCCACCCTGGACAGACACACGGAGGGGGGCAGGGAGCCTGCAGACAAACCCACCCTTGACAGACACAGAGCAGGGCAGGGAGCCTGCAGACAAAGCTACCCTCACACCGCCAAGTGATTTTCAACAAAGGCATCAGCACAATTCCATGGAGAAAAGAAAGCTCTTCAATAAATGGTGCTGGGACTGAATATTCACATGAAAAAAACTAACCTTGATATTTACTTCATGCCACATACGGAAATTAACTAGAGATGGACAAGAGACGTCGATAGGACAGTCAAAACTAGAAGCTACCAGAAAAACACAACTTCTCCTTCGGGGTGAGCAAAAGTTTATTAGGAAAAAATTTAACTAGAAAACAGTAAATAAGTTGGACTTCACTGATGTTAACATCTTCTGCTCAAGACACCATTAAAATATGAAGAGGGGCCGGGCACGGTGGATCATGCCTGTAATCTCCATGCTTTGAGAGGCTGAGACAGGAGGATTGCTTGTGCCTGGGAGGCTGAGGCTACAGTGAGTCGAGATTGGGCCACCACACTCCAGCCTGGGTGACAAAGTGAGACGCTCTCAAAAAAAAAAAAAAAAAAAAAAAAAGCAAGCCACTTACAGGGAAAAAATATCCACAATCTATATACCTGACAAAGGACTTGTATCTAGAATATGTCACAAAACTCTGTAACTCATTAATAGTAAGATAAACAGGCCAGGTGTGGTGGCTCACGCCTGTAATCCTAGCACTCTGGGAGGTCGAGGCGAGCAGACCACCTGAGCTCAGGAGTTCAAGACCAGCCTTGGCAACATGGGGAAACCCCATCTCTACTAAAATACAAAAAATTAGCCAGGTGTGGTGGTATGCACCTGTAGTCCCAGCTACTCAGGAGGCTGAGGCAGGATTGCTTGAACCTGGGAGGCGGTGGTTGCAGTGAGCCAAGATCGCACCACTGCACTCCAGCCTGAGCGACAGAGTAAAACTTCATCTCCCTCAGAACGACCTGCACGCTCCCGGCTCTGGTCCCATGGCAGCCGGGGATAAAAGGTAAGAGGTGAGATATGGGCATTTCATGAAAGAAGATTTATGAATGGCCAATAAACCCACGAAAAGGTGCTCACCAGGCCGGGCGCGGTGGCTCACACCTGTAATCCCAGCACTTTGGGAGGCCGAGGCGGGCGGATCACGAGGTCAGGAGATCGAGACCATCCTGGCTAACACGGTGAAACCCCGTCTCTACTAAAAATACAAAAAATTAGCCGGGCGAGGTGGCGGGCGCCTGTAGTCCCAGCTACTCGGGAGGCTGAGGCAGGAGAATGGCGTGAACCCCAGGGGGCGGAGCCTGCAGTGAGCCGAGATTGCGCCACTGCACTCCAGCCTGGGCGACAGCGAGACTCCATCTCAAAAAAAAAAAAAAAAGAAAAAAAAAGAAAAGGTGCTCACCATCACCAGCCATCAGGAAAATGTCAAACCACAGTGAGACACACATCAGAGCTACTAGAATCATGAAAATTAAGGCCGACAGCATCAACGCCGCAGAGCCCACACTCTGCTGACGGGAAGGCAGAACAGTACGAACGCCGGAAAACTGTTCAGCAGGTTCCTTTAAGGTAAAAACACCTTTCCCTCTGATGTGCCAATTCCACCCCTAGGTACTTCCCAAGGTACATCCACAGAAAGACAGACAAGAATGTTAATGGCGTCTTTATTCTAGTAACCCGAACTGGAAACTACAGCATCGAAACAATCTCGGTGCAGTCACAGAAGGATGAGCAAACAGTAAGGAGCCACCAATACACAGCCACCAATACACAAGCTGTAACGCATGACCATCCGGCTGAGTGGAAAGAGAAACACGAGGGCACGGCGTGCGGTTTCACGTACGCATGAAATTCAAGAGCTGGCAACAGAAGCCCTGGGGCTCCAAGTCAGGGCAGTGGCTGCCGTGGGGACCGGAGCCGGGAGCATGCAGGCCGTTCCGAGGGACAGAAGTCTCTGCACCTTGACTGGGGTGTGAGTTACACAGGCGTGTGAGCTGTCAAAACACACATTATCCATGTTGTACACAAATTTCACACGGAAATCCTGCACTTCACTGCATGTAAATTCTACCTCAATTCTCCAAACCTGAATAAACTATAATGAGATGCAACAACGCGGATGGACCTTAACAATTATAAGGTTTAAAAGTTCCAGAATACTACAGTGGTACCCACTTTATAAAGTTAAAAAGAACTGAAGTTAAATTTTTTTTTTCAGATTTGTATAGATACCAGATAGTTATTTTAAAAGGACAGCAAGGGATGATGAGCGCGGAATTTGGGCTGACGGTTACCCAGGCGGAAGGAGGCAGGGGATAAGCATCGTGGTCACCTGTGAGACGTGAGAAGACCGAGCTGGCTCTTGTGTCAGGTGGCAGGTCCATGGGTGTTTGTCACACGATGAAAACAAAAAATACAGGTGTGGAGTCCTAATTAGGGAAGAGAAGTCAGGCTGGGGGGAGCCGGGGAAGCAAAAAGAATTCGCAGATTGGCTATGTCTGCCTTTCCTCATGGTTCAGGACACAGCGCGTCTGCACGAATAACTCACCTAACTCACAATCCTCCTCCACCCAACGTATCACCAGATCCTCGGCTGAGAGGAAAATGCAACTTAGCTCCCTGCAACCCTGGCGTTACCAGCACCGCTCGTGGCCCTCTCCAGCGCAAGCACCACCTTTAAAACCCCCGGCAAGGCTCTGTCTCCTGCCAGTCAGCTTCTCTCTTGCTGACGCGCCCGTTGCTTTCTTGCAACCTATCTTCCTGCTTTCTCGAATAAATCTGCCTTTCTTGACCTACAACTGTCTTGGTAAATTCCTTTACCACCTGCACCACTGGCCTCAGTTAGTCGCTACCCACGAAAACAGGTACAGTTATAATCACAGAGACAAGTAAAACGGGCCACGCGTGAACAAATGAGGAGAATGTGTCCTGAACCAAGGGTCGTGATTAATTTGATTCTGGGCTCCTGAGATCCTAAGATCTAAATTTAAAAAGAAGAAAAAGAAATCATAGTGGAAGTTAGGAAACACAACTGAATAATAACTAGGGTTTTATATTCAAACCTTACGGACACCCCTACAGTACTAAGTTCTCCATGAGAGGAAAATCTTATGTTAGAAACAAAAGCCTGGAGAGGAGGGCCCAGCTCAAGGGTTAGGAACACAACTGCAGAATGAGCGCGAATAAAGCAGAAGCAAAACCACAGGTGGGAAAGTAAAGAAATAAAGGGATTAGCGGAGAAGGAGGCAAAGGGCAGCTGTAGAGGTGGAAAGGAGAACAGCCTCTGACACGGGACAGGCCTTGGGCGTTGCAGGCTGTGCTCAGAGCACCTGCCGGCTTGTGAGGGTTCTAGACGGCACTGCTGCTCGGGGTCTGGGGCACGGCTACAGCCACATCCCTGTCCCCTCGGTTCAAGGATCGGCAGTGAGGATGAGAACGGCCAGGCTTGTCTGTAACCCTCCCCACAGCCCCGGCGATGACTCGACAATGCTGTAGAGCCGGCCGAATGGATGCAGAGCCTTTGGGCCGTCCCCGTCTGCAGCGCCCGCCCCGCCTTGGCCCTTCTCATCCCAGCCACATGGGCCCCTCTCCTCTCACCTGAGGCCCCAGTTCAGAGGCCTCGGGGCGGTTCCGGGAAGGCCATGTGGCTTCCTGTGCACGTGGACAGCCATGCGGCCGGTTCCCCAGTGAAGACGGGAGTCGGGGGACAGGAGGGTGGCAGAGGCTCTCCACCCTGGGAACCCTGAAGGGCGAAGGGAAAAGAAAACCTGGTCGGCTCAGAAGTAAGCAGCGCTCTCACAACCACCAGACCTCCTGGGTGAAGCCGCTCTGCAGATGTTTTCATAGACATTATGTTTGAACATCTCTAAGAGGACTGGAACCCAAATCATTATAATGAATGAGCTATTTAGAGGCTATTTTCTTTAAAAGCCAGGCTTCTTGTTTACTTTGTTTTATTCTACTAAAGTTTCCAAGAACACAGACAACCGAGACGAGAACACAGCAGTGTGTGCCAGGAGGAAACGCCGCGTCAGGCACTGATCCATCAGAGGCCGGCAGGGAAGGGTGTAAACTCAGCGACGGCCGCCAGAGCACCCACGGGTCCCTCGCAGGACCAGAGTCACGTTTTCCAGCGGGGAAGGGTGTAAACTCAGCAACGGCCGCCAGAGCACCCACGGGTCCCTCGCAGGACCAGAGTCACGTTTTCCAGCGGGGAAGGGTGTAAACTCAGCGACGGCCGCCAGAGCACCCACGGGTCCCTCGCAGGACCAGAGTCACGTTTTCCAGCGGGGAAGGGTGTAAACTCAGCGACGGCTGCCCGAGCACCCACGGGTCCCTCGCAGGACTGGCGCCACGTTTAGACAGGGCTCTGCGAGGACTCACCCCTCTGCCCCTTAGGAACCTGGCCATGGGACAGTCACGGGGGAGGCCTTCCACAGCCTTTCCAAGGACACCTGAGGCCACCTAATAGGCTCGAGGACAAGCCGTCTAGGCAGGTGTCACGTGACGAGAACGGTGTGCAGGGAGGCTCCACTCTGACTGCAGCAGGTGTGGGGTGGGTCCCAGGGAGGATGGAGATGCTTCATGAGCAAAAGGTGAAGATCTGTTTAAACCGTCCTCAGTTGCCAACGCTAGAGGTCAGGAACCGAATCTGTTCGACTGTAACGCCCTCTGCACATACTGGATCCAGAGTGAGTTTCAGGTGACGTTCACACTGGTCAGCTGGGCAAAACCCCAACGTCCTTCGAGGATGTTCACTCTCGTCCTCATCAACTCCACAGAGCAGCCAGCACCCGGGAAGGTGCCCACAGGCCCAGCCTCACAACATCTGCAGACCTGCTCCTAAGCCAGGCACAGAAGCTGAACAACCGGGTCAGACCAGGCCAGGCCTCCGACGCAGACCGAACTCGGGAGCTGAACAACCAGGTCAGACCAGGCCAGGCCTCCGACCCAGACCGAGCTCGGGAGCTGAACAACGGGTCAGACCAGGCCAGGCCTCCGACGCAGACCGAACTCGGGAGCTGAACAACGGGTCAGACCAGGCCAGGCCTCCGACCCAGACCGAGCTTGGGAGCTGAACAACGGGTCAGACCAGGCCAGGCCTCCGACCCAGACCGAGCTCGGGAGCTGAACAACGGGTCAGACCAGGCCAGGCCTCTGACGCAGACCGAACTCGGGAGCTGAACAACGGGTCAGACCAGGCCAGGCCTCCGACCCAGACCGAGCTCGGGAGCTGAACAACCAGGTCAGACCAGGCCAGGCCTCCGACGCAGACCGAACTCGGGAGCTGAACAACCAGGTCAGACCAGGCCAGGCCTCCGACGCAGACCGAACTCGGGAGCTGAACAACCAGGTCAGACCAGGCCAGGCCTCCGACCCAGACTGAGCTCAGGGGCCCAGCACACCCTAATCCTGTCACCCAAAGACAATAAAAAGCACCATTTTCCATGTGGTGGGTTGAGCTGTCCTTGGTGGATGCTGTCTTAGTGAGGAAAACATTGGATGGACCATCTGAGCATGAAAACATGAGCCCAAGGAAGGGTCAGGAGAGAGGGCTGAAGGTTCTGTGTAAGAAAACGGGAGAAATCTGAGGTGTTTTGGTCTAAGAAGAAAAGAGAAGAAAGAGACCCAGGCACCAGGACAGGAGTCATAGCAGCTGGTGCCGCCCTGGGGGTTCCGCCTTCCCGAGCTGGGCCGATAAATATGCAGTTTTACCCCGTCTGCACACGGGCACGCCTCTCCCAAACTTCCACATGTACCAGGAGCATGTGCAGAGGCTTCTGGTGATCAAGGAAAAGAGCTGGGTCAGGAGGAGAGGAACGGGCGGCTCCCGCGTAAATCCCCGCGTAGGCAGGAGCTCTGGGCCAGAGCGGCCTGGAGACGCTGAGCGGCACCCCAGGAATGCACAGAAGCCCCGGAACCTGGCCACAGAGGAGGGACAGATACAGATAAATGTTCCTGAAGTTTATTTTAAAGTAATTTTTAAATATCTATAGTTGAGTGTAGACTATACAAGCGACTACCTGTTATTCAGTCATTTGTCCTGCTATTGAAAAGTCTTTATAAACATCACAGTGACTCCCCCATGGAGACCTGCCGGAAACTTCTCCACCGTGACCCTCCCGTCCCATGTTAACGTTTCTGTTTTCCATCACAGTCAACAACCTGAAGCTTCTTTGTATCCAAATCGTTCTCAGAGATGCCAAGAAGGAAGCTGAGGAGTGAAGGACACTCTTCAGGCTCTTGATAGAAAATGCAAAGTTACACTGTCAAGATGGCATCAACTTAGACTGTCCAAAATACTAAGTTATATGCTTTTTTTTTTTTTTGAGACAGAGTCCCGCTCTGTCGCCCAGGCTGGAGTGCAGTGGCGTGATCTCGGCTCACTGCAAGCTCCGCCTCCCGGGTTCACGCCATTCCCCTGCCTCAGCCTCCCGAGTAGCTGGGACTACAGGCGCCCACCACCACGCCCAGCTAATTTTTTGTATTTTTAGTAGAGACGGGGTTTCACCGTGTTAGCCAGGATGGTCTCAATCTCCTGACCTCGTGATCCACCCGCCTCGGCCTCCCAAAGTGCTGGGATTACAGGCGTGAGCCACCGCGCCCGGCCTAAGTTATCTACATTTTTAAAAGTGTTATTAGTTCAGTTTTTAAAAGAATCTCACTAATCTGTGTTTGAATACAAATGACTTAAATTCTTAGAAAGTTTATTAGTTGTTTGTACATCCACTCTGAGAGTCTGCTTCTGTCCTCTGCCTACTTATCTATTTTTCTTAGTGTTTTGTTTGTTTGTTTTTTGAGACAGAGTCTCACTCTGTCTCCCAGGCTGGAGTGCAATGGCGCAATCTTGGCTCACTGCAACCTCCGCCTCCTGGGTTCAAGCGATTCTCCTGCCTCAGTCTCCCAAGTAGCTGGGATTACAGGCGCACACCACCACGCCTGGCTAATTTCGTATTTTTAGTAGAGACAGGGTTTTGCCATGTTGGCCGGGCTGGTTTCAAACTCCTGACCTCAGGTGATCCATCTGCCTCGGCCTCCCAAAGTGCTGGGATTACAGGCGTGAGCCACCGCGCCCAGCCTTTTCTTAGTGTTTTCTTATCAACCTTTAGAAATCAGTAAGGTTATTCATCTTTTAAGTACCATATTTTCCGATTTCATCCCAGTTTATCTTCATTTTGCTCACATCGCTCTCTGCTGTGCAATTTTACATTTTTATATATCTTACTTACCATGATTAACTCATTAAGTGCTACAGCAATTAAACAGCAACAACCTATTGACCTTAATTTTTAAGGTTGTCTAATAACTATTTGATAAGGTTGGGCTGTGTCCCCACCCAAATCTCATCTTGAATTAATAACTGATAAGGTTGGGCTGTGTCCCCACCCAAATCTCATCTTGAATTAATAACTATTTGATAAGGTTGGGCTGTGTCCCCGCCCAAATCTCATCTTGAACTGTAGCTCCCACAATTCCCACGTGTCGTGGGAGGGCCCCGGTGGGAGGCCACTGAATCACGGGGGCGGGCATTTCTGTTCTAGTGATAGTGGGTGAGTCTCAGGAGAGCTGATGGACTTCAAGGGAGGAGTTTCCCTGCACAAGCTGCCTCTCTCATCGGCCGCCACGTCAGACATGCGCGACTGTGAGACCTGCCCGGACACATGGAACTGTGAGTCTATTAAACTTCTTTTTCTTTATAAATTACCCAGTCTCGGCTATGTCCTCATCAGCAGCATGAAAACGGACTAACACATTATTAGTCTAATAACCATTAGAAAAATGATTTTCAAGAACCGCACTAAAATGTAAGATCATTTAATTATTCAACCAACATGTACACATTTATACATTATAAACAAAAGAAAGTTACTTACCGAATCCAAAAAGCAAAGGTAAGACCCTGAGCTCTGGGCAACTGCTTGATTTTTAGCGTATCCGACTGTGGAAAAAAGAAGAGCAAAACTCTTTTATAATTCAGTTTCCAGCAGCATTCTCTTTCATAGAGCTTAGTATATGATATTCTTTTTTTTTTTTTCGAGATGGAGTTTCCCTCTTGTTGCCCAGGCTGGAGTGCAGTGGCGTGATTTTGGCTCACTGCAACCTCCGCCTCCTGGGTCCAAGCGATTCTCCTGCCTCAGCCTCCTGAGTAGCTGGGATTACAGGCACCTGCCACCACGCCTGGCGAATTTTGTATTTGGGGGTTTCTCCATGTTGGTCAGGCTGGTCTCGAACTCCCAACCTCAGGTGATCTGCCCACCTCGGCCTCCCAAAGTGCTGGGATTACAGATGTGAGCCACCGCACCCGCCCAATATACGATGTTCTATAAGAAAGCTAGGAACATTTTGCACTGCCACCAAAAATGTGGGTCAGCTTTCAAAGGAATGAAAGGAAAGTCAGAGAGAGACAATATTCCACCTTTGGTAGGTGGCATAATGAGAACAAGGATAAAACACAGAGTCCACTGGGTACTTCATTAAAGTCTGACACTCACTGAAGGAAAAAAAAATGAGATGGACCTTTACTGAGTACAGCACTAAGCTAAGTCCTGGGAATATTTTTTTAAACAAAATTAAAATATCCCTGGAAGGAAGTCTGTAAAGTCTACCCTGATGAAAGTCAGGATCCGGTCACAAGAGGGAAGTTGGGGGCTGGCACATGTGTGACGGGCTGGTGGAGGTCACTGAGGTAGACCCTCGGAGGGCGGTTTGCACGTGTGTGATGAGCTGGTGGAGGTCACTGAGGTAGACCCTCGGAGGGCGGTTTGCACGTGTGTGATGGGCTGGTGGAGGTCACTGGGCTGGACGCGTGGTGGGTGATCCTCTTGGCGTGCATCTCTGTGATGAGCTGAATGTGCTGCCAGCATCTACAACACCAGAGTGGGTGCACATCCCATGACCCAGCTCTGATCCTAACAGATACTGTGCGGCGTAAACCCAGCAGAACTTAATCTGCATGGCCACCAAGAGCAGCACTGTCATCAGAGCTCAAAACTGGGAACTACCCAAGTGCAGAATGGAAAAGCTGGAAACATACATGACAAGAAGGCACCCTCCAGGGCTGTACACACAGCGTGGGTGCCTCTCCCAGGCTGCTAAGCAGAGAAGGGAGCAGCTGCTGGGTGGGGGCCCTGGCCCGGAGCACGAGGGCAGCCGAAATTCTTCTGTGCTGTGAGAAACTAGGAAAGCAGCTGCCCTTGGGGAAGGGGGTGACCAGAGGGGCCTGAGGGGGCTTCTGGGGGCTGCGATCTTCTGTTCTTCCTCAGGGTGCCGGTTACATGGTGTGTGCAGCTTATGAACCTTCATCCAGCAGTAAGACTGTGATGTGCACTTTTCTGTATGGATATCATATTTTAAGAGGAGTTTCAAAAAATCTCTGTCTTCAAAGACATCACAACTGAGCTGGAAAAGGCTGAACGATGACCTGTGGTTAAACGCCAAAGGAACGGGACTGAAAACGGGGATAGGGAGGCCTAAAGGGTCCCTGTTAGGGAGCTGTGGCAAGAGCCTGAGGCTGTTAAGAACGTGAACCAGCAGAAGCAAGGCAGCCCAGGGCAGACCACCGTCCTGGGTGCTGCCCTGTGGGCGGTGGGCAGTCTGGGCAGCCCTCATTATCTGGGGCAGCCTATGTTTGGGAAAGCAGGCACTGGGCAGCTTTGTGGGAACTGCATGTTGGGCTAAGAAGGCTCAACTTCCCCCTGCCAGCAGGGGTAGCCAAGGAAGGCTTCTGAACAAGGAGTAACAAGCAGAAATTCATGCGTGGCAAGCTCAGCTTCGATGCCAATGGCGGGTGGATCAGAGGTGGCATTTAGCCCAAAATGAGGGTGCTGAGGAGGCTCCAAGGGGCAGGATACCCACTTTCCCTAGAAAAGAGGCTGGCAACACCGGACAGTTACAGACATCATGGCACCCAGGAAAGTCATACAAAGCAAAACAGACGTGTGCAGAATTAAGCAATAGATCTCTCTGGTATCCAAATCAAGACAAGCTGCAGAAAGTTGTCTGTTGGAGGGACAGTGGCCAAGTGTGCATTTCGGCCACACCCGTGGCACTCTCCCGTCTCCACTACAAGGAGGGGAAGGCAGGGCTCCCACCCCACGGGGGCTGCCCTGTTCCGGGGGGGCATCGAGCAAGCTCACGGCACCACTGGGACCGCACAGCCGCACAGAAGCGAGACGCACAGAGTCTCCCACCCTCTCTGCGTTCTCCAACCCGGAGCAGTGCCCCTCTTCATACCAGGTAGCAGTTTAATTTCTAGCATTAATCCCTAAAGTTTAGCCAGCTCAACCCAGTTAGCCAGAGGATCCCAGATGTCAAAAAGCCAGGGGCATAAACAGGCGCAGGGAGGAAATGCACCCGGGGAGGCGAGCGCCTGTTCTGCCCTGGGATGGATGGTGGGCCGTGTCTCCAGGGCCGCTGCAGCCAAGCCTCCATCATCGCTGCAGGGCCAGGTGAGTGCCCTGAAGCTCCTCACGAGAAACACAGGCGGAGGCACCTGTGAGGACGAAGGGCCGGAAGGGGCCTTCCACGAGGCACACTGTTCAACAGGGGCTCTGCTCACAATGCGGCTTGTTAGCGTCAGGTTTCAGGAGAGAAGGGTATCCGTGAGCCTGGGTAACGAAGGAAGACTTATCTCACTAAGGAAGCTGGAAGTTTCTCACAATGAATCCTGTGTTTGGCAGAGACAAGGAATTTGCTTTAATATTATTGCCTTGAAGAAAGTCAAATGTTTGCGTGGGGCTCCTGCTTGGGGAGGCCAGTCCCTTTGTGAGGGGATCTGGTTGCCATGGTCTCAGCAGGAAAAACTCACACGGCGGCGAGATATTAACATTCCTTCCTCCTGGAGAGAAGAGTGGGGATTGTACTTCATTTTGGTTTTAGCAAGCGGCGACGTTATTAGGAAAGTGGGGCTCCGTTAGTGCATGAATCGTAATAAGTGAATCAGCCCATTTCAAATACCCAGCACTTCTGAAAAGAGACACTTTGGATCTATGTTATCTAATAGTCAATATAACTCTCCCTATTCAAGAAAAAATATCATTACAGGAAAATACGTCCCTTTCAGCTATAACCAAACCAACCATATTTTATTAAAGTGTAGAATAGGGTCCCCACGAGGTCTCCTTACCCACACTTCAGACAGGCAGCAGGACGGCTCATTTCAGCCCTTCACCTCGGTCCTTCAGAACTTTACAACGGATTGTTTTTATTATTGGCAGAATTCATACAAATGGGATATGCCTCAAGTTAGAGCTAATCTATAAAAAGTACTTTATGAAAAGCAAAATGTTTTCAAAATAGATGAATGTTTTTAGACAAGGAGTGTCACAACAGTCACCAAAATACTTTAAATTTGTTTTCATCCAACTATAAAAGATGCAAAACTCTCTCTAATATTCTTTAACTTAAAAGAATATTAGGCCGGGCGCAGTGTTTCACACCTGTAATCCCAGCACTGTGGGAGGCCAAGGCAGGCGGATCAGGAGGTCAGGAGATCGAGACCATCCTGGCTAACACGGTGAAACCCCATCTCTACTAAAACTACAAAAAAATTAGCCGGGCGTGGTGGCGGGCTCCTGTAGTCCCAGCTACTTGGGAGGCTGAGGCAGGAGAATGGCGAGAACCTGGGAGGTGGAGCTTGCAGTGAGCCGAGATCGCGCCACCGCACTCCAGCCTGGGCGACAGAGTGAGACTCCATCTCAACAACAACAAAAAAATATTAAAAGATGTTTATAGTAGTTTCAAAAACCAATTTGTTTACACACATTACAGAAGCAAGTTGAAACAGATGTTCTACAATAATCAATTTATAAAGAGTTTTCTATTTCAAACCAACGAAAGATAATGAAAACAAGATATAACTTGGGAAAAAACATCTTCCAAATACACAAGACGATGATGATGACAGCAATGATGATGACAGACAGCTGCCAACACCTCCTGAGTGCCCGCTGCCCACCGTCCATCCCAGGGCAGAACAGGCACTCACCTCCCTGGGTGCATTTCCTCTCTGCACCTGTTTATGCCCCTGGCTTTTTGACACACTGCTGAGCGCCCGCCGCCCGCCCCTGTTCTAGACACACTGCTGGGCGCCCGCCGCCCGCCCCTGTTCTAGACACACTGCTGGGCGCCCGCCGCCCGCCCCTCTTCTAGACACACTGCTGGGCGCCCGCCGCCCGCCCCTCTTCTAGACACTGCTGGGCGCCCGCCGCCCGCCCCTGTTCTAGACACACTGCTGGGCGCCCGCCGCCCGCCCCTCTTCTAGACACACTGCTGGGCGCCCGCCGCCCGCCCCTCTTCTAGACACACTGCTGGGCGCCCGCCGCCCGCCCCTGTTCTAGACACACTGCTGGGCGCCCGCCGCCCGCCCCTGTTCTAGACACACTGCTGGGCGCCCGCCGCCCGAACCTGTTCTAGACACACTGCTGGGCGCCCACCGCCCGCCCCTGTTCTAGACACACTGCTGGGCGCCCGCTGCCCGCCCCTGTTCTAGACACACTGCAGATTAGCTCATTTCACACCTCACAGCACTCCAAGATGGGTGCTGACTACCACGACCTGTTCACAAATAAGGAAACGGAGGCAGAGCGAGGTGGCCGTGGAGCCGACCCCACCAGCCTGGCCCCACACCCAAGTCTACTTTACTCCTGCGTCTTCTGAGCCCCAGGGCACTGCAGGAGAAGAGCTGGGGCCAGGAGCTGCTCCTGTCCACTGAGACACCCCGCAGGTGAGCCTGTGATTTTGTGAGTCTCACAGATCTGAACAGGACCCAACAGAGGACTTAACTCCCCAGGCTCTCACATGGGGACATTCCAGAGGGACCGTAAACCCTCAGCCGCTTGCCCTTGAAATACGTCATAGCTGTAAGACTCCCTCAGGACCAAGTCCACTAGAAAGTGGGGTGATGCCACCCATTCCTGAGCACATTCTAAAGCAGTGGCTCCTGATCCTGGATGTGTCTCAGAATCTTCTGGAAAGCTTTTAAAATCCCAATGCCCACGCTGCACCCCAGACCAATTACATGAGAATATCTTAGGGTGAGACTCAGGCACTGGTTTTCTAAAACTCACTGATGATTCTAACGTGCACAAAGTTGACGACCATTATCTTAGAGAAGCTGTGACTCCTAAAATCTGTAGGAACCCGTCCACCAACTAAAAACGTATCATCTGCCAACCTTGACTTTTTCAGCCCCATGCAATATAGGCAGGCATATTTTTTTCAAGTCTTATATGGAAACTTTAAAGTCAAACTAAAAGGACCCTGATCTATTACAATCAAAGCTAAGAACACAAGCTAATCATTCAACATAAAAACAGAGGGTGAATGAAGAAACCTGAACACAGCTTGACCCAGCATCATGAAATTTCAAAATTCAAAAGTACAAAAAGAAAAATCTTAAATACTTTGAGAAACAATACCTTTAAAATAACAAGAGTCAGACTGGTGTAAGATTTCTTATTAGAAACATGGACACTAGAATATAATGAGGCAATCCCTTTAAAATTCTAAGAAAAATTATTTTGCACCTAGAATTCTATACCCAGCCAATCTGTCAACTGAGCATAAAAATATTCTTGAGCAAGAGAAATAAGCAGAAAAAAAGTTTGAAAAAATAATGGCTGAGGCTGGGCACAGTGGCTCATGCCTGTAATCCCAGCACTTTGGGAGGCCGAGGCAGGCGGATCACAAGGTCAGGAGATCGAGAACATCCTGGCCAACACGGTGAAACCCCATCTCTACTAAAAAATACAAAAAATTAGCTGGGTGTGGTGGAGGGTGCCTGTAGTCCCAGCTACTTGGGAGGCTGAGGCAGGAGAATGGCGTGAACTTGGGAGGCAGAGCTTGCAGTGAGCCAAGATCATGCCACTGCACTCCAGGCTGGGTGACAGAGCGAGACTCCATCTCAAAAAAAAAAAAAAAAAATGGCTGAAAAATTCTCAAATTACTAAAATTTTACTGGAGGAGCTCAAGAGTATATTTAAATATGCAGAAGAAAAATTAGCAAACACAGAGATAGATGGGTAAGTCTGAATCTGAAAATGGAGACAAAGAAGAATGAAGAAAGTGAAAAGCATCTCAGAGAAAGCTGGAATACCAATAACTATACCAACATATGCACAATGCAAGTACCACACGGAAAGGCAAGAGAAATAAGCAGAAAAAAAGTTTGAAAAAATAATGGCTGAAAAATTCTCATATTATTGAAAAACATTCATCTACACATCCAGGAAGCTCAACAAACTCCATGTAGGATAAACACAGAAGATTCGCAGCTAAACACATCATAGTAAAAATGCTGAAACCAAAGATAAGGACAAAATATTGAAAGCGACAAGAGAAAATCACTTGTCACTTACAAGAGACCCTCAGTAAGATTAACCGCTTACTTCTCATCAGAAACAATGAAGGCCACAGGCAATGGGGTCACACACAGATGCTCCTCAACTGAGGGTGAGCCTATGTCTAGGTAAACCTGCTGTAAGTTTAAAACATCATAAGTCAAAAATGCTTGGGGGCCTGGGAGCTGTGACTCATGGCCACTGCCTGGTATCCTGACAGAACCATGGTTTCTACTGAATTTGTGTTGCCTTTGACCATCATAAAGTTGAAACATGGTAAGTTGAACTATCACAGGCTGGGGGCCATCTGTATTCATAGTGCTCAAAGAAAAACACTGTCAATTATGAATCCTATATCCAGCAAAGTCATCTTTCAAAAATGAAGAAGCAAGTAAGAGATTCTAAGATAAACAAAAACTGAGGCAGTTCATTGTAGGGCTGAAATGAAAGGGCACTAAACAGGAACTCATAGAGAAAGAACAAATGAAGAACAGGGATAAAGTTTACTATTCAGGTAAATATAAAAGATAGTACTATTTTGGTTTGTATTTTTCCTATATGCTTTTAAAACAAATACAGAAAACAAGCCAGGTGCTGTGGCTCATGCCTATAATCCCCACACTTTGGGAGGCCAAGGTGGGTGGATCACTTGAGTCCAGGAATTCGAGACCAGCCTGGGCAACAGGACAAAACCCCCTCTCTACCAAAAATACAAAACTTACGCAGGCGTGCTGGCAGGCACCTGTATTCCCAGCTACCTGGGAGGCTGAGGCACAAGAATCACTTGAACCTACTGGGTGGAGGTTGCAGTGAACCAAGATCACGCCACTGCGCTCCAGCCTGGGTGATGGAGTGAGCCCCTGCCCCCTACTGCCACACACACACCAGGAAACAATTATAAATCTAAATCTACATTCATGAAAATAATTTATGAATTTATGTTAATGTTACATGATTGAAGCTAAGTGTTAATTCAAACTACATTGTTATAAATTTAAGATGTTCACCGTAATCCTCACAGTAACCACTAAGACGATCATTTAGAAATACACAGAAAAGGAAACGAGAAGGGAATCAAAATGGCACATCGGAAATAAGCAATTAAACAGAAAAGAAGGTAGTAATACAGGATTGAGGAATAAAAAAGACATAAGACATATAGAAAGCAGATAGCAAAGTGGCAAAAGTCCTTCCTTGTCAGTAATCACTTTAAATGTAAATGGACTAAATTCTCCAATTAAAAGGCAAAATCTGGCAGAACGGATCTTGAAAATTATGATCCATCTAAATGCTGTCTATATGAGGAATTCACTTCAGATCCAAAGGCACAAGTAGGCTGAAAGTGGAACAAGGGAAAGAGATATTCCACGCAACTAGTAATCAAAGAGTGCTGGCGTGGCTGTACTAATATCAGAAAAAATAGACTTCAACTCAAAAATTATTAGAAAAGACAAAGAAAGAGTCAATTGATCAAGAAGATATAACAAGCATAAAACTGTACACATCTAACAAGAGGGTCACAAAATTAAGTAAGGCAAAGATTGACTGAATTGGAGGGAGAAACAGTTCTACCGTAACAGTCGGAGATTCAACATTCTACCTTCAATAATGGAGAGAACATCTAGAGAGAAGATAATAAACAGAGAACTTGAACAATACTATAAACCAACTAGACTTAGCAGAAATATACAGAATACTCCACTTGACAGCAGCAGAACACACATTCTCAGGTGTGCACAGCGCATTCTCCAGGACAGGTGACACGTCCGGCCATAAAATGTACCTTAAACATTTGTTTAAAGATTGCAATTATATGAAGTATCTTCTCTGACCACAGTGAAATGAAACTAGAAATAAGTAACAGAAGTAAAACTGAAAAATTCATAAATAAATGAAAGCTAAACCATATACTCTTCAGCAACCAATATGTCAAAGAAGAAATCATAAGGCTAATTAGAATATACTCAGAGACAAACGAAAACAAAAACACAACAAACCAAAACTTTCAGGATGTAGAAAAATCAGTGCATAGAAAGGAATTTATAGCTATAAATGCCTACATAAAAGAGGTCTAAAATCAAGAACCTAAAAGTACACCTTAAGAAGCTAGAAAAAGAAAAATAAACTAAACACACAGCTAGCAGAAGGAAGGAAACAGTGAAGATTAGAGTGAAAATAAACAAACAATGACAAAACAATAGCAAATCAACAAAAAGAGTTGATTCTTTGAAGAGGGTCAACAAAATTGACAAACCCAGCTAGACTGAGAAAGAAGGAAAGACAGCTCAAAATGCTGAAATAAAAAGTGGTACATGACTCCCAAACTTAACAGAAACTAAAAGGATTATGACAGTGTGAAAAACAACATATGCCAAAAAAGTTAGATAACCTAGATGAAATGGACAAATTCCTAGAAACAAACTACCAAAATTGACTCAAGAAGAAATAAAAAAAATCTCAACACACCTATAACAAATAAAGAGATTGACTCAGTAATAAAAAAAACAAAAACTCCCAACAAAAAAGCCCAGAGTCAGGTGACCTCACTGATGAATTCCACCAAACTCAGAGAATTACTAACACCAATCCTTCCCAAACTCTTCCAAAAAACAAGAGGAAGAAACACTTATTCTATGAGGCCAGTATTACTCTGATACCGAAGCCACACAAAGATATCATATGAATAGGAACCTACAGGCCAATAGCCCTTACAAATATATATATGCAAAAATCTTCAACAACATACTAGCAAACTGAATCCAGCAGTATACTAGAAAGATTTTACACCAGGAACAAGTGGGATTTATCCCAATAATGTGAGGGCAGTTCAACATAGGATATCAATCAACGTAACATACCATCTTAACAGATAAAGGGGAAAAAACTATATGATCATCTCAAATTGGTGTCAAAAAGGCATTTGACAAAATCCGGCACCCTTTCATGATTTAAAAATTCAACAGACTAGAATTAAAAGGAAACCTCCTTAGCGTAAGAAATGGCATTTATAAAAACCTACAGCTAACGTCATATTCAAAGGTGAAAGACTGAAAGCTTTTCCCCTACAATTGCTTGGGAGAACCGAAGCGAGGATGCCCACTTTCACCACTTCTATTCGGCACCGTCCTGGAAGCACCAACCAGAGCGATGAAGAAAGATAAAAGCCAGGCGCGGCGGCTCACGCCTGTCATCCCAGCATTTTGGGAGGCCAAGGCAGGCGGATCACCTGAGGTCAGGAGTTTGAGACCAGCCTGGCCAACATGGCGAAACCCCGTCTCTACTAGAAATACAAAAAAATTAGCTGGTTGTGGTGGCGCACGCCTGTAGACCCAGCTGCTCGGGAGGCTGAGACATGAGAATTGCTTGAACCCAGGTGGCGGAGCTTGCAGTGAGCTGAGATCGTGCCACTGCACTCCAGCCTGGATGACACAGTGAGACTCTGTCTCAAAAAAAAAAAAAGAAAGAATCTAAATTGTAAAAGGAGAAGCAAAACTATCTCTACTCATAGATAATATGATCTTAAATACAGGAAATCCTAAAAACCCACAAAGAACAAACTATTAAAGCTAATAAACTATTAGAGCTAATAATTGTAGGATACAAGGTCAACACTAAGAGAAATCTGTTGTTTATCCCCTAGAAATGAGCACTCTCAAAGAAAATTAAGAAAACAATTCACAAAACTTATCACAAAGCTCAAGTAATCAAAACAATGAGGTACTGGCGTAAGGACAGACATATAGACCAACGGAATAGAATCTGGAGTCCAGGAATGAATCCATACGTTTATGGTTAATGGATTTTTGACAAGAATACCAAGACAATTCAGTGGAGAAAGAATAGTCTTTTAAATGGTGTTGGAAAAACTGAGTATCTACTTACAAAAGAATGAAGCTGGACCTTTGCTTCACACCATACATAAAAATTAAGTCAAAATAGATCAAAGGCCTAAATATAAGAGCTACAAGTATAATTCTGAAGAAAACATACAGATAAAATCTTCGTGACCTTGATTTAGCCGTGGCTTCTTAGAAATGACACCAAAAGCACACGCCACAAAAGAAATAATAGATAAATTAGATTTTTGTCTTCATCAAAATCATAAGCCTTTTGTGCATCAAGGGACACTCTCGAGAGGGTGAAAAGATAACCCAAAGAACGGGAAAAAAATTGCAAATTATATATAATAAAGCTCTAGTGTCCAGAACATATAAGGAGCTCTTACAATTCAACAATGAAAACACATACAGCTCAATTTTTAAAATGGCCAAAATACTTGAATAAACATTTCTTCAAGGAAGATATACATTTATTTATTTATTTATTATTTTTTGAGACGGAGTTTTGCTCTTGTTGCCAGGCTGGAGTCCAATGGTACGATCTCGGCTCACAGCAGAGATCGCGATCTCTGCCTCCCGGGTTCAAGCAATTCTTCTGTCTCAGCCTCCTGAGTAGCTGGGATTAAAGGCCGCTGCCACTACTCCAAGCTAATTTTTGTATTTTTAGTAGAGACGGGGTTTCACCATGTTGGGCAGCTTGGTCTTGAACTCCTGACCTCTGGTGATCCACCCGCCTTGGCCTCCCAAAGTGCTGGGATAACAGGCATGACCCACCAAACCCGGCCCATTTATTTTTTATTATTTATTTTGAGATGGAGTCTCACTCTGTCACCCAGGCTGAAGTACAGTGGCACCATCTCGGCTCACTGCAACCTCTGCCTCCCGGGTTCAAGCGATTCTCCTGCCTCAGCCTCCCAAGTGGCTGAGATTACAGGTGCATGCCACCACACCTGGCTAATTTTTTTTTGTGGTATTTTTAGTAGAGATGGGGTTTCACCATGTTGGCCAGGCTGGTCTCAAACTCCTGACCTCAGGTGGTCCACCCGTCTCGGCCTCCCGAAGTGCCGGGATTAGAGGCGTGAGTCACCATGCCTGGCCCAAGGAAGATATATAAATGGCCAACAAGCACACGAAAAGAGGCACAACATCTTTAGTCAACAAGGACATTCAAATGGAAACCACAGTGAGACACCACTTCACACCCACTAGCATGGCTATAATTTAAAAAACAGAAAATAACAAGTGTTGATGAGGATATGTAGAAATTGGAACGTTCATACATTGCTGGTAGGAATGTAAAATGCATCCACTGTGGAAAAGTTTGGCAGCTCCTCAGTATGTTAAACACAGAATTACAATATGAGCCAGAAATTCTACACCAAGGAATATACCCAAAGGATCTGAAAACCAGTGTTCAAACAACAACTGTACACAAATGTTCAGACTGTCATCATTCACAGTATCAAAGGGTAGAACAACTCAAATGTCCACTGCCTGACAAACAGACACACAAAACATGGTACTTATGTACAACTGCATATCATCCTCCCAGAAAAAGGAACGGAGCACGATACATGCCACAGCACAGAGGAACGTTAAAACGTTATGCTAAATGAAGCCGGTTACAAAAGAGCACGTGGAACCTGACTCCATTCACATGAAATGTCCAGAACAGGCAAATCTACAGAGACAGAAAGCAGGCGAGTGGTTGCCAGGGTTGGAAGAGCCTGCGTGCCACCGCAGAATACCCCAGACTGGGTGGCAGAAGGGGCTTCTCACAGTTCTGGAGCCTGGGAAATCCAAGAGTAACGCTCCAGCAGATTCAGTGTCTAGTGAGGGCCCCTTCCTGGCTCACAGAGGTGCCTTCTCCCTGTGTTCTTACAGAGCAGGAGGGGTGAGGGAGCTCTGAGCGGCCTCTTTTATAAGGGCACTAATCTCATTGGTGAGGCCCCACCCTCATGTCCTAATCACCTCCCAAAGTCCCCACCTAATGTCATCCTAATACTATCACCCTGGGGGTTCCAAATATGAATCTCGGGGTGGGCACAGACATTCAGATCATAGTAATAAATCCCTACCAAAGAATAAGAAACTTAGGTCTATAATCAATCCTTATCAAAGAAAAAGAAATTTAGGTCTATAATAAATCCCTACCAAAGAATAAGAAACTTAGGTCTATAATAAATCCCTACCAAAGAATAAGAAATTTAGGTCTATAATAAATCCCTACCAAAGAATAAGAAACTTAGGTCTATAATCAATCCTTATCAAAGAACAAGAAATTTAAGTCTATAATAAATCCCTACCAAAGAATAAGAAACTTAGGTCTATAATCAATCCTTATCAAAGAACAAGAAATTTAGGTCTATAATAAATCCCTACCAAAGAATAAGAAACTTAGGTCTATAATAAATCCCTACCAAAGAATAAGAAATTTAGGTCTACAATAAATCCCTACCAAAGAATAAGAAACTTAGGTCTATAATAAATCCTACCAAAGAATAAGAAATTTAGGTCTATAATAAATCCTTACCAAAGAATAAGAAATTTAGGTCTATAATAAATCCTACCAAACAATAAAAAATTTTAGGTCTACTAAGGTTCTTTCTTTTCTTTCTTTTTCTCTTTCTTTCATTTTCTCTCCCTCTCCTTTCTTCCTTCTTTCCTTCCTTCCTTCCTCTCTTTCTCTCTCTCTTTCTCTTTTTTGAGATGGAGTCTTGCTCTGTCACCCCAGCTGGAGTGCAGTGGCACGATCTCGGTTCACTGCAACCTCTGCCTCCCGGGTTCAAGCAATTATCATGCTTCAGCCTCCCAAGTAGTTGGGATTACAGGCGTGTGCCACTACGCCCGGCTAATTTTTGTATTTTTTGGTAAAGATGGGGTTTCACCATGTTGGCCACGCTGGTCTTGAACTCTTGACCTCAAAGGATCCGCCTGCCTTGGCCTCCCATAGTGCTGGGATTACAGGTGTGAGCCACCACACCTGGCCTCTACTAGGTTCTTAATAAGTGGTATATCCAATTACCACCAGGATACTTTTTGTCAGTATTTGAACAACATGAAACTGTTTCGGTACGTAAGTTGATAAGAAACCACGAATTATAGTTTAATAAACTAAGCATGTTTACTTACCGCCTCTAGGAGAGGGAGAATCGTGCCCCCCAATGATCACGTGGACACCAGAATCTTCCAGCTTCACTCTCCATTTTTCAATGATAGCCCCAGACTTGTCCTGAAAGCAGAACACTGGCAGGTCAGGAAACTTCCCTCCGAACAGTCAACCGTTGCTTACACTGGGGCTGAGTCACCCGACAGGAAGTTCCTACAAACCTTACTGGCATCATTGAAAACAGACAGCTCCATGGTACCTTCAAAGTCCTGTTGCAAAACAGACCTCAAACATTCGTCCAGCCACGGTTCAGCGTTGTGGACTGGGAGGATAATAGACTGGAATTCAAAAGAAATGGATTAACAGAAGTGTGAAAACTTAGTTCCCTTTCCATGGCTCTAATTTACCTCCCCTTCACCACCCGCACATATGCCGTGACAAACAAAAGGTGTCCACTCCTTTTCTCCAGGCTCTTAACATGCTTGTAAGATTCTTTACGTCTTAGCTTTCCCTGAACTGCCTTCTACATGTTTTTGAAAGTGAAAAAAAAACTGAAAGGACTTTGGGAGGCCGAGGTGGGTGGATTACAAGGTCAGGAGATTGAGACCATCCTGGCTAACATGGTGAAACCCCATCTCTACTAAAAATACAAAAAATTAGCCAGGCGTGGTGGCAGGCTCCTGTAGTCCCAGCTACTCGGGAAGCTGAGGCGGGAGAATGGCGTGAACCCGGGAGGCGGAGCTTGCAGTGAGCTGAGATTGCACCACTGCACTCCAGCCTGGGTGACAGAGCAAGACTCTGTCTCAAAAAAACAAAACAAAACAAAACAAAAAAACTGAAAGGCATCAAATTGTTCCCAACTCAATGGTAAATCATGAGTTTTCCAATCACTGATCAGAAACATCATTTTGGTTGAAACAAGTATCTGGGTATCTTCCAACTCACTCATGAAAATAACTGGTTGGTTTTTTTTTTTTTTTTCTGAGATGGAGTCTCGCTCTGTCACCCAGGCTGGAGTGCAGTGGCTCGATCTCGGCTCACTGCAAGCTCTGCCTCCCGGGTTCACGCCATTCTCCTGCCTCAGCCTCCCGAGTAGCTGGGATTACAGGTGCTGGCTGGTCATGTTCTAGGTGGAATAAGCATTTCGGCAAACCATGTTAGAAAACCTGCAACAAAGTAACCCCTTTAAGTAACCCCTCAGCCCACAAAAAACAATGTTTTAACAAAGTATCGGGCAGGAGGTGTTCAAAGAACCCAGCTGAGCAAATGGGAGGCCTGACGTCCATCTCTCGATTCCTTTGTCCTACACTTCGTTTCGGGCTAGTGTAGCTAGTGTCCTTTTCTCATTGTCCTTTTCTCATGAAGCCCAAAACAAAAATTTATAAAGTGGGATGGAGTAAAACCAGGAAATTCAATGCCAACAAAACAACTGATTACAGGAGTTAAGTCTTAATTTCATACATTATAATATTAAGTGATACGGAGCGATACTTAAGAGATTAGTCTGTCCTCACCCTTAATTTATATCCAAAAAAGAAAAGTTGAAATTGTGTTGAAAACACAATTTAGTCAAGTTCTTTACAAATGAAACCTCACTCTGTCTCTTCCTGGACTTAGGTTAATAAGAATAAAACGAGTTCTGGCCGGGCGCGGTAGCTCACGCCTGTAATCACAGCAGTTTGGGAGGCCGAGGCGGGCAGATCATCTGATGTCGGGAGTTCAAGACCAGCCTGACCAACATGGAGAAACCCCGTCCCTACTAAAAATACAAAATTACCCTGGTGTGGTGGTGCATGCCTGTAATCCCAGCTACTCGGGAGGCTGAGGCAGGAGAAACGCTTGAACCCGGGAGGCAGAGGTTGCGGTGAGCCGAGCTCGCGCCATTGTACTCCAGCCTGGGCAACGAGTGTGAAACTCCATTTCAAAAAATAAAAATTAAAAAAAAAATAAAACGAGTTCCCTAATTTATTTACAAATTTACCTTAGTTTGGATTTACTTAGAGGAAAAGAAGGAAATAATTTTTCTCAAGATCTACAAAATATAATGTTTCTATCAAAGATAGACCTTGATTCACCTGTTACCAATTTTAGTAAGACTGGAATAAAAAAGAAAAAAGGCTGGAAAAAAAACAAACAAAAAAACAAAAAACAGAAAACATGCTGAGCCTTTGGGCGACTGCTAATCCTACATCCCTGTGGTTGTTCCCTGCATCGGCCTATTGGCTGGGTCTGAACCCTGAGGGCCTTTGCTCCAGCCTCTGCCGGAGCACGGGGAAGGTGTTCGGGGCTTAAGGGCAGGTTTTTAGGGCACGTGTTTGGGGTAAGTGTGCTGGGCACACAGGCAGGTGTGTGGGCACGGAGGAGGTGTGCAGGTAGGTGTGTGGGATGCGCAGGCAGGTGTGCACGGCAGGTGCACGGGCAGGTATGGGGCACGGGCATGTATGCAGGACGCAGAGCAGGTGTGTGAAGCAGGTGTGCAGGCACAAGACGTGTGTGTGGGGCATGGGCAAGTGTGCCGGGAATGTGTGACGGCAGACGTGTGGGGTGCGAGGTTGTGTGGGGGCACACGGACAGGTGTGCAGGCAGGTGTGGGGCACGGGGAGGTGTGCAGACCAGGTGTGTGGGGTGCGGGAGCGAGGCAGGTGCGCGCGGCAGGTGCGCGGGGGCGAGTCAGGAGCGCGGGGCACGTGTGTGGGGTGTGGGGCAGGTGTGCGGGGGCGGGGCAGGTGTGCAGGGCAGGCGTGCAGGGGCAAGGCAGGTGCGTAAGAGCGAGGCAGATGCGCAGGTGCGCGGACCAGGTGTGTGAGGTGCGGGGGCAGGTGCGCGGGGGCGGGGCAGGTGCGCAGGAGCGAGGCGGGAGCGAGGCAGGTGTGCGGGCGCGGGGAAGGAGCGCGGGGCAGGCGGGCGGGGATGAGGCAGGTGCGCCGTTCCTCCACCCCACGACCAGGTGAGGGCGAACGGGGAACTGCCTGAGCTCCGAGCCCGGAAGCTTCAAAATCAGAACGAGGAAGGTCGGTGAGGAGGCCACGCTCGCGGGACGGGGGCAGGAAGCGCAGCCGGAGCTGCAGATCTCGGCCGCGCCCCGCGGGCTCCAATCCCGAGCGTCCCCCGCACGCGCAGCCGCGCTCGCCCGCGGGGCCTAAGGGCTGCTCAGGGCGGAGACCCCGTAGGTGAGCCCGAGAGGCGGTGCGGGGCTGCGAACCCCGGAGCGAGAGAGGACTGGAGGGCGGGGTGAGGGGACGCGAGGACCCAGCCTGCACGGCGGGGCACCCTCCCCGCTGGCACCTACCACGTGGGCCTGCATGGCCTGGCTCTCCTCGGACGCCCCGCCCACGCCGGCTCCGCTCATCCCGCCGCTTCGGCCTACGGCGCCTGCGCGGGCGGCACCAGGAGGCGGGTCTGAGGCCAGGCAATCTCCGATTGGTGCAGAGCGGCGTCCATAGGGGTGGGCCTCCCGGAGGGGCGTGGAAGGGGCGGGGCTGCTCGGCGCGGGGCGGGGCCGGGAGGTCGCCGCCTCAGTCTTCCGCCCTGGGCCACGCCCCGGTCCCGGGTCACCTCTCGGAGCCGCCTCCTTGGCCCGTGGAAGCCTCCTGCTCTCCCCTAGGGCGCGCGTCACAATCTCTGGTCCCCCGTAGACGCCGCCGCGGGGAAGGCGGGGCTGTGCGAGGGCGCCGCGCTGCAAACCCAAGCCAGGCGGCCTGGAGTTGCTGTAAAGCCTCAAGCAAGGCTGATATGTAAAAGGTCGTTGCATTTCACCCGGGCTGTGGGCTGTGCTACTTGACCGGGGAGGACGAGGGGACTGCAGGGCGTCCTTTCAGACAGACGCGGTAGGGAGAGCAGGGCGTGCAGGACACTTGACGGCCCCAGGAGAGGGGTGAGGCCCTGACCCCACCGGGGTGTCATCCAGGAGGAAGGGTGCCCGGGGCGAGGTCCCCCAGGAGAAGTGCCCAGGCCTGAGGCCTTGACCCCACTGAGATGTCCCCCCAGGAGGAGGGGTGCCCGGGGTTAGCTCCCCTAGGAGGAGGGGTACCCGGGAGTGAGGCCCTGACCCCACCGCGAGGTCCCCCAGGAGGAGGGGTGCCCAGGAGTGAGGCCCTGACCCCACCAGGAGGTCCTCCAGGAGGAGGGGTGCCCAGGAGTGAGGCCCTCACCCCACCGTGAGGTCCCCCAGAAGGAGGGGTGCCCAGGAGTGAGACCCTGACCCCACCAGGAGGTCCCCCAGGAGGAGGGGTGCCCGGGAGTGAGGCCCTGACCCCACCGCGAGGTCCCCCAGGAGGAGGGGTGCCCAGGAGTGAGGCCCTGACCCCACCAGGAGGTCCCCCAGGAGGAGGGGTGCCCGGGAGTGAGGCCCTGACCCCACCGCGAGGTCCCCCAGGAGGAGGGGTGCCCAGGAGTGAGACCCTGACCCCACCAGGAGGTCCCCCAGGAGGAGGGGTGCCCGGGAGTGAGGCCCTGACCCCACCGCGAGGTCCCCCAGGAGGAGGGGTGCCCGGGAGTGAGGCCCTGACCCCACCGTGAGGTCCTCCAGGAGGAGGGGTGCCCGGGAGTGAGGCCCTGACCCCACCGTGAGGTCCCCCAGGAGAAGGGGTGCCTGGGGAAAGACATGACCTCAGTAGCTCCGGGTACCCTCCACCTTTGCCCTCATTTCCGCCTCCGCATGCAGCCTTGGGAACTGCAGGGCTGGGAACCCGGAGAAGGCGGCCGGGCTCTGGGGGAGCTCAGAGGTGGCCTTCCCTGCCAGGAACACAGGCCAGGCCCCATCCCTATCTAACCTTATACTTGAGGAGCACAGAGCGGATATCTCCAGATTTGAGTCCTGAACGCGCGGCCGGGAACCCCAGCAGTTCTGAACTTGTCAAGGGAGCAGCCTGCCATGAGGGGTCTCCCAGGCGGCTGTGAGGCCTCTGGAAACTCCCTGCTTGGAGGAGGTTGACTGGGGACAGGGCCGTGGGGGTCAATAAAAAGGACTGCTGCCATTAGCCCTGGGCTGCCTGCACACAGAGATTAAGCCCGCTTGGGATTTGTTCCAGCTGATCTGAAGTAATGAGTAATTCACAATTAATGAGCATGGCTGTAAGCAGCCCTTCCTGGACAAATCCTTGGCTGTCCAAAACTAAGATTAAATGCAAATCATTCTGTCAATTAACCGTTACAACAAAGCCAAACTTCTGTTAAGCATCACTTCATAGATGGTTTTTTTTCCCTTAAATTGCCTCCTTGTTTGCAAAGCCTGTTTTACAAGTGGACTGCTTAAGTCACATGAGTGAAAATGCAGCCTTATTTACCGTTCAGCAAAAGCTATCTGAGAATTTGCTTCCAGGGACTTCATGTTCTCCAGAGGTTGGGGTACTAGGAATCATTTCATTGTAAAGGACTCAGTAAAAAGTAGCCCTGTAGCTGCCAGAATGCGCCGTAGGCTCATGATAAGGTAGGTGGTAAGGGCCAGAGGTCAGGGGTCACAGATGGCTTCTGCCCCTCCACAGCACATGGTGTCCAGAACTGGGCTTGCCTCTCACCTTCCTTCCTGTACATTTCCTGGTGCCAGAAATTTGCTTTTCACTGACTTCCCCCTAATTCAAATTTGATTAGAATCTCCTTTTTGGGAACATTCAAAGTGCCAAGGTGCGTTTCAGAAATGCAGGGTTGCAGAGGTGGGGTCCTGAAATCCAAGGGTGGTGGGGCCTGAGATCACTGCCCTCGCAGTAGGAAGATCCTCGGGGAGAGGTCAGCAGAGGGCCCGGACAGAAGGCACTGACACTGTACCCTGGAGAGAGACAGGAAGGAGGACCTGGGGCCTCAGAGCTGGCCGGGTGGAGATCGTGTGGTCTTCGTTCAGAGGGAAGTGAGGTGCTGATGAAAGATGATTGACGTCACGTGGGCACCAGCAGAGGAAGTGACACAAAACGCCCCACAGCTTTGGGTTCACTGAGTGGGCAGTTGTATTTATTTATTTTATTTTATTTTTGTAGAGATGGGGTCTTGCTGTTGCCCAGACTGGTCTCGAGCTCTTGGCCTCCCAAACTGCTGGGATTACAAGTGAGAGCCATTGCAGATAGCCAGTTTTCTTTATTTTTAATTGTTGTTTGTGCAAAAGGTTTTGGCGAATACTGGCTATATTCAGAGGACTCAGTACCAGTTGCCAGGGGCCTGGAGTAGGTGCTGTGGTCTCAATGTGTGTGTCCCCCCAAACCATATGTTGACACCTAACCCCCAAGGCGATGTGGTTAGGAGATGGAGCTTTAAGGAGGTGACTGGGCCGTGAGGGCTGTCCTCTCATGACGGACGAGTGCCCTTCAACGAGACTTGAAGGAGCCCTTCTGTCCCTTCCTCCACGTGAGGACACATAGAAGGTACCATCTCTGGGGAACAGGCTGTCACCAAACACCAAGTCTGCTGGCGCCTGGATCCTGGACTTCTCAGCCTCTACAACTGTGTGCAATACATTTCTACTGTTTATCAATCACATGGTCAGAGGTATTTTGTTACAGCAGCACAAATGGACCAAGACATCAGGTCTCCAAATCGAAGAACTTCTCAGCAGCCTTCAGTGCTGGGTGGGGAGACAGAGGTTCCCTGCAGGTCCCCACAGACAGTGTTAGACTCAGTGCTGGGTGGGGAGACAGAGGTTCCCTGCAGGTCCGCACGGACGGTGTTAGACTCGGTGCTGGGTGGGGAGACAGAGGTTCCCTGCAGGTCCGCACGGACGGTGTTAGACTCGGTGCTGGGTGGGGAGACAGAGGTTCCCTGCAGGTCCGCACGGACGGTGTTAGACTCGGTGCTGGGTGGGGAGACAGAGGTTCCCTGCAGGTCCCCACGGACAGTGTTAGACTCGGTGCTGGGTGGGGAGGTTCCCAGCAGGTCCGCACGGACGGTGTTAGACTCGGTGCTGGGTGGGGAGGTTCCCTGCAGGTCCGCACGGACGGTGTTAGACTCGGTGCTGGGTGGGTTGACAGAGGTTCCCTGCAGGTCCGCACGGACGGTGTTAGACTGGGTGCTGGGTGGGGAGGTTCCCTGCAGGTCCGCACGGACGGTGTTAAACTCGGTGCTGGGTGGGGAGGTTCCCTGCAGGTCCGCACGGACGGTGTTAGACTCGGTGCTGGGTGGGGAGACAGGTTCCCTGCAGGTCCCCACAGACAGTGTTAGACTCGGTGCTGGGTGGGGAGGTTCCCTGCAGGTCCGCACGGACGGTGTTAGACTCGGTGCTGGGTGGGGAGACAGAGGTTCCCTGCAGGTCCCCACAGACAGTGTTAGACTCGGTGCTGGGTGGGGAGGTTCCCTGCAGGTCCGCACGGACGGTGTTAGACTCGGTGCTGGGTGGGGAGACAGAGGTTCCCTGCAGGTCCGCACGGACGGTGTTAGACTCAGTGCTGGGTGGGGAGACAGAGGTTCCCTGCAGGTCCGCACAGATGGTGTTAGACTCGGTGCTGGGTGGGGAGACAGAGGTTCCCTGCAGGTCCGCACGGACGGTGTTAGACTTGGGGGACACTGGGTCCCCAGTAAGAATGATTCTGATGTGAGTGCAGCTAGTGAGGGCTGAGTTCAAGCTTTAAAGACAAGAGCCCAACAGGTTCCTTCAACAGCCTGATCCCCTAGACCTTCGTGTGTCCAAGTCTCCAGAGGGGATGAACCTCAACAGACCTGGTTCGACCTCCCCTAGGCAGTGGGTGCTGCCTGGAGGGCAGGGTCGCTCGAGACTGTAGGAGACTCTGCACGTGGTGACCATAGCACCCCCATAATAAAGCAGCCCGTGAGGGCAGCCTGGCTGTTCGGCGATGTGTGCACTGAGGTCATCTCTCCTACTCTGTCTCAGCTATTTAAAGGCTGTGACTCACCATGTGGATTTAATGACTTATTAAGGAGTTGCAGCCCATGCTTTTTAAAAAAGTAATCTACAAAAAAATAAATGAAAAAGTCTTCAGGACAGTAGACTTAAGTGCGGATGTGGTCCCTCGAGTTCCATTTTTCAGCCGCCCACATTCCTGGGATTCAGACCTGTTGGGGATTGTAGGATTCTAGTTGCACAGGGAAACCCAGAGTCAATTCAGGAGGATAATTCTGAGCCAGGGGTGGGGGTACCGGCCTGGAGCTCCGGGGGGTACGGGCTGATCCTACGAAAGGAAAGTCAAGCCTGTGAATTGCAGAGCCTGGACAGAGAAGTTGAGGTGACGGCGTTCTGCAGATCCGTGAAATTCTATTACACGTCAGAGGGAAGGGACGGCCTCATGTGGCCCCTTGGAGGGACCAAGCCCTACCCAGCGCCTTGCCCAAGTCAGCACGCAGTCAGTGTTGGCTCCACCCACCTGCACCGTCAGGCCTTCTGGAAAGAGAAGGAGATCCGACTGACGGAGCGTCTCCAAACTTCCAAGCAAATATTACCTCGTTAAAGCCCAGTGCCACATGACTGACCTGGAGCCACAGCCTGCCCTCCTTCCCTGGGCCTACAGGAAGGGGGAGGTTCCTGTCACCAGAACCGTTCCGTCATCAGCCGGGCAGATGCTCGCTGTGGATTCTAGGTGAGCATCAAGTACTAGGGACCATGTTTGTCTTGGATTCCCCCGTCCCGCCTGAGCCCAGAACGCAGAGCCGGAGTCAGGGGCTTGCACATGGAGCGTTTCACGCCCAGGAGGCTGGGGCAGGGGCCAGGAAGGAGCGGGGAGGGGGCCAGGACCAGCGTGCTCTGCTGAGGGTCCACATCGAGGGCTGGACCCTGGACCTCCACAAGCCTGGAGAATTCTCCATCCGAGCAGTGAGGAGCCCCTGCTTGTTGTCAGCTGGAGCTGCGCCTCGGGGCTTCTGCTGTCCTGGCCCTGGGGTGGTGACTGCAGGATCCCACAGGTGTCCCGAGGCCTGAGGCTCTTCTCACTGCAGAGGCCACCCTGCAGGAATTGGAGTTAGGACCCGGAGGGTGGGACAGGCTGACTCAGAGGAGCCAGCTCTCAGGTTGGCAGGAGGAGGAGATGCACAATGAGACAGCAGCCTCACCTCCAGGGGACGGCCCCGCAAGCCGGAGCTGCCCTCCTGCACACTCAGCACTCAAGGTGGATTTGGAGGTGACCTAAGCCCACAGCTCTCCAAGTCTTGGGGAAATCTACAGTGGATGGCAGGTGCCTGCGGACGCCGAGTGGGTGCGGCCCCAGTTATGCTCAATGCAGGGGCACCTGTGTTGTTAGCAGCTGACGTGGACGGGAAAGGCCTGTGCTGAACAACGTTCCGTGTTCAATTAGACACTCTCCTCCTAAACAGGGGCGGAAGACGTCTCATGGGGGTTCCAAGCGTGATTTATGGAACTCACTCCCATGAGATAACATAACATTTTTCACACGTGGGAGAAAGGGCTGGGCTCGACTGGTGCCTGAGTGAATGCTGAGGATAAATGGGAAGCAGGACATTCCAGGGCACCTCTGCGTCTTGCATGAGACCTTGTGAGGGCCCTGTGGTGCCCCTGATGTCACTGTCGAAGGTGGAGCCGCCCCCGCTCTGCCTCGGCCTCCCTCAGATGTCCTCCCCAGCTGGCCCTGCAGCGCACGTGGAAGACAGCTGCCGAGAAGCAGGTGTGATGCCAGCCTGTGGGAGAAGCCACATCTGGACAGTGCGTGAAGCCAGTCCAGGGGCCACACCGGGACCTGCCCTCAGCTCTGCCACGTCCTGGCCAAGTGGCCTTGGCATGCCAGCCCTGGTGTCCACAGAGGCATCCATTCCTCATGGCAAAGTGGAGTCAAGTCGGCTGATGCAGGCGAGACACCTGGCCGGCCTGGGGAGCCGCACCAGCGCTCCCCACATTGCACTGCTGACTGAGGGGTGCTCGGTGCCGCGGCTTCACACGGTCAGTGCACAGACATGAACGCTGGACTGAGAAGCCGCCGCGTGCACCTGGCCCGCCAAGTTGCCAGGGAGGCAAGGGTGGTGTTGACGTGGATCACCGAAGGAGCTGGCAGCCCAGCCGTCCCCGTGACTGGATGGAATCCGCAAGCGTTCCTGGGCATCCACTCTGGGAAGGGCTCAGTGCCAGGGCCTAGGGTAGTTTTCAAATTGCAGGTTGTGGCCAGTATACCAGGGGTCATGGGGTCAGTACACTGGGCTCTGACTGGCAATTCCTAAAGATGAAGTGTGAGTCTGTCCCATATAGTAAGAGCTGCATTGATTTGTAAAGCTTGTGTTGGTTTTGCACGTTCTATGCCAGTGTGTGCTGGACCGTGATAGAAAGCGCATTTCTCGCTGTGGTGCCTGCCGTAGTCTGGAGGGAAAGATGAGTCCGTGGCTCTAATGTGGGGTGGTGGGTGTGGTCTACACAGGGAGAGCGAAGAGCCCACATGGGGCATGAGAGGGGCCGGAGAGGCTGGGGCAGGGGAACCCGGGCCAGGTCCTGAGAACAAATGGGGTTATTCAGCTCCTAAAGGTGCAGGACTCAGCCCAAAGTCCCTGGTGACCCAAAGAGGACCATGTGAGTCTGATGTGGCTGTGGAAGGCGGGGCTCACAGCAGGCTGCCGGGGCACCATTAATGGGGGAGGGTCCTGTCCCCAGCGCATACGTAGACGGCCCTTCAGAACCTGCTCAGTGGTCAGTGCGGCCGTGCAGCTGCACCCCGGCCTGGTCACCTGTGCTGTGCCCAGCAAGGAAGATGCCCCCGCTCAGCCCGTCCATGCACCCTCCAGAGGCTGTCAGCTGCCTGAGACCCACACTGGCTCTTGCAGGCTAGAGGAGAGTTCAATGGCCATTCGGGCCCTGTCGCCATGGAAACACCAACTTTGGGTACCAAAAGCCTGAATGTACAAATTCATGGAGTATGACCTGCCTGGTGCCAGTGGGTCTTTGCATTTTTCTGGGGTGCCAGTGGGTCTTTGCGTTTTTCTGGGGTGCCAGTGGGTCTTTGCGTTTTTCTGATGCCCTCTGAACTCTTAGGTCCCGGTTCTGGCGGATTTGGCCCAGGCACCCCCAGCCCCCAGGTAGGAGGCACAACCCTGCTCCCAATGCCCAACACCTGCCCCCAATGCCCAACACCTGCCCCACACACCTGAGGTACCTCCTGGGCGTCCCACACCAGGACAGGCCTGGAGACTTCCAGCCACTGCCACCTGGCACACCCAGCACCTGCAGATCCACCACCTTAAAACCCACCTCTACTGCCCCATGTCACGGTCCCTGCGGGGCCAGGCCTGCCTGGCACGTCCACCCCGGGTCTCCCTGCCTCACCCTCTTGCGCATCCACAGTGAACAGGGGCATCTTTCCAAAATGCAGATCTGGCCGGGTGCGGCGGCTCATGCCTGTAATCCCAGCACTTTGGGAGGCCGAAGCAGGTGGATCACATGAAGTCAGAAGTTGGAGACTAGCCTGGCCAACATGGTAAAACCCCGTCTCTACTAAATGTATAAAAACTAGTGGGATGTGGTGGCGGCTAACTGTAATCCCAGCTTCTTGGGAGGCCGAGGCACAAGAATTGCTTGAACCCGAGAGGCAGAAGTTGCAGCAAGCTGAGATCTCACCACTGCACTCTAGCCTGGGCAACATAGCAAGACTCTGTCTCAAAAACAAACAAACAAAATGCAGATTGAATCCAGGCTCACCTGGTGACAGCTGTCCATATCCCCACCCTTTCAGGACAGCATGGCTGCCCTTTTGTGGGTGGTTCCAGCTACCCAGACCCTGTCCTTCTCAACACCCCCTCATTAAGGTAGGACCCTAAAGTGAATTCCTCCTTGTCCTTCAAAGCCAGCCTCCAGCATCGCCTCCTCTGGGATCTTCTCTGACTTCCCAGTCGGTTTCAGAAGCCTCTGATGACCCCATGCGGAGAAGACTGCTCCCCTCACTGCTGGCACACGGCAGATGCTCAGTAAGTATCGTTCAATGACTGACTAAATGTCTCATAATATCCTTCATAAACAAGGGCCTGGTGTGGATTCATAAATGGGTCTCTCAAAGTTTAATTGGTGAGACTCTGTTGTATCAGACAATGAAGGGTTAAAAGATAATATTCAAAAAAGTAAAATCATGACACACAAATCTAGAATGAACACACATTGATAAGGTTTGGATCTGTGTCCTCACCCAAACCTCATGTCGAACTGGGATCCCCCGTGTCAGAGGCGGCCGCGTGGGAGGTGACCGGATCGCGGGTGGACCCTTCATGAAGGGTTCAGCACCATCCCCTTGGTGCTGTCCTGGGACAGAGTTCTCTTGCGATCTGGTTGTTTAAACGTGTGTGGCCCCTTCCCCCTCTCTTTTCCTCCTCCTCCTGCCGTGGGAGACACTTGCTCCAGCTTCGCCTTCCGCCGCGAGTTGAAGCTCCCCGAGGCCTCCTCAGAAGCAGAAGCCACCACGCTTCCTGTACAGCCTGTGGGACCCGGAGCCAGTTCAACCTCTTTTCTTTATAAATTACCCAGACTCGGCCGGGCACGGTGGCTCACGCCTGTAATCCCAGCACTTTGTTGAGACCGAGGCAGGCAGATCACGAGGTCAGGAGATCGAGAACATCCTGGCTAACACGGTGAAACCCCGTCTCTACTAAAAATACAAAAAATTAGCCGGGCGTGGTGGCGGGCGCCTGTGGTCCCAGCTACTCGGGAGGCTGAGGCAGGAGAATGGTGTGAACCCGGGAGGCGGAGCTTGCAGTGAGCCGAGATCCCGCCACTGCACTCCAGCCTGGGCAGCAGAGCGAGACTCCATCTCAACAAATAATAATAATAAAATAAATAAATAAATAAATAAATAAATAAATAAATTGCCCAGACTCAGGTATTTCTGGATAGCGATGCGAGAATGGACTAATACACGTGTTAAGTCAAAAGTTTTATTTAACTTATTAATTCATGAGGGAAGCAGGAAGATATTAAAACTGGTTCAAAGGAAAATCCACAGGTTTAGGCAATCGAGCTGAAACGAACTTGCTAATACAGTCGTCCCCCGTATCCCCGACTTGAGTTGTCTGTGCTCAACTGCAGAAAACAGGTGAGTACAGCACAGTAAGATACCTTGAGAGAGAGGGAGATCCCACATTCACATAATTTTTATCACCATAGATTGTTGTAATTGCTGTTTATGATTGGTGATTGTTAATCTCTTACTGTGCCTATTTTACAAATTAAACTTTATCAAAGGGCTGTACATATAGGACAAAACATAGTCTATACAGGGTTCAACACTATCCAAGGTTTCAGGCATCCACTGGAGTGCTTGGAACGCATCCCCCAAGTCATCACCAAACCAGCCAATATCCACAGGGCCTGAAACCTCCCCTTTGGATTCTCTCTTCCATTGGTGGAAATCAGCCGTGTCTCCACTGACAAGTGTCCTTGCACCTCCGTGGGCTCCTGTGTGTGGCCGTCACCTTTCTGGTGTGCAGGGAACTGTCTCACAGCTCCATTAAAGATGAGGAAGGCGCCGATCACTGCAGCACCAGAGAACCCAGGGGTTCGCCTGGCCCCCCACTGAAAGGATGCCCAGAAACCTCCTCACCCATTTTAATGTCTTTCCCACATTTTCCTGATGAAGACTCAGCACAGACGCTCACAGCATCATTGGGCACAACTGGGTCTGGTGGCAGAAGGCCCGGAGGGTGCACGGCCCCCTCCTGAGGCAGGTGTGCGGTGCTGGGGAAAGGCGGAGCACGAGGGCTGAGCTCTGGCCGTGGGACCCACCCAGCAGTCTCCCCTCTGGGGCAGGGAGGGGCAGTGAGAGCGTGGGGAAGGCAGGGAGGGGAGCCCAACGGTCCACCCTGGGAGGAGCCATCAGCCCCCATCCCTCAACCAGGCGTCTCCACAGGCCACCAGGGCCATAAAGGCAGGTAGGACCCACACCTGCTGATGGGGAACTGCACCAGCAGCCACCCAGAAACCCGAGGCCTGTACGGTATTCCGTGCCGGGGAGGGCCAGCACTCAGCCCCCAGCTGCTTCCCTGAACCCCACGGTCTGAGGCTGTGTCAAAGCTTCCCCAGTGTTTCCTGGAAGACGCTCCTCCATGGATCCCTTGCTCCTGCCCATCTTGCTGGGCCAGGAATGCAAACTCCAATGGCTGCCCCGGGGTCGTTTCTCAGGGGGGTGTGCACGGGTGTGTGCACGGTGACCGATGCCTCTCTCTGGGACGAAGAGCTGGCACACTGTCTGCCTGCTGTACAGCAGCGGCTTCCCAGAGCTGAGGGCCTCTCCTGTGGGCAGTCCCCTGTGTGGGCAGCATCTGTCTGAGCCCCCGCACATCGCTGCTGGGGAAGGGGCTTGGGAGCCCACTCAAGGTGCTGACCCTCTGGTTCTGCTTTTGCTGTGAGTGATTAAGATCCTCTATCTCTGACCCCAGCAGTCTGGTGCTTCCTGCCAGCACCCACGAAACAGGCAGGCTTGTTAGCCCGAAAGTAAAATCTCAGGCCCCTGCACAGTTCAGACGGCATCCAGCACAGTTGGGGCTGGGCCCTGCCCTCACGACCGCCAGGGCCTGGGGTACCCTGACCAACTCCTAACTCCCAGGACCTGGCTCTGGGGCCATCTAGCCCAAGTTGTCCTAAGCTACGAAAGGCGATGAGGCAGCCCAGCTTATGAAGCTCTGGCTCATGCACAGACACACTTTACCCCTCCGTGCCTTAGGACTGTCCCCAGCACCTGCCTGTCCTTTTTGCAGGAGATCGTTCTGCTAAGTGGTCTCCAGCTCTGTGTCTCTAAACTGACCTCCTGTTGGGGCAGGGACAGGGTCTTCTTGTCTACTGCCAACTCCCCGTGGCTGGCAGAGTCCAGTGATCACGTGAGCCGGTTACTGCCGCGGCGCCAGGATGAGGCAGCTGGGAACATCCCAAGCAGCAGCTTGAGGAGGGAGAAGTTTCCTTAGGATGGGGTGTGGGAGGGTCTCCGACCAAGCTCCTTGAGAAGCAAGGCCTCAGCCTCTTCACACCCGCAAGGAGGGACGGCAGGCGTAGACTCCAGGGCAGGCTGCGTGTCCGGGCAGTCCCAGCCCTGTTAGCACATGCCCCAGGGCCACACAGCACAGAGACCCCACACAGGGAGGTCTCCCTCCCTGCTCTCCCCCTCACCCTGGCCCCTAAAGTCCTGCTGTTTATTTGGTTGGTTCTGGAAGGAGCGCCATGGCTGCGTAGCTTTGCTGTGCACCGTGCAGGGCGGCGGCCAGCACAGCTTGGTGCCCAGGAACTGCTGACGGACCGAAGGAGGAGCGCCTGAGACAGTGCCAGCGAATAGGCCCCTGCAGCAAACATTACGACTGCGCTTACACCTACATCTAGTTAGATACGGATTCTATTACTGAAGTAACTCAAACTTTCCAAAATGCTTAAGTGAATTTCACAGGTGGGTGTGGAATTGCCAAACGCCAGGTGTACACTGCTGGTTTGGATTATCTGGTCATTTTGATCTGTGAAGTCAGGTAATATTCAGGCCCTCCCAGAGTTTCCATTGTCCTGTTCTATGGTCAAGGCGGGGCTGCAAACCAACCACGCCCCCTCCCCGCATCCCCGGATGCCTGTGGGGGCTGCAGAGTGATCGAAATGTCAGGTAATTCCACAAAAATCCACATTTGGATTTCGGGCTTCTCTTGGAACTGACCATCTGTAACTCCGGCTCACGCTGTCCTGCCGGCACCTGGCTGGGGCTCAGCGGGAGCTGTTCTCTCACTCCTTCCCAAGCCCCGTTGTCCCCCTGGACAAATGGGTGGAATTCTATTAAGGCTGTGAACTTAAGAGAGCTCCGGAGCTGAGAGAGGTGCCGGCCGTGCCGCTGGTGCCTTTGAGAAGCTCCTGGCTGCCGTCCATCCAGGCCTGGCCTCAGACCTGGATCCCTGTTCACCCTGGGAGTGGCCCACCTGTGGAGGGAGGTGCTCCCCACCACAGCCCCCAGCCCTGCAGCCCCTGCACCATCTGTCCCCAGGGCAGCTGCCTCTGCAGCCAGGTCCAGGCCTGGGGAGCTGGAGGGCACCAAGCGGACCGCAGGTGAGGGGCCCGCAGGTCAGCACAGGTGGGTCAGGTCCTAGCCCGCTTGTCATACAGGTCATATGGGACTTAGCCTACTTTCCCTTCTGTTTAATATCTGCACCCCTGAATAGTGCAAATGCCCAGAGGGAGGGATCGGAGGCTGGGAGATCCATGGGGGATTCAGGGGGCAGCTTGGGGGACAACCGTTGCAGCCGTGCCCTGATGTCAGACACAAGGATACCACTAGGCCCTCGCCCAGGCGTCCAGAGAGAAAAGTCAGCTGGCGGCAAAGGCCTTGTTCTCAGGGCCACATGCTGATATTTTAACCAGTTCTAGCTCACCTTGGAAATGCTGATGCCAGCAGGACGACACCAGGTACAGGGTGCAGGTGGGTGCTGGACCCCCCAGGTGGCAAATGAAAGCGCCTGCGGGGGACTCGGTCAGAGGGAGCCTCACAGAACGTTCTGGGCTAAATCTGGTCATCAGACTCGGGGCTGGCGTCTTCCCGACACGTGAATTTGGAGGGTGTGTGAGTCAGGATTCCTGGCTGAACTGGTTTGCACTGGTTTGAAGTCAGGCAGGTTGGCTGGTTGCCCGTGTCACAGGAAGGTGGACAGGACATAGGTGCCGCTGTCAGGAACAAAGCCCCAGCCTCTGCCTGTGACGCCCCTCTGAGGGGGCATGGGTCTCCCTCCCCCGGAGGCCCGGACAGCGGCCAGGAGCAACTGAGCTTCCTGCCAACCTGGTGACCCCAAAGGTCGGAGGGTGAACTCCCTCCAGCTTCAGCAGAACCAGTGTTGATCAACTCATCCCAGTTGGCCTGGAACTCAGAACCGATGTTGATCAACTCATCCCAGTCGGCCTGGGACTTTCCTGATGTTAGCAGGGAGGGTTCTGAGTCCCAAGAAGCGCTCAGTCCCCAGCATGCCCTGCGCGTCGGTCACGGAGCCCCAGGAGGAGCGTGCAGCCCGCAGCCTGGGCCTGGGCACAGCCGGCTTTATCAGCAGCTCCATCCCAGCCCCACAGACAGGGGAAGAAAAGGTTGGGGGCTGGGCAGACAAGACCATCCAGGGCCCCGGCTGGTCACCCAGGCTGAAACGGAACACATCTGTTTCTCTACACTCTAAACACTTTGCACCAAATGTGCGGGATTTTCACACCAAGCAACTTTCCAGTTCTCAGTGGACACCAACGGGGTGTCCCACGATTCAGTTCGACTCTCACACTACCTGCAGGTAGCGCAGACCCCGCAGGCTGGGGCTCCGTCCCACAAGCTGCCCCTCTGCAGGCGACCGTCCCAAGTATCGGGTGCCCAGGGTTCACACGCCTCCGTCTGACTTGGCTACAAAGTTGGGGGTTGCCACGACTCCTCCCCAGGCTTGATAATTTGCTCTAAGTCTCACAGGACTCAGGGAAAAACTCATTTACGTTCACTGATTCACTATAAAAGATGTAATAAAGGATACAGATGGACAACCAGATAACAAGGTGCACAGGGCGGGGTCCAGGAAGGACCCAAGTGCAGGAGTTTCTGTCCACCCCCCACACTCCCATGCGTTCCCCAGTCCAGAAGCTCCCGGATTCTATCTGTTAAAGGGTTTAATGGAAGCCGGCAGGCATGACCAATGGATCGTTATTCAATCTCAGCCCTTCTCCCCTCCCTGGAGGCCGGTGGGACTGAAAGTTCCAAGCTTCTAATTGATGTTTGGTCTTCCCGGTGAGCGTACCCCATCCTGAAGCTGTCTAGGGGCCCCCAAGAGTCACCTCCTTGAACAAAAAAACGCTCCTAGCACCCAGGAAATACCAAGCGATTTCGGAGCTGGTGTGGGGAACCAGGGCAGAGGCCAAATGTATATTTCTTATTCTGTTACCTGGTGCCTGGAGGCCCTGGCCACTTTCGGGTTGGCCGACCTTCGGGAAGTTTCCTGGTCCCGAACGTCTCGGGTCACTGTGGGGTAACGAGGCTCTCGGACCCTCGCCATCTGTCATCGTCATCGCCGCCGCAGGCTGGCCTTCCCTGAAGAGCTCCAGATCGCAGACACCGTGCCGTGCCCGCCACGCAGATGCAGTTTCCACTCAGCCCCACAGTGCGGGCTTCCTGGGCCCGTGTCCGGCTGGAGGAGCACCCCGGGTCCGAGCCAGCCATCCCCTCAAGAGTCCTGCGCCCTGGAGGACACCCCAAATGCCACCCCTGCTGTTACCTCCTGCAGGTTTCAGGATACTCTTACGTCGTTCTCTGTGTTCATCCGCATTTTCTGTCATGAAAGTGAATTTCTTTTGTCATAAGAAACTGTGTTTCTCAGCCTCAGGCTGCCTCACCGGGCTTCACCATGGGCGCGGCTGCCCGCCCCCTGCACACTCACTGTGCGTCCTGGAGGGACAGTGCGTGTTCTCACCCGGGGCCACGGCTTCACCCTGGGCACGGCTGCCCGCCCTCTGCACCCTCACCCTGAGTCCTGGAGGGACAGTGCGTGTTCTCACCCGGGGCCACGGCTTCACCCTGGGCACGGCTGCCCGCCCCCTGCACACTCACTGTGCGTCCTGGAGGGACAGTGCGTGTTCTCACCCGGGGCCACAGCTTCACCCTGGGCACGGCTGCCCGCCCTCTGCACCCTCACCCTGAGTCCTGGAGGGACAGTGCGTGTTCTCACCCGGGGCCACGGCTTCACCCTGGGCACGGCTGCCCGCCCTCTGCACCCTCACCCTGAGTCCTGGAGGGACGGTGCATGTTCTTACCTGGGGCCACGCAGGGCCTCTCAGGGAAGGCTGTGGCAAGACAGACACTCTTCTCAAGGCAGGTCTGGGTGCCTGGGGACTACCCCCTAGGGACCCGAGAGACCCGCTGGGTAGGATCCGGCCCCCTGTCTGCCGCGCGGCCTCCGGGAGAGAGCTGGCCTCTCCGCGTCTGTTTTCTGCCTGTGAAGGAGGCGATGGTGAAGATACCAGCTGTGGGTTTCAAGGGGAGGTGACACCTGCGCTCTGGTGGCCATGGTGTGGACACGGACCCATTGTCTGTTTCCTTTGCGGGATTCCACGCTGGGCTCCTGTTGGCAAGAGGAAGGTCCTGAGGAACTGCGGGGGGAGGCTCGGCCTCGCCTGCCCAGGTGGTGTGGGTGCCTGCGCCTGGGGGAGAGCCTGGGGTTCTCTCGGGACCCGCCTCTCCTCCCAAGGCCATTTCCATGCACTGGACACTGCAGGCCCTGAGGCATCAGGTCTCGCTGGCTTTGCTGGCCGTCCGGAGCTCTGGCCTAGGTGCGGAGTCCTGGGGGTCCTGGGGAACCCACCTGAAGCCCCCCCTCGTGGCCCCTGTGGCAACACTGACCGGGCCTGACCTGTCCCCTCGTGTCACACTGACCGGGCCTGACCTGTCCCCTTGTGTCACACTCATCTTACACTGTGCTTTATCTTGTTACCCTGCAGGCATTCACCTCAACCCCTCCCGTCCCCTCTGGGATGAGCCGGGCCACAGATAAAGGCCTCTTAGCGGAGCTACGAAAAGGATCACTTTAGCCCTTCTGGGAAGGAGGGATTTAGGTTAAGTCAGCTCAGCTTAGATTCCAAAAGACTAGGACGGTCAGCCCAGGACCCAGGCATTTGGGTGACACAAGTGCTTTCCGGCCGGGAGAGCCACAGGCTGTGCAGGGAAAACTCAGTTGCTTTTGCTTTCTGAAGTTCAGGGCTTCCAGCTGGACGTTTTTGGAAGTGCGGGAAACACATGAGGTTTCGCTAAAGGAATGAAGCCTGAGCCTCCACGGGGATGAGAATGACCCAAGAACCTCCCGAAATCCCACCTGCAGGAGGCGACAGCGGGGGCGACAGCGGGGGTCCCGGGAGGCGACAGCGGGGGGCGGCAGCGGGGGTCCCGGGAGGCGACAGCGGGGGCGGCAGCGGGGGTCCCGGGAGGCGACAGCGGGGGTGACAACGGGGGTCCCGGGAGGCGACAGCGGCGGTGACAACGGGGGTCCCGGGAGGCGACAGCGGGGGCGGCAACGGGGGTCCCGGGAGGCGACAGCGGCGGTGACAACGGGGGTCCCGGGAGGCGACAGCGGCGGTGACAACGGGGGTCCCGGGAGGCGACAGCGGGGGCGGCAACGGGGGTCCCGGGAGGCGACAGCGGGGGTGACAACGGGGGTCCCGGGAGGCGACAGCGGCGGTGACAACGGGGGTCCCGGGAGGCGACAGCGGGGGCGGCAACGGGGGTCCCGGGAGGCGACAGCGGGGGTGACAACGGGGGTCCCGGGAGGCGACAGCGGCGGTGACAACGGGGGTCCCGGGAGGCGACAGCGGGGGCGACAGCGGGGGTCCCGGGAGGCGACAGCGGGGGCGGCAGCGGGGGTCCCGGGAGGCGACAGCGGGGGGCGACAATGGGGGTCCCGGGAGGCGACAGCGGGGGGCGACAATGGGGGTCCCGGGAGGCGACAGCGGGGGGCGACAACGGGGGTCCCGGGAGGCGACAGCGGGGGCGACAATGGGGGTCCCGGGAGGCGACAGCGGGGGGCGGCAGCGGGGGTCCCGGGAGGCGACAGCGGGGGCGACAATGGGGGTGTCCTCCCAGGGTGGGATCCGTGGGGGTTGCAGGTTGGAACTCGGGTGCTCCCCCCATGGCACGCGGGCCCAGTAAGCCCAGCCGTGGGGGCTGCCGTGGTGGAAATCGCATCTGCATGTGAGGACAGCAGGACCCAGCACCTTCCCGCGGTGACCCCAAGAGGCAGGGCTGGCGGCCGCCCTGCCAGAGTCCCCCTCCGGACCTAGAGGAGGCATCTCCCTAATTTCACCTTTTTCAGTAGAAAAACATCCCCGAGGTTCACCTAAAACCCCAATTTTTCAGGAAATGGTTGAGGCTGCTTATCATTTGTGGAAATCACGTGTGCACAAGTAGAGAGAATGCAGCGGGGTGGGGACAAAATGAAACCCAGAGAACTTGGCAGGTCCGCACACAGGCCTGACCCCTGTGCTCCTAGGGGTGCCCGGGATGGGTGCCGTCGTCAGCCCCATGACGAGGGTGACTGGGTCAGGTGTCAACCCCCACGGGCAGGGCTCTGTGCCCACCACCCCATGCTGTCGGAGCAGCCCGAAGGTGGCCAGCGCTGAACATGGGGTCCCACCCCATCCTCTCTGAGAGCCGGGCTGGGCCGGGTGGGGGCTGGCAGGGTCTGGCTGTTCTCAAACAGGTCCTTTCTCAGAAGGTGCTAGAAACTGTGTCCCTCACCAAAAGCTAACATGGGTGCCAGAGCTGGGACAAGGGCCAGTCCTTCCCCAACCTGCTGGGTCTCCCACACGCTTCCACATGCTCCCACACACTTCCACATGCTCCCACACGCTCCCACATGCGCACACACGCTCCCACACGCTCATACATGCTCCCACATGCACACACATGCTCCCACATGCTCATACATGCTCCCACATGCTTCCACATGCTCCCACACGCTCATACACGCTCACATATGCCTGTCATGCCCCTTTGTCCAGCGGCTTCTCATCCCTCTTCCAAGCCAGGGAAGGAGGGTCAGGGGCTGTAGTTGCCCCTGTAGTTGTCAGGCTGTGGGCACAGAACCTGCCAGGAGGGGTCTACCCTGAAGTGGACGGGGCCCATGTGGTGGGAGCCGCAGGATGTGAGAGGCAGACACCCAGTGCCGAGGTGAGCCACGTGGGATGCCTCCCGTGAGGACGCTCCAGCCCTGATCCTTCCGGGTCCCCACTGCTGCATGACAGCCTTTGCTGGTGCACAAGCTCACAGCCCCCGTGTGTGCAGGGCTGGGAGGGAGCGTGCTGGGCCCAAAGGTGGCCGGGACAGTCTGCCTCAGGGCTGTGGTCAGGGGCACGGGCTGGGACTGCCCCACTGCGGAGGCTTCTGGCGGACGGGGCGCGGGGAGTGGACGGGACAGGGACGGCTCCCCCCAGCCCAGCCGGTCAGCGCGGGCCTGACCTCCACTTTGAGCGGCGGCTTGGCCTCTGGCCTCTCAGGGTCCCTGCTGAGCTGTGCTGATGACTCCTCATTCGCAGGGGGGGAGGCTGTGGGGCCTTGGGGGCCTGAGACACCTAGAAAGGGTCAGGAGGGGACCACGGGGTGGGCAGGGCTGGGAGGTGGCCCAGCAAGCAGCCTGGGGACATTCAGATGCTGGTCACTCAGGGAGCTGGCAGCCGCTCTGCCTGCCCCTCACTGGACTTGAAAGCAGTGAGAACAGACGATGCCCAAAGACGCCCACAAAAGCGCTTCCTGTTGACATCAACACACTCTTAGGCCTTTCTCCTCCGCGCCCTCCAAGGCCGGCATCGCCCAGGCGACCACTGGACCACGAAAAATAAAGTCATGCCCCCCAGCCCCCACTCTGCCACTCATTATTTTCCTGTTGCCTTGTAGTGGACTCAGCTATGGTTTGTTTTTTGAAATTGAGTTTGAAATCCAGATCCTGCCCCACAGGCACTGGCGCCAGAGTCGCGGCTGCTGACCAGAGCTCTGCAGAGTTTTTGCTGGAAATTAGAGTCAAAATGGAACCACTGTGGGCCAAATCCCATGCAGGGCTCTACACACATGCACACATGCTCAGAGGCATGCACACATACACATGAGCACACACACACAATGCACACTCGAGCGCACACACGTGCACACAGGCATGCACACATACACATGAGCACGCACACGCTCACAATGCACACTCGAGCACACGCACACGTGCACACAGGCATGCACACATACACATGAGCGCACACACACAATGCACACTCGAGCACGCATGCACATACACACGTGCACACACGACGCCCAGGGAGTCTCAGGGAGCCTGTACCAGCCCTTGGACAGGGCCAGGAAGTCAAAGGGGAAATCCCTCTTTTCTTTTTTCTCTCAGAAACCCCGAACAACAGACTTTGTCAATAAGCATATTCACTTTTGTACTTAAAAAGTATGTTTTTAAACATTTTAATTAGCTCTCTAGACTCAAATAATCATCTTCTTCACCTTGTTTTCTCTGTGACACGCAAAAGGCTGGCAGGCAGGAGGCTTCTCAGAGTCAGGAGGGCTGGGGGGGAAGGTGCTGTCCACCAACATGTTCTGGACAGGACGCAGACACCAGGCGCCCCACGGCCCTTCATGCTCCGGAGGGTAGAACAGAGCCAGAGGGTGGTGAGGAAGGGGCAGATCCTGGTGGCTGCAGCCACTGCTGTGAGGGGACGGGGACAGGGCTGCTGAGGTCGAGGCAGGGAGTGGGGAGGCCGGAATGGGAGGCCCATGCTCCAAAGTACATAGGAAGCTGGAGCTTCCCTCCCACTGAGCTGGGCCATGAACCTGCCCACGACTCTGTGGGGTTGGCACCATGAAGTCGCTCTCAGATGGGGAGCTGGAGGGTTGATCGCCACCAAGTCACGCAGTTTAGCAGTGGGCACTCCTCGAGCCAACCTGCACCACCTCACTAAGCCCAGCATGGGCTCCCAGTGCCCCTCGGCCCACCTCCCTATCAGCCACGCCCTGGGCCTGGCCCCCTGAGAGGCCCCATGAGGCTGCAGTTGTTTTCTGGGTAAACTGTGTCCCCCCCCATCATTCATAACAATCTCTCTCTCTGTCTCCTTCCCTCTCTTCTTCCCTCCATCTTTCCTCCCTCCCTTCCTCCTTCCTTTTTTCTTTTTTTTCCTTTTTAAATAATTTGTTTTCTCATCATAATAGCAATACCTAGTCATTGTAGAAAAATTGGGGACGATTAAAATTCCACCGTGGAGTCGAGGGGAGACTTCCCCTGGCTCCTGTCACTGTTGCCACACTGCATATAAAGATCTGTGGTTTTGTTTCTTCAGTTCACGTGACCTCATCGCTTTACTCTCTCACTGGAGTCCCTTGTGAGCCTGGTGACAGCAGCCTCATGACCCCAAGCTCTTCCACGTGGGGTCAGGCTGCCCCCAGCCTCCTGCCCTGACTCCTGCTGGGTTGGGTCTCCTTGCACCCCCACACAGTGCACAGTGCCAGCTGCTCCTTTTCCTCACCCTTGCTTGAACAGTTGTGCACGCATGTAGGTCACCTCTTCCAGGCAGCCCTACAGGAGTGCACCCCACCAACACTGACAACCCCCCAGACAGTGCTTAAAGACTGAAACTGCCAGCTAGGATTTGGGGAGGGGTCCCTGCCTCTGTGGGTCCTGTCTGGCTCTGGCCCAGGCTGACAAGGAGGAGCATCTATGCGGGGAGCTGGTGCGGTGCGGGGCATGGTGGGGTGTGGGGGCTGGAGGGTGTGGGGCGGGGGCGGAGGGGGCTCAGTCATCTTTCATGAGCCTGAACTGAGGCCCAGGACGCACAGTCCACCATCCTGGGTCTGGACAGCGGGTCCCTCTGGGCCGTCTCACTTCCGCAAGCTTCAGCGGAGGCACAGCTCTGGCATTGGGGCTGCAGGGACCTCCTGGCACCACTGGGAGTAGAGTGGAGCCCCGGCACAGGCCTGGCCACCTCTCCAGGAGAAGGCACATGGGTCCTCAGGTCCCTGTTGGGACAGCTGGCGCCAAGGCTGGGCCCGCACGTTGCAGCAGGCAGGGTTGGGGTAGGGTGCTCAGCACCTGCCGTGTGGACGGGAGGGACCCCTCCACTCCCGAGGAGAAAGCCCACCAGCTGGCCTCGCTCCTGCCTGCCTGGAGGGGCTTCTGGAGGGAGTGTTTCCTCCGCCGAGTCCAGGCAGGCATGGCTGGAGGAAGAGCGTGAAGCCAGCATCCCTGGGTGACCCTGTGCACTCCAGCTTGGCTGGATTTGGGGAGGCACACCCAGGCCCTGCCCCACCCCCGCCTTCACTTGCTCGGGCCCCACCCCGCTGGGCCCCTATCTACTCGACACTGTGGGGGTCCAGTTCTCTCTCCAAGATCGGCCAAGTCCACGTGACCTGGCCCCCGGACGCTCCCTGCACGCCCAGCCCCACCGACACCCTTCCCCAAACCCTGGAGCCTGGGGACGCAGTGGGGTGTCTTGGCACACAGGTGACTCGGGAGACAGATCCCCTGACCCTGCCTGCCAGTGTGCCTGCCCACTGTCCGCTGAGCTGGGTGTCGCCTGCTTCTCCTCGTTCTGGGTGGGACCGTCTGTCCAAATGGCTGTCAAGGCCTTCTTCACTATCTCAGCGTGGGCAGAAAGGGACGGACATGTGAGACAGCTGCCCTGTGCCTCCAGCGCCCCCGCATCCCACGCACGCTCCACAGCCAGAGCTCTCAGCCCCTCCAGCTGGGGGCAGCTCTGGGCTACCCGGCCTCTTTTCAGGGGCAGGACAGCCGGGCTAATTACCTGCATGGGAGGGCCCCACTGGACAGGCTCCTGGTGAGGGTGTCTACCGCCACCCCCGCCTGCCTGGGCTGAGTCATCCAGGCGCAGCGTCGATGTGGGGAGGGCCTGTCCCTGGGGCTGTCCGTGGAGACTCGCCCTGTGGACTGGAGGAGGAGGCAGAACCCCGCCCGGCGGGGCAGGTCCTGGTGGTGACTGCGCCGACCACGGTCCCGCCCTTCCCCACGCGCTGGGCAGCTGCCCAGCCCGGTCCAGGTTAGGTGCCCCAGCATCTGGACGTCCACCCTCCCCGGGACACCCAGCCCAGTGGGGTATGGGAGGAGAGAGCTCTGTCTGCCCTCAGCTTCCTGCAGTGTGGCTACTCCAGCCCATCTGACCCTGGGCGGTCCCCGGTTCCCGGCTTAACAGATGTTGACAAGGCCTTGCCTCCTTCGGGGTGGTGCCAGGGGCAGAGGGGCACAGCAAGAACAGGGCACAGCCCCTCGCACACCCCCACGTGCCTCCGCTGTCGGCAGGCCCCACTGGGGTCTGGGAGATGCCTTCCTGTAGCATGAAACCAAAGGCCACAGAAGCAGAGAAAAAAAGCTCTTCGTTTCGATTATAAACTTGCAAGAAAAAAGGAGCCCAAACTGTTCAGTGAGACACGCCGACCGATCTGAGCCCACGAGGAGCCCCAGGCAGCAGAGCCCCCTCTTTCTGTTTATTCTAGAGGGTGGCCAAGGTGGCCCTGGGAGAGGTGCCTTCCAGAATTCAGATGCCAGTGGGGCGGGCTGCCAGGAGGGCCACGGAGCGGGGCTCTGGTCTCTGATGCCAACCAGTGAACCCTGGGAGGGACCACCCTGTGCCCTGCCCAGCCTGTCAGAGGGGGCCCAGCCCGGTGATGAGCAGTCAAGTGTGGGGCCCACGGGGAACAAGGCGGCGTGCATTTACTCTATGGAGGGGCACCGTCTCCACACGGCAAGCTGGGTGTGCCGACGGCGCTGGATGGCACCATACGTTGTCCCCGTTGAGGGGTGACTCCTGCTCCCATGATTAGGGCCAAAGGGTCACAACCTCTGCAGCTCCCACGTGGCTCAGGGGAAATGCCAAAACAGAGGAACAGCCCTCGGCCGCAGCCGGGGGATGCGTGGGTGCCCTGCACACTGGCCTTCAACGTTTGTGAGTTTCAGGCCTTCGGTAGTTGGCATATGGGACACTCCCTCTCCCCGCAGGCCGTGGGGATACCGGCTCCTTCCGAGGCGTTTCTGCCGTGAGCGTCCTCCAGAACGAGTGGGCTGAGGCCCTCGGCTGACGTCCTGGGTGACCGCAGACCTGCTGTGTGTGGCCGGCCGGCCGGACCTTAGCACGTCATCACTGGGCTCACGGTCCTGCCCCTGAGCACATCTGACCGGCCGTGGTCAGGGTCCACGCAGACGTCCACCTCTGTGTACAAATCCACCGTGTACTGTAGATGGCCCCTCCTGACACCACCCCGCGGAGGCCGAGGACCCTCCTTCCCTGTGGGGTCTGAGTGCCCGAGATGGCAGAGTCACTACAGCTCACCAGCCCTGGGGCCATGGTCGGTTCATGGCCGGGCGGAGGGTGAGATGCTGCCATGAACAGCTGCTACAAACAACTGCTAGGACGGTGTGGGGCCAGCGTGCCACACAGAACTGTCTCTCACTGCCGAGCTGGCGGCTGGTGGCCTCTCTCCACCTGGCCAACCTGGGGGCAAGCACCACCCAAGGTCACATAGCCGGCCAGCATCGGCCTGGACTTGTATCTGACTCAAGGAAACTCCCTACTCCCACTTTTCTCTGACGCACAGAGAGCAGCACATGGCAGCAAATTAGGTTAAGGAGGGGGTTAGGGAAGAATGACACACTGAAGGTCATCAGGTGGAGGCTGGCTGGCATCCGTGGCTGTTTCGTGTAGTAATTACACGTTGCTCATTGAAGTTGAGTTACAAGCACAGGCTCTCCATGTATCATTCAACCACAATTACGATAATTACGAGAAGGTTGGCGAAAATGGCCTGGGAGGGAAACGGGTGGCAAATGACTTGGGAGGTGGTGGTTGGGCGGGGCCGTGGGATGAACTGTGCTCACGTGAACGACAGACTGCGACGTTCTTCAGTATTTTTCAAATGCTGAAAGAGAAAATTTCATGGACGCGCTTGGGGAAACCGTGTGATGTTTTTCTGGAGGAATCCAGCTACTCTGGGAGGAGCTGTTTCTTTAGTGAGTGGATTCAGGTGACTGGTCATCTTGGGCAGCACATTGGCCGTCAACACACATTTGAAAACCTCAAGACTGGGCCAAAAATAAAAGCAGTAAAGTCCACCGGGTTGTGCCAGTGGCTCAGAGAACTCGCAGCTGTGGGGAGCACGGCGGGAGGGGTTCCCCCCACCCAGCCCCATGAGGGCCCCAAGGCCTGATGACAGCCCGGTGGTGCCTTGAACAGGTGAGAATCAGCCCCCACCTGGGGACGTGGCGTTGAATCCTGACATCGTAAACCCTACGACGCCCTGGGAATCAAGAACAGATCCACTTTGCAGGTAACTGAGGCTCAGAAACAGACTCCAACCCCACCATGTCTGTGACCCAGAGCTGGGGGCTGACGTCCGAGCCAGGTCCGTCCACCACCCCACAGGGCCTGTAGGCACCCGGCATAGGAAAGGCCGAGAAAGGGGTCCAGTCCCACAGCCCTCCACCCCAGCAAATTCCCAGGTGCTGGGTCCCTGCAATGCACGCGATAAAAACTCCCGGGTCAAATACACAGAGGTGACCCTGCCGAGGTCACTCGATCCTAACAGTGGGTCGTGGTCCTCGGACATGGGAGGCCACGTCCTGCTTTCTGAGGCCTCAGACCCTGGTGAGGCACAGAAGGACTGTCCAGGGTGCACCCAGAATTTTTTTCACGGACGTCTGCCCAGGAGGCTTCTGAGAGCTGTTTCTCGAGGGAATGGATAGATGAGGAAAGAGAGAGGGTTGATGTAGACCTACGGTTGGGCCACAGGCCCCCCTGGCCCAGGTCCCTTAGCTGCCATCTCCCAGGATGCAGAAGCATCACTGCAGGGCCCGCCGGTAGAGGGAATGGGCAGGCGTGATCCTGGTGGGTTCTGGAGCTCTCCGATTCCACGGCTCAGCCTCAACGTTCCGACTCAGGTAGGAAGTATCAGAGCTTCACGCAAAGCTGCGAAGACCAGCTCCTTCCCACGAGTGGGTGGGTGGGATGATGCTGTGGCCCCTTCCTGGGTCTAACCCCGTGACATGCTCACTGGGAAGCAGTCCCTTCCCAGACATCCAGGGACAAACACACCCAAGGCCCTTTCCTTGCAGACCCTCCCAGAGGACCAGGGGGAGGGCCACACACCATGACCAGCTGGGATCCTTTTGGTTCATAATCGGCCTCTCGGGGTCTGGTGGTACAAGGGGCAGTGTACCAGTGGCTGGGAACACCCCCAGACAGCCTTGACCACCTCAGCCTGCATCCTCTAGGAGCCTGATACCTCCTGACACCAGGAACCCCGTCTACAGGGGACGTCTCACCTGTAGGTGGCCTCGCTGGGCCAGGACAGGGGTCAGCAGAGGTGCCCAGGAGCACCCAATGTCTCTGGGGCATGAACCTCCTCAAGGGAACAGCTTGGGGAACCACAGCCCCAGGGTGGAAAGGGCCAGGCTCCTTTCCCAAGACAGATTAGCTTCTTCCGAGAATACTGGCCAGCAAGCATTCTTACTCTAGTTTTGTTTTGTTTTAATTAGCAGACTTAATGTTTTAGGTTTACAGAAACACCAAGCAGATGGTAGAGGTCCCCCACACACCCTCTCCCTGACCCAGTTTCTCTTATGATTACCTTCTCTCATTAGGGTGTAGGCGTGTGACAGTCAAAGAACCAATATTGATCCGTTATTATTACAAATGTCTCAAGCCTCCATCAGGATTCACTCTTGTGCTGTATTTTCTACGGGTTTTGAAAAGTACACGTGGGTCCCATACTCACCATCGTACGATCCCAGTCTTAGGACAGCCCGCTGGGCACAGGAGGCTGGGCATCCTGCCAGGTGGCAGATCTCTGCCCCAGCCTAGGCTGGAACCAGCTGCCTGCTGACCAGAGGCGGCCTCTCCCCTTCGGTCTAGCAGCCACCAGGGGCTCTGAGACCCTGAGCAGGTCACGGCAGGTCCTGAGTTCCCCATGTCCGCATCTATAACTCAAGAGATCCCAGCACTGCCCTGCCTCTTCCGTGGTGTGATGATCTGGACCCTGATAGGCCATGTGGCCCTTCAAGGGTGGACCGGGCCTGGGGGGGCTGCTATCTTATGCTTGGTGGGCATGGAAAGCAGTTGCTGCGCACAGGTGTGAAGCCGCAGGTCCCTTTCCACAGCAGGTCCCTTTCCACAGCAGGTCCCTTTCCACTGGGCACCCTGGTACCTGCAGTGATGGGGGTGGGGGGAGGTGCACTCCTAGAGCAGACGGGGGTGGGTGGGGCAGTCTCCAAGCTCCGAAATGCACCTCCACCAGACCTTGAGCCTCAGGGTGATGTCACTTGATGTGCTGGGCAAGGTCCTGGCTCCAGGCTTTCGATGGGGTGGGTGCTCTGAACAGATCCTTACAATGAAACTACCTTCAGTGGTCACTGTCATCGCCTTCCAGTTCTTCAGACCCTCACCCTTGTCCCAGCTTTCCTGGGCTGGGGGCTGGGCTCCACCTGCCTTTGCCGGTGACTTCCGTCCCTGCAGACTCACAATTTTCAAAGCCCTCTCCCCGCCTCCTCTGGTAGTCACAACCCAGTTATTCAGACTTGCACAGGTCGTTCGCAAGTCCTCCTGGAAGGTATCTTGGCTGGAAAAGGGGACAAGGCCAAGCTTCCCCACCGCTGGATGCTGCGCTCGGCTCTGGAACTGACACCAGGCGTCTCGGGCAGGGCCACTGACCCGCAGCACACAGAAGCCAGCTTTGCCATCGCAGCGGGGACCGCCGGGCGGGCCAGCTCCGCCCTCTCCTGCCTGGGGGGCCCTCGGCACCCTCTGGCTCCCCTTCTCTGGCCTGAGTCTCTAGGGCCTCCCCAGTCCGGGCGGGGGTCTCCGCTGTCCCCCCCACTGGGTCAGGCACGTGGTGGCCGCGGTGACCACCTGGGGAAGGCGCCGACTCCGAGGAACACACTCGAGCAGGACGCTCCGCAGGTGATTCTGCCCCGCGGGCACGGGGTGGGGGCGGGATTTGGCCAAATCTGCAGAGAGTTTAGGTTGTCAAAGCTGGGGCGGGGGTTGCTACTGATACCCAGAGTGCGGGGGCCAGGGTGCTGCCAACATCCCACCATGCGCAGGACGTCCCCACCCCAAGAACCACCCGGCCCCGCGTATCCGGAGCGAGGAGTGGGCAGCGCTCGGCAGAGGCCCCGGCGCGGCGGCTGCACGTCCTCCGGGAGGAGGGAGGGAAGCCGGGCTCACCGCCGGGCCTCCCCCCCGGTCAGGAGGGAGCCGGGAACTCCCGAGGCACCAACTCTGCGGAACGCGGGGCGCCCGGATCGCCCCTGATCACCGCCCGCTGGCGAGGCGCGGGGGACCCAGAACCGGCGGGGCCGGGAGCCTCCTTTACCGCTCCGCGCCGGGGCTGCCCGCAGGATGGGGCGCAGGATGGGGCGCAGGATGCGGCCCCGGCACCGCCTCGCGGGGGTCTGCGGGGGGCGACCGCGGCTCGCGTCGGCCACTACTTGGGGGTCTCGGGTTTCCGCCCCGCCCTCGCCTTGCAACCCCTCCGGCCCCGGACTCCGCTTTCCAGGCCGGGCTCTTCCCTCCGGACCCCGCTCGCCGCCCGGCGCGGCCCCCTCCTCCTGCAGCGCCCCCCGCCCCGGCGCCCGCGCCCCCGATTCGCTGCTGACTCGGTGTCTGCGCGTCCGGCCGGGCGCCCCGGGAGGAGTTTCCGGCGCGGGGCGGGGTCGGGGGCGGGGTCGGGGGCGGGGCGGGGCGGCGGGTGGGCCCCACCCCCCAGCTGAGCCCGGCCGGGCGGACTCGGACTCGCCAACTTCAGAGGCTCGGCGGCGGCGGCGGGCGCGGAGCTCTGCGCGCGGCTCCAGCGGGCCGGGATGGGCGGGCGGCCGCGCGGAGGACGCGGGGGGCGCGCGACGTGACCACCCGGACTCGAAGCCCGCCCCGCCCCCGCCCGGCTCGCCGGCTCCGGGGTCTGCTCCGGGGGTCGCGGACGCGGGGCCGGGCGGCGGAGCCGGCGCCAGAGCATGCGGGGCGCGGCGCGGGCGGCCTGGGGGCGCGCGGGGCAGCCGTGGCCGCGACCCCCCGCCCCGGGCCCGCCCCCGCCGCCGCTCCCGCTGCTGCTCCTGCTCCTGGCCGGGCTGCTGGGCGGCGCGGGCGCGCAGTACTCCAGCGACCGGTGCAGCTGGAAGGGGAGGTGAGTGTGCGCGGCGCGACCCCGGCCCGGCCCCCTCCCCTCGCGTCCCCTCCCGTCCCGGGCCGGCCGAGCGTGCGGGGGCGCGGCCGGGGGCGGGCGCGGGGCAGGGGCTCCGGGGGCCGCTCTCCAGGCCCAGTCCGGTGCCCGCTGTCCCCCGCCCCCGGTTCTAGAACAAAAGAGCCCGCGGCGTCCCGGTTCCCGGCCCGGAGGACGCCCGGGGGAGGCGCGCCTGCAGCGCGGCCGGGTGGGTCCCGGCTCCGCGCGTGTCCGAGCCTCGGGGGCCGCCGGTCCCGCGACCCCATCCCGGGGGCAGGCGGGGGTCGGTCCTCGGGCCCTTCCTGGCAGGCTCCGGGAGTTGCGCGCCCCGAGGCCGCCCCGGGCCAGAGCGGGAAGGGACGGCCGCGGGAGGGAGCGGCGGTTTCGGGGATCGGGCGCGGACCGCAGCGGGGGCCACTTCCGTCTCGGGGAGCCGCGGGCGGGCACCTGTGAGCCGGGCCGAGTGTGGCTCCGGCCGGGCCCCCCGCCCCTGCCCCGTGAAGGTCAGGCCGCCCTTGGCCGCGGCGCGCGCTGCGCTGGGCGACCCCCCCCCCCCCCACCCGCGGTGGCGGCCGAGGACTTTTTTTTTTTTTTTTTTTTTTTGACTCAAGCGTGGCCGCCGAGAGCGGCGCCGACCGCGACTGCCCCTCGGGAGCCGCCGCCGCTCCCACGCGAAGCCCAGGGCGCCGAGGGCACCGCGGCCGAACCCGCCCTGCGCGAGCCTCGCAGTCGCCAGTTCCGGGGTTCGCAGATGCGCGGGGACCCGAGTGACGCGCGCCTCCCGGAGAGCCGTGGCCGGGCTGGCCCGGGCCTGGGTCCCGCTTCCCCTCGGCGCGGCCCCCGCCCCCGCCCCCGCCCCCGCCGCGGGCCGAGTCACGCGGTGATGTCGAGCGAAGCTGTTTTCCGAGAAGGTCGGGGCAGAGCCGGTGCGGGGCGGGTGGTGTCCGCGGGGCGGGCGCAGGTCTCCCCGCAGCCGCAGCCTCCGTTCCGGGTCCCCGCGAAGCCACAGTCGCCCCCCAGCGCCCCCGGCGGAGCCTCCCCGGGGGAAGGGGCGTGGCGCTGGGGGGCAGAGTCGCCCCGAGGGCCGTGGGCGGTGCCCGGCTGTCCCGGGAGCGGCCGCCTCCCTTCTCGGCCGAGCGGGGCCGCGGGCGGATGGAGGTCTGGGGGGGGTCGGCCGGGAACGCCGGCGCCGGGAGCCTCCGAGGCCGACGGCTCTTCTGGGGCCGCCCCTGCCCCCGCGGAGTGATTCAGCCCCGGCTCGCTGCCTCTGCCCGGCGGGTCGGTGCATCCCCGAACCGAGGCCCGGGGCGTTCCGCTCCAGCAGACCGAAGCCAGAAACGCCGCCCCCGCCACCCAGGCCGAGTGTGTCGAGAAGGGGCCGGCGCCCTTTTCAGGGTGTCAGGGGACTGTGTGCCCGGTAGGAGGGGGCGCCTCCCGGAGCCCGAAGGGAGGGCGCGGTAGGCAGCCGAGGGTGGCGGGGAGGCCACCCCTCCACCTCCAGGGGCGGGCGGCTCCTCCAGGCAGGTGACAGCAGCGGGACAGGAGTGCTTTGCCCTCCAGGACCTGCGCACCCTCCTGTCTACCTGGAGGCCCTCTTCGCCATCGTTGCCAGTCCTGGCCTCAGACTCCCCAGAGGGGACCCCCCCACACACACACACAGGGGACCCCCCCCAACACACACACACCTGCAGAGCCTGGCAGAGGGCAGCTGTGGGGGCTGCTGGAGCTGCGGGTGTGATCTGGAGGGGACACGGGGCCCGGCTGTGTTTCTGGGGCGTAAGTGAGACTTCCTTTTGTTGTGGTCACTGCCCCGTTGATCCACACACGTCACGAATCAGTGACAGAGACTCGCTGTGGAAACCGGAGTGCGCTGGCCTGCCTGCTACCCTCCGGTGTTTGTGACTTTTTACCAGCTGTCCTGACGAAGCACAGGGTGGAGCGAGCGCTGGTGTGCTGGGTGGATTCTCATCCCCCGATAGCTGGAAAGTTGCCCCTCATGACACTGGCCACTGCATCGACGGCCTCTGTTGCTGGGTGTTTCTTCTAAGCAGTTAAGTAGGAGATGATGAAACCTCCCTTCCGTGGGGGGAGGCGGGACCAGCGCCCCGTCTTTATCAGCCAGTGCTCATAAATGTGGACCATGAACTTTCCCACTTGCTGTCAGCCCGGGCATCGCAGGTGCGGTCACACCTGGTTCGTCTCTCCTGCAAGGTGGGGAAAGGAAAGTTAACCTGCCAGTGGGTTCGAAGCCCTTCCTGACTTTCATACAGGAGCCGGGCATTTTGTCCTGGTGACCCAGAGTTGTGGTGTGTGGGCTGGTGCCTCAACAACCCTCCAGTGCACCTGCGCCCCCCTTCAGTGAGTCCCTTTATCCACTTGGGATTTGCCCTCCTTTCCATGAAGGTGCCCCACAAGCATGTCCACCTGGGTGGTAACCCTTGCTGACTTTTAAAAGTGTATCTGTTCAGTCTGTTGATCCAACATCAGATCAGCCTTGTCAGTTTCCTAAAGTTGAACGAACCACGGTTTTGTCTGCACGCTTCAGTTTTATCACAGCAGAACTGTGTCACCTGCATCTCACGTGAAAATCACAAAATGCCCTCATCCATGACCATTAAAGATAGGTCACATTTTTGCAATGCCAGCAATTTTGCATAAACAGACTCTGTTTTCAGGTTTGCTGAGGTGCTGGATATTTGGAGGTGAGAGATTTGAGGCACTCGATTTTCTGGTAGGAACCAGCACAGACCATGAGTCTCGGACTTCGTGCCGAGGTCTGCTGGGTCCCAGGCTGAAGGATGCATCGTTTAACTTTTTTTGTCTACACGGGTCTTGCGCATCATGTGCTACTGATTTTAATGTGAAAATCCCTACGTCAGCGGGTCTGGTTGGAGTCCCGTTGGTCTGGATGTTTCGGGAGAATGTGAGAGGAGAGGGGAGCAGGCCCTGTGCTGGGTGCAGACCCGTCTGAGTGCGCTGAGAAGACGTCAGGTGAAGGCCGGGGTAGCCGGGTGTCTTCTTTCTTCTGTGTCCACCTTCATTTTGTCCTCTTCCTCTTTTTGCCCAGTGTCTTCTGAGTGGGTGGAGCCAGGCGTGCCCACCAGATGCGGGTAGCATGTGCTAGGCCAGGACGGCCCCCAGGCTCAAGTCGGCCTCCTCCTGGGCAGAGGTGGGTTGGCCGCCTGTCCCCAGCTGAGTTGTGGCTGTTCCCCTCGCCTGCTCAGATGAAGGCAGTGCTGTCAGAGGTGACCAGAGCCCGCTCCCTCGACCTTCAGGACTCCCCGAGAGGGAGGCAACGTGTCAGGACGGTGTATGTGGAGAGAGGGTCGAGGCTCGGTGCCTGAGCACGGGCAGGAGGACAGTGGCCTCGATGCCAGAGACGGGAGGGAGAGACGTGACGATGAGGCTGCATAAGAAGAGAGCTGACTGTAGCTGAGTGTATCAGCCACTCACCGAGTCCAGTTTCCACACAGCACGATCATCGTGCCCTTGCCCACACACGTGTTAGATGAGCTTGTGTGAGCTTTATGGGCTGTAATTTGTGAGTCTGTTCTGGGTGTGTGATCCTGGCAGCCGGCTAGGCCTGGCCACTCGTGACCTGGGGCCTTGTCGGGGTGGGGAGAGGGTGAGGAGGGGTGCACCCTCGACACCACCCTCTGATGTGGCCTGCAGCCTATGAAGAGTGAGGTTTGGGGGCCCAGAGTGTGAGTCACCAGCGGTAAATGCAAACCATATGTGATGCATTTTCTCTGCTGCAGAAAGGGTTTCTGGTGACTCGCTCAGGCCAGGGCTCTGGAAACAGCATTGCTTATTTCACATAAAAATCCTAAGAATGTGGGTGAACCTGTCTGAGATCTGCGTAATAAAACACTTAGTTGAAGTCACCGGGTTAGTTCCAGGCCCACTTGGTTATGACGTGGCTGTTAGCCACGAGCTGGCATTTACGTTAAAGTGTTGAGAAGCGTGAGGGTTTTGATGTTTCAGTTTCTTGAAAATATAACTGTTTCTACTCAGGACCTGCCTCTCCAAGAGTGTAGCACACTTCATTTTTTTCTGTTTAGCATGTATGAGGGTGAACTTAGCTTGCTACTCACACACTACTCACCCTGTGGAGGAAGTTCGCCTCGCTTTTGTGGTGAGTCTTGCTGTAATGATAGCTTATATTTACAAATACCGTCGGCAGTGCAGGGTCTTCAGGCTTGCAGAAAACGGTCAAGTCATTACTTTGAGAAATGTACAAACATCTATGCTTAATGAGGTGCTAAAAGACAAAACTCATCTACAACCTCCTTCCCCCCAAACTGCCAACACTCTGGATTAACTTAAAAGCTGCTCTCTGGGCAGGTTGCATCCCAGGGCTCCTCCTTCACACGTGGTGGGGCCCCACCTTCGCTTTACCTCTAGCGTCCCAGCCCTCGTGGTCATCTGGAACCAGGGTTGGTACACAGGGCCTGCTGGCATTCCTGTGATACTCCGTGATATTCTGGAGGAATCCATCCCTTCCCTGGGGCTCCATCCCACTGCCCCAGCACCTCCAGCCACCCTGATTCAGGGACATCGCAGAGATTGGTGTTTGACGCTACGGCAGCAGAGGCGCAGACTCTTGAGTGTTGGAGGGTGTCTGGAGGGCCTGGGGACAAGCACCGCCTGCACTCCCGGGAGCTCGGCCCCGCCCCACCATGGCTCTTGGTGCAGGTGCACTGGAAGGAACTGGGTGGGGCCCTTGTGCCGAAGGGCGGAGATGGCGCCGGCCTGCCTCACGGGCAGGGGTCCGTGTGGCACCTGTGGCCGGCAGCGGGTGGGTCCAGGAGCCGCCATCATTTGGAGCGGGTATCGTCCTCACTGACTCTCTGTGGGTGCGGGTGGGGTGTGTGACGGGAGCTCCGGGCCTGGCTGACAGTGTCTCTCCTCTGCAGCGGGCTGACGCACGAGGCACACAGGAAGGAGGTGGAGCAGGTGTATCTGCGCTGTGCGGCGGGTGCCGTGGAGTGGATGTACCCAACAGGTGCTCTCATCGTTAACCTGCGGCCCAACACCTTCTCGCCTGCCCGGCACCTGACCGTGTGCATCAGGTCCTTCACGGACTCCTCGGGGGCCAATATTTATTTGGAAAAAACTGGAGAACTGAGACTGCTGGTACCAGACGGGGACGGCAGGCCCGGCCGGGTGCAGTGTTTTGGCCTGGAGCAGGGCGGCCTGTTCGTGGAGGCCACGCCGCAGCAGGATATCGGCCGGAGGACCACAGGCTTCCAGTACGAGCTGGTTAGGAGGCACAGGGCGTCGGACCTGCACGAGCTGTCTGGTGAGTGTCCTGCCTGGGGCGGGGGCGGCGGGCCTCGTCATCACGGGGCTGGTGATGTGGCAGGTGTCTCTGATTTCTTCCTGTCCCCTCGTCTGCTCAGCCTTGGTGAAAACCCTTCTGTGTCTGTGCTTCGGACATGACTGTTTTGCCTGAAGAGCCCCCCAGGTGGCTGGGGTTGGGGGACACTGGCGCCCGCAGAGGGGCCCTCCTAGGGGGTGTGACATGGTGTAGGGGGGTGTGGGATGTCTAAACTAAACCATCTTGGAAATGCAGCCTTTCCAACTAAAACCACCTTTGAAAAGACTGGCCCATCTGGGTTAGTGTTTCGGGCGGCATGGCCTTGGCCGAGCGGGGCCTCTCTCCCTGGAGGTGTGTCTGGGGAGCATGGTGAGCATCCCCCTGTGGCGGCCGGGCCAGTGCTGGGTCGGACGCGCCCCCATGCTTGTGGATCGTGTAGCACCTTTGAAACGGGTGCTTTTGCCATTCAAACTGCCCTGGGAATTGGCTGGGTGTCTGTGGTGTCGGCTAAAGACCCTGAAACGTCCATTTTTGGGTGGGAGCTGAGGCTGGCTCAGCCCTGAGCGGTGCTGAGCTGTGACGCCCAGAACATGGGGCCACCCCCGTCCCAGAGGGGTCTTGTGGGTACGATAAACAGACAGCTTCCCTGTGTGGCCGGCAGGGAGTGGAGGTGTCACGTGGCGTCTCTGGACGCCTGTGCTTGGGGGAGAGGTCCTTCGTGGAGGGCTGTGTTGGTCTCTAGAAAATTCTGTGGGTAGACACCAGGAGGCATGAGGTCCTGGGAGGCACCTGTGGGCCGTGTGACCTCCATGGTCTGTGTGGCCTCGGACTCGGGTGTACAGACTTCTATCCTGAATGGGAATCCACATTTTTGTGTTCTATGTTCTTGGCCTAGATTACTTTTCATCTCTCTCTGAAATCTCTCCCAGGTAGACTGGTCATTTACAGAGTGAGTGTAGGACCGTCTGCCTGGAGTCCTGACTGCCCCGAGTCCCAGCTGGCCCATGAGCTCAGACTGCCCCTTGGGCCTCAGCACCCGCAGGGCTGGACGCTGATGTAAACTCAGCTGTGCTGTGGTTGGTTGCACGCTGGATAAAACTTTAACCACGGCGGCCTTTATCTTGGTCACCAACAGTTATGGTGGGTGGGAGACCTGGGGGAGGGGGTACCAGCCTTGCTCTGGGGGCCCTGGAGAAAAACTCACAATGAGGCGAAACCTGGAGAAATCCAAGCTCCAAGTTCAGTCTTTCTAACCGGAGGTAGAAGGTGCCGGGCCAGATGTTAGGAACTTGCAAACATTCTTTCTGCTGATTAAAGTGGTGATTGGTCTTGAAGACGTTGGGCTGCGGGTCACATGCTCTGTGGCCTGAGCTTTGTTCTGCTTCTGGGTGAGATTCTTAGAGAGGCTGTGGTGTAGTCCGTCCCTGCCACGCACACCTGGACGTCCACACTGGCACAGGCCCGATTTCTACATTTCCAGGGGAAATTCAATGGTTCTAGTTGTCAGCTGGGGCGACCCTTACGGAGCCTGTGCCCTCACCTTTGGGAACAGAGACTTTGTCTCTCCTGCCTCTGGGGGTGGGGTCCGAGGCCTACAGGCCCTGTGTAGGCTGGGGCGGTGGGTGGGTTTGGGAGAGGCATGGGATGGTAGGGGCTGAGCTGCCTTGGGGTCCTGTGGGGTTGCAGGGAGGCAGCGGCCTCTTGTGAGGAGTGACTTGAGCCCCAAGGGACCAGAGCAGGCATTCGGCGGTGGGTCCTCGCTCACCCTCCGTGTGCCTCCTGGGCCTGTGGGGTCCTGCGCAGGTCTGTGGCCCCAGTACACGTCAGGCTGGCTTGGGGTCCCAGAACTTTGCTGTGTCCTGTGAGGCAGGTGCTTGGGTTTCCTTGTTTACACTTGGTGACCCTGCGGCATCTGCTTAAACCGAGCCTGAGGTGATTTCCAGTGCCCTGTGGGTGGTGGGTTGCTTATCCGAGGAAGCAGACATGCAGGGATCCTCGGAACTGACAGGGGCCCAGACTCTGAGGTTCACCGGGGGCCCCCGGAGCTGGGACCCACGCCTGGCATCTCACGGGAACGGGCACAGATGCAGGCCCCTCCCTGGGCTGAGCACCTCCAGGGCCCTCACGAGAGGCCTCTCCTATCCTGATGGGGTGGAGGGGCAGGAGGGATCCGAGGAGGCTGATACCTCTCCTCTCCCCAGGGTATTCGCCTTTCATCAGGGGACGGGGGCCCCTAAGCCTTTAATGCTGCAGGAATGGGTACATAATGTGGAATGTCGGTGCCGGCCGTCTGGCAGCAGTGACGCCATCCCCTGGGCCAGGCCGGCTCCCCAGCACTCTCCGGCCAGCGCCGCGGTTTCCCTTGCCTCCCGTTCCTGCACTTGCTGTAGCTGCGAGAGCCGACGGAGGCTGAGCCGGGCAGCGCCAGCCCCGCCGAGCCTGAGGTGAGCCTGAGCCTTTGGCCTGGCAGCACGACCCACGGGAGGTGGACGAGCTCGTCTGTGTGTCAGAAGTTCCAGTTTGTGCTGACTCAGGAGGACAGAGGCTCCGTGGGCTGGAACCCCGGACAGGAGAGGGTGTGTGAGCCCCGTCCCCTGCCCAGCCAGGAGGAAATCCCCCGCTCCGGTGGGTTTCGTTGGTGTGATCGTGGTGCGTTCATGCTGCATAATCGGCTTCCTTGAGTAAACTGAGACACGCCGATGACCAAGAGTTGGCCGGAACACGGGGGCAGGCTGCTCCTCCAGGGGTACACACTGGGGGCCAGGCGGGAGGGGACCCGGCCCCAGGACCTTGGGATTTGGCTGACTACGGGCAGGACCTCTCAGCCCTGCACCAGCCGCCTCTGCAGGCGACACGGACGCCTTCCTTGGATGCTGAGGAAACCCCGCAGGATGGGGGTGGCAGAGAGTGGTCAGGTGCAGCTTCCGGCCGTGCCCAGACCTGTGCCCAGCAGACCTGGCTGAGGCCGTGTGGGGCTGCTGTTTGCAGGCCAGGGAATCCGGGAAACGGGCACCGTTCAGTGGCTTGGGGAATGTGGGTGGGGGCTGTCTGGTTCTGGGGTACACAGACCCGAGACAGTCCAGGCAGGTCCCAGGATTCCAGTCTGTTCTTCAGCTTCTCCCAGGGCTGTGTGTCAGATGCTCCTGGCTTGGCCACATCTGTGCTTGGGGTTTGGGGTGCAGGCTCTGTGTAAGGCCCCCCAATGCAGGCCCCAGTGAGCAGGTGCCCAGGGCCGGGCAGCAGCATCGTGGACACAGGCAGTGGGAGGGGAGGGGATGCTGCCTTGATGCTGATCATGAGCACGTGGTGCCGTCCCTGGCTCTCCAGGACGCCGGAGTCCTGCAGCGTCTCAGGGGCCTCAACGCCTCCCCCCTTTAAAATCCTGCCCCTGGCTGAGCCCGTAGGTGAATGACCAGCTCGGCGGGCGCAGAGCCCCTGCCGATGAGCCCCCTCCAGGAGCCTCAGAGTTTGGAGAAGTCCTTGATGGGTGGGAGGGATGGGTGGAAAAGTGTGGAAGATAATTCTCATTATTTCCTGGAAGTAGAGGAGAGGGGCTGATTTTTCCAAGGCGTCCCATCTCTCGTCCATCTTTGGCTTCCTGCTTGGTGCCTTCTCTCCGGCCACTGTAATTTTCATTTTAACCATCTCTGGGCTTGTGGAGAGGAAGGGTGTGGCCCCCGCCAGCTTCCTCACCAGGAAGAGGGAGGGAGAAAGGGAGGCAGGGGGAAGGGCAGGGGCTATGGGGCCAACACCCCCGGGGCACCCCAGCAATGGACTGCAGCCTGGAGTGCGGCCGCAGCGCGACGGTGATGATGGTGGCCTTGAGGGGAGCCTTGGGAGCTCAGCCTTGGGTCCTCGAGCCCACTGGAGCCCACCCTCCACCCCTACCCACTGCTCCCTGTTCTTGGCTCCTCTGAAAGCACCTTATCCCCGTCACCGGCTCCTCTAAAAGCAGCGTGTCCCCCCGCTACCCCGTCACCACCTGTGTGGGAGACCCAGTAATCGTGGCCACAGAGGTTTCCCGTCGGAACTGTGTGAGTCCCTCTGGCTGTCCTTACCTGGGCAGTCCTGCCGGACCGGTCGGTGTCTGTCATTCTCAGCCTCTCCTCGGAACCAGCCGGTCCTGCCTCTCTACTTAACACCTGCCGTGCAATCTAAGTCCCCGCAGCAGCGTCCCCAACCCCACCCTGCCGGTCCCTCCCACCCTGTTCATGCTAGCTCCTGAGAGACCTGCCTGAGATGTCCACACCCCAGCCCTCCCCCTCCGAGGAGGATGGACCAGGATTCCAACCCTTTGCCGACCCTCCCCACCGCCCTGGAGACGAGGTGCAATGTGTCCGTGAGCAGCGCGTTCCGCAGCCTTTATGAGCCTGGCTCCTGTTAATAATTGTCTCCCGATTGTCTCCCGGCGTCCACCGGCGTCCACCCTGCATTCTCCGTGAAGGTGACTTCTGCTTTGTAAAGCTCAGAATCAGAACAGGGAGGTCTCCAGGGTGCTCCTTACGAGCTCAGCTGTCGTTGGGTCGTCTCCAGAGGCTTCTAGCAGGCGAGGCTGCAGGCACTGACCGTCCCCGGCCCCACACCCCTGCCGTCAGCCGGGTGAGCCAGGGCGGGGTACCCAGGGCACGTGAGGGCAGCGTCTCCATCCTCCCCCTCGGCCGTCCGCTGAGGTCGTGGGGCCGTGACTCACAGAGGGCGAAGTGCTAGGGCTTGCATACCCTCACGCGCCCAGGCCCCGGGGTGGGACGCATGTGGCTGGGCCTGTGGGCTCCCCTGCCCCAGGGTGGGAGCCACACACCCCCGCCCCGCCCCAGGGTGGGAGCCACACACCCCTGCCCCGCCCCAGGGTGGGAGCCACACACCCCCGCCCCGCCCCAGGGTGGGAGCCACACACACCCCCGCCCTGCCCCAGGGTGGGAGCCACACACACCCCCGCCCTGCCCCAGGGTGGGAGCCACACACACCCCCGCCCTGCCCCAGGGTGGGAGCCACACACACACCCCCCACCCCCCGCCCCAGGGTGGGAGCCACACACACACACACCCCCCCACACACACACCCCCCGCCCCACACACACACCCCCCGCCCCACACACACACACCCCCCGCCCCACACACACACCCCCCGCCCCACACACACACACACCCCCGCCCCACACACACACACCCCCGCCCCACACACACCCCCGACTGTGCTGCTGACTGTGAGGATGGACTTCCGGCACCTCCTGCCTCCTGCCTTTGCAGGACCGCCTGGCCCAGCCCCAGCTGCCATGGCTGCCCAGCCGGAGGGTGCTGCTCAGTGAGGGGACCCTCGGGTGGACTGGGGTCACCACGCTTCTGTCGTTGACCAGCTCTCTCTCAGCCGAGGCCACCTCCACTCACATGAGGCGCCCTGGGCTGGGACCTCTGGCCCTGTGGTACGGGGCAGGTGCTGGCGTGCAGTCTCACCTGTGGAGGATAAAAGTGCTGCCTGAAATTTGAGATCCCCCAGTGCTCCCTCCTTGTTGCTTCCGGACGTGAGTGGTGGTCTGTGCTGCTGGCCTCTGTCCAGCACGTGCCTGCATCAGGCCCAGCATGGTCTGCAGACCCCCAGCCGGCGAGTGGGATGGGGGTCCACATAGGTGAACTAAGTGTCAAGGGTGGGCCACACCCCGGGGCCCCCATAGGAGAGCGCACCGGGCGGCTTCCAGCTTGGGGGTCAGGAGGCCCCCGTGGTGGGGGCTGCAGTGTGAGTCTGTACACATCAGCAGGAAGGGGATTTGGCCAGAAGCTCCCATTCTGGAGGGTTGCTGGGATGGCAGAGGTGCCCCCCCAGTGCCAGGCTGGACCGGCCTCAAGGTGCTCAGCAGTGCCAGGCTGGACCGGCCTCGAGGCGCCCCCAGTGCCAGGCTGGACCGGGCCTCGAGGCGCTCAGCAGGCTGTGCAGTTTCTTTTTCCTGATACCTTAATGGAAGCAAATGCAGGAGGAGGTGGGTGGGCCGGTGAGTCAGGCACTGAGCCCGGCTGGGAGGCGCCCTCACCCCTGCCTGGCGGAAAGTGCTGGCCTTGTCTCTGGGTCCCTCCTACCTCCACCCTGCGGGGTCCACAAAGACCTGCGCTTGCCCAGTGCACCGTAGACTCCAGGGTCTCCGTTGACCACATGTGCAGGCCCTGAGGGTCCATGTAAGTTCCTGACCCCAGAAGGCCTCTGAGCAGCTGTCCCCGCCTTGGCCAAGGTGCCAGATATGTGTGCTGCCCTGTCCCCTGGGACCCCCAGTCACCAGCAGCTGGCTCGGGCCTGTACTCATCAGGCAGGTGACAGCTCAGCTCACTTCAGCCCAGCAAGGGCAGCCGGCCAGGGGTGCAGACGGCGTTAGCTTCTTCCAGGGCCGGCGAACCCCAAGTCAAGGTCGTCCCAGCTCTTGGCCAGGGACGTTTCAGAGCCTTCAGAACGTGAAATGGCACCGGCGAAACCAGTGCCATTGAGATTTCACGTCTCAAAGTTTCTATTGCGTTAGGAGACTTGGGGCCAAAACCTAGAGGCTCAGAACAGGTGAGGCCTTGAAACCTGCAATAAGAGCAAATAATAAAACCATGTTTTCCAAGTCCGTCCCGAGTGTAGGAATGCGGGGCGTGCAGAGGTTTCTGTTTCACAGTGGCCCGCCCATCTAAGAAACTGGGGCGAAGGGCAGGGCGAGGGCTGGGCCGAGGGGAGAAGGTTGTTGGGAAAGCCTGGTTTGGCCGGTACGGGAGCTCATTCTGAGAAGCCTCCGTGCTTTCCGCATTCTCTGGGGGAGGCCAGGCCCCGCAGGGTTCAGGGGCTTCAGAGGGGGTTCTGTGAGCAGGGCTTGGCTTGAAAGCCATTTGGGGCATGCACCTCATCCCGCGGCCAGGTGGCATCCGGGGAAGGGGCCGGGCCGATGGCCCTGACTGGAACTCACTGCCCTGCTGGGTGAGGCCCCACGCCGGTGGCAGGTGGACGCGTCGCTGCCTGCTTAGGGATCCCCTTCCTGGAATCTTGGCCTCGCTGGCCCTTCCAGCCACATGGGGGGTCCCGCGGGATGGGATCCTCCTTTTGGGTGCCGCTGCCGTCGCGACCCAGGGAAGTGGGCAGCAGAGCTGTGGGGAGTGTCTGCCCTTCGAGGAAGCTGGGAAATGAGGGTGGTCCCGGCGCCGTGGGCCGTGGAGGTGGGTTGGGGGCGACTCTGGGAGGTGGGGGTGCTCCTGGCGCCGTGGGCTGTGGAGGTGGGTTGGGGGCGACTCTGGGAGGTGGGGGTGCTCCCGGCGCCGTGGGCTGTGGAGGTGGGTTGGGGGCGACTCTGGGAGGTGGGGGTGCTCCCGGCGCCGTGGGCTGTGGAGGTGGGTTGGGGGTGACTCTTGTCTGGTGGGTTCGGTTCAGCCCCAGTGGGCTTTGCATTTGCAACAGGCACGTGAGCGATTTCTCAGTGAGTCCGGCTCAGCCGCACTGAGGAGATAAGTGGGGAAAGAGCACAAAGACCCCTCCCCACGAAGGCCCTGGGACATGGCCGGACTGAGGGTCTTGCTCTCGGACATGTGCCCATCATGGCCGAGGTGCAGGTGCCTTTGGTCCAGGTGGGGCCGAGGGGTCCCCTGGGTGAGACCCCGTCGTGGTCGAGGTTGTGTTTTCTGTCTCCCGTGCTGCCGGCCCCTCCAGCACGTGCCGCCAACTCACATTTGAAGTGGCGTTGGTCACAAAGGTGCCTTGACGTGGACACCCTCCCTGACTTGGCTTTGCTGAGTGTGAGGATCCTTTGACGGTGGTGGGCGGCGTTCCAGAGCCTGTCCCGTCCAGGCTGCTTCCTGACTCTGCCTTTCTTCTCCAGCGCCGTGCCGTCCCTGCAGTGACACCGAGGTGCTCCTAGCCGTCTGCACCAGCGACTTCGGTGAGTGTCTCCTCGGCAGCTTCTACCTCCTGTGCTCCTGGTTTCTGCCACATGGAGCTGTTTGGGCCCAGGAGTCCCTCTTCAGGGCCCAGGACAGCCTTCCGGTGCTGCGTGGACCCTCCTGGAGGGGCACACGCTGTGGAAGCCCTGGGCTCGGCCCTCCACCAGCCCTGGGGACAGGGACGCCACCGCCCACACTTGGAGGGAGCTGGGGGTTGTTTTGGTGACTGTCAAACATTTTCCCATTTTGTAAATGAGATCACTGCTCTTCGAGGGGACTCTTGAAGTCCACTGTCTCCCAGCAGCTCTTCTTGCTGAAGTGCTTTGTAAACAGCATTTTATCAGCAGCCCAGAGCATCCTTGGCGTTGGACACTCCTTGCCCCCCACCAGAGTTCACGCTGTTCCAGGCCTGAGGCCCCCGGCGGCTCTGCGGCTCTGCAGGAGGAGCTTTGGGGTCCCAGGGCTCCAGCCCCTTTGCTTGTGGCGTTTGCACAGACGCCCTGTGGGAAAGGTTTGGCCTCCCGTCGTGTGGTGCCGTGGAAGCCATGTCCTGCAGGCCCCGGCTCTGCACCCCACCTCCAAGCTCAAGGACAGGCCCCTTCTCACTGCTTTCCCGGCCCCTGGCATGGAGTTGGGGCTGGGCAGGGGTCTCCAAGTGTGGCGCGAAGGCTGTCCCCATGCCCACCCTCTCCTGTGAGCTGCACCGGGTCTGTCTGATCAGGACACAGAACTGCAGGGGCACCCTGTGTATCAGCTGGACTTGTTTGTTCTGTTTTCCCATTTAACAGGTCTGGCCCTTGGTAGAAAGGGCACCTGTTCTCTGACGATGTCTAAGTATCTGGGACACCCCTTGGCAGCTTTCTGCTGTTACATTGTACTTTTCTCTGGGAATTTCCACGCTAGATGGCAGAGTCGGGGGTCAGCTGCCCGTTCCAGTGCCCATCGATGCGGGGGCAGGGGGAGGTGCGGTGGTCTTGCTGTGTGCTTGCCTTTGCTCACTCCCTGTCCCCATCTCCTTCCCCGCACAGCCGTTCGAGGCTCCATCCAGCAAGTTACCCACGAGCCTGAGCGGCAGGACTCAGCCATCCACCTGCGCGTGAGCAGACTCTATCGGCAGAAAAGCAGGGTCTTCGAGCCGGTGCCCGAGGGTGACGGCCACTGGCAGGGGCGCGTCAGGACGCTGCTGGAGTGTGGCGTGCGGCCGGGGCATGGCGACTTCCTCTTCACTGGCCACATGCACTTCGGGGAGGCGCGGCTCGGCTGTGCCCCACGCTTCAAGGACTTCCAGAGGATGTACAGGGATGCCCAGGAGAGGGGGCTGAACCCTTGTGAGGTTGGCACGGACTGACTCCGTGGGCCGCTGCCCTTCCTCTCCTGATGAGTCACAGGCTGCGGTGGGCGCTGCGGTCCTGGTGGGGCCGTGCGGTGAGGGCCGCGCGCTGGGAGCCGCATGCCCTGGGCCCAGGCCTGACCCTGGTACCGAAGCTGTGGACGTTCTCGCCACACTCAACCCCATGAGCTTCCAGCCAAGGATGCCCTGGCCGATTGGAAATGCTGTAAAATGCAAACTAAGTTATTATATTTTTTTTTGGTAAAAAAGAAATGTCCATAGGAAACAAATTCCCGTGTCTTAAAACGCCTTGGTGTGCCGTCTGATACTGTTCTCTAAAGACGTTAGGAGTCACGGCATCTGGCCTGCGGTTGGGTGAAGCACTGGCCGTTGGGCACAGTGGATGTGTGAAAAGGTGCCATTCAGAGTTGTTATTCTCATGACGGAAGTTTTGGAGCCAAATAATACGTTTTTTATTTTCATTTTATTTTTAAAGGATGAGCTTTGGTCCTTTTCAGGCCGCCGGTTGTTTCCGTTCCCGAGAATAAAGACGAGGATCCGACCAGCCAGAAGCCGGAGTCTGTCTTTCGCCAGGTCCGGTGCCCACGGCCCGTGTTCAGGGCCTCGCTGGACGTACCCCAGGGCGCCACCCTGCCTCGGCAGACACGCTTGCTCCGCCCGGCGACTGTCCCTCAGCGCCTGCTGCTGCATTTCCATTAATGCAGGTCCTGCCCTGTGGCCCCAGCCTGCCCACAGTGCAGGGGCCCACAGCTAGTCTCTAGACGCCCAGGAGCTGGTCTGAACCCAGGTTGGTGACCCCATGTCCCCAAAGGATGCGGCTACCAGAACAAATCACCACCGACTGCGGGGCTGAAACAACCTCGTTCTCTGAGTTCCTGAGGCCACAATCCAAAGTCACGGTGTGGGCAGAGCCTCTCCCTCCAGGGCTCCAGGGGAGAACGCTTCATCTTCTCCTCAGCCTCCAGGGGTTCCAGGGAGGACCCTTCGTCTTCTCCTCAGCCGGGGGCGACCCTTCGTCTTCTCCTCAGCCGGGGGCGACCCTTCGTCTTCTCCTCAGCTGGGGGGGACCCTTCGTCTTCTCCTCAGCCAGGGGGGGACCCTTCATCTTCTCCTCAGCCTCCGGGGGTTCCAGGGAGGACCCTTTGTCTTCTCCTCAGCCTCCGGGGGTTCCTGGGAGGATCTTCATCTTCTCCTCAGCCAGGGGAGGAACCTTCATCTTCTCAGCCAGGGGGAGGACCCTTCATCTTCTCCTCTGCCAGGGGAGGACTCTTCATCTTCTCCTTGGCCTCTGGGGGCTCCAGGTGCTCCTTGATGGTGGCTGCATCACTCCAGTCTCTGCCTCCGTGGCCACACGGCTTCTCCCTGTGTCTGTGTCCAGATCTTTCTCTAGGACATTGGTCACTGGATTGGGGCCCACACCAGTGACCTCGTCTTAAACCGATTACGTCCGCAAAGACCCCATTTCCAAATAAGGTCACACTCAGCGGTTCCTGGTGGACATGAAATTTGGGGTACACCATGCCCCAGCACAGGGGGTCCCTGGGAGTGTCAGTTAACCAGACCCCAGCCTGCATCCCCATTGATGAATCAGGCAGTTCCTCCCGTGCAGCCGCTAAGAGCAAAGGGGACCTGGGAGAGGGTGATGTGGTCAGTGGGCACCATGCCGGCCTTGCCAAATGCTCAGGCACTCTGGGTAAGCACTGTGTACCGGCTCAGATGTTCACTGGCTCAGGTGTGCACCGGCTCAGATGTTCACCGGCTCAGGTGTTCACTGGCTCAGGTGTGTACTGGCTCAGGTGTGCACTGGCTCAGGTGTGTACCGTGCACTGGCTCAGGTGTGCACCGGCTCAGGTGTGTACCGGCTCAGGTGTGCACCGGCTCAGCTGTGCACCGGCTCAGCTGTTCACTGGCTCAGGTGTGTACCGGCTCAGGTGTGCACTGGCTCAGGTGTGTACCGTGCACTGGCTCAGGCGTTCACTGGCTCAGGTGTGTACCGGCTCAGGTGTGCACCGGCTCAGCTGTGCACCGGCTCAGGTGTGCACCGGCTCAGGTGTTCACCGGCTCAGGTGTGCACCAGCTCAGGTGTGTACCGTGCACTGGCTCAGGTGTGCACCAGCTCAGGTGTTCACTGGCTTAGGTGTGCACCGGCTCAGATGTGTACCAGCTCAGGTGTGCACCGGCTCAGGTGTGTACCGGCTCAGATGTGTGCCGGCTCAGGTGTGCACTGGCTCAGGTGTGCACCAGCTCAGATCTGAGCCAGCACAGGTCTGCAGGCTCCCACAGGTCACAACAAGAAGCAGGTGTTTCTGGGCGAGGACCTGAAGCAGCAGGCTGGGGCTGGGCCAGGTCCCACTGTGGCTGGTGGTCAGCACACCTTTGCCAGCAGGCGCCACAGCACAGGTGCCCAGCCCACAGCGGGGCGGCAGGGAATCTGCTCCTGGAACCTGGGTTTTCTGGGCTGGCTCCCGGGGGTGTTGACTGACAGGAGAAGGCTGCAGAACAAGAAGGTCGGGTTTCAGGCTGGCAGCCTCTCCTCAATTACAGGGATGCTGGGGTAGGCCAGAACCCGGTGTCAGGTGGAGTAGAAGTCACGCTTCACGGGAGGCTTCTGTTTTTTAAGAAGTGCCTGTGGGCTGGGGGGTTTTTGGTCCAGAGTCTAGGGGAAGGCAAAGCTTACCAAACAGAAAGTGTCCACTCCGGGGTGGGGGACTGGGGCCTCGTCTCTCCGCTGGGCCAGGACAGGGCTGTGAGGTCCAGCTGCCTGCTCAGCTCTGGGACCTGTCCTCCTGCAGGAGCCCACGGCCGTGAACATGCACACGGGCAGATCCACATGTCCCCCGAGGAAAAAGAGAGGGTCAAGGTTGAGTGTGTGGGTGCTAGGGGGTGCAGAACTCACTTCTAACTATGAGGGTTGAGGCGGGCTTCACAGGGGAGGTGGGTTTTGAGCCAGGCCTGCAGCCCGGCATCTGGAAGTGGCTTCCAGGCTCTCCCTGAGCTCTCTCCTGCAGGACACCCCTGCCTGCAGATCTGCACCCCCAGCTCCTTCCTGGGGACTTGATATCATGACCCTGCCTGGCACCCCAGGGGTGAATGCTGCACCCAGCCCTGAGGGTTTCCATCTGCTGGGGGCATCTGACCTGGGCAGGCCAGGGTGGGTGGGAGGGAGTCCAGCGGGGGAGGTGCAGGGTGGCCAGGGGGAGACACTGCCCTGGCTGGAGCCTGGATTCACTAGGTCATCACCAATGCAGGGGGTCCTGGCTCACTGGACTTTGCTACTAGAGAAGGTTGGGGAGCTCCACATGAAGGCAAGAAGGCTGGGGCTCAGGGTGTAACTCATCCCCGGAGAGCAACCAGAAAGGCCGTCGGATTGCAACGCAGCCTGCATTGTCCTCGCTGAACGCCTGGTCCTGTCCCACCTGCACCGGACAGCAACTGCTTCCCCTCCAGGGCGGCCCCCATCGTCCCCCAGGTGCTGCAAGAGCAGTGAGACTTACCCAAGACAAGTCAGAGGCTTTGGAGCTCTCGGGGGCGGTGGCTTCTCCCAGGAGCCCCGTATCTGTCAGTCCCCCCATAAGGGGAGGGGAGTTGGCAAGGCTCCTCCTTGCTCCCAGCGTGAGGATTGCCCCTACTTTTCCGGCCCCCACTTGCCCCCTCCACCTGCCCTTTTCCCTCCGGGAAGCCCTGGAGGTTTTCCAAGAACTCTGCGGGTCGAGGGGGCAGCCTATGTGGGGTGGCGGGGGGCCTCCTGCTTGTTGGATGCCCAGACGCCTACACCTTTCACCCTGGGGTCCAGTCGGCTGATGGCCATGAGAGAGAAGCTGAGAGCAACCAGAGCCCACAGCTCCATGCTGGTCCCCCATCTGCAAACGCTGGGCCCCATGGGAGCTGTGACTCGGTTTCCAGCTCGTCACAGGGCTGGCCGAGGCCCCGGCATGTCAAGCCATCTCAGGTTGGGCAGGAATGTGGTCCGTGTTCACATGTGTCTCTGTGTGTGTGAGAGAGAGGGGTCAGCTGGGACGCTGGGGTGGCAGGGACAGTCCTGGCTCACCCCTCATCCTCCCTCGACCTCGACTCCCTCCACATGAGGAGCCCCCCCTTCCTGGCTATCCTGTGAGTTGAGCTTCCTCTGCTGGGAGGGCTTTGTCAGAGGTTCCCTGCGGTTCCAGAAGGAAAGCTGGCTGCAGGGAGGGCCGGGCACTGGACACCGTGTGGCTGAGCCTGTGGCGGGGGCTGCACAGCTGGGTTCCCAGCCCCCCTCCTTGTCCCCACCCCACCGCACTGGGAGGCCCTGCTGAGGGGCCAGAGTCCGGCTGCAGGTCCCACGGGTGGGGGTGGGGCCCCTCATTAGCACTGCAGCTGACACTGAGGGCTTCCACCTCGCTAATTGATTAAACTGTTTAGAAACCAGGCCGGCGTGGTGGGAATTGGCCCCGGCCGGGCTGTCCGCTCCCCTTCTGTGCAGGCAGCGGCCCCCGGAGTTCATCAGTCAGGCCGGTTGGTGGGGTCCCGGCCCTGGCTGCCCTCGGGAACCCTTCTTTGCTCCTTTGTGCGGTCAAAATGGTGAGGGTCCTGAGAGGAGCTGGTGAGACCCCGGGGTCCTCTCCTCCCTGACCACTCACTGGGCGAGCATGGAGGGAGGCCTACTGTGCACGGGCATGTTCCTGGGAACCTGCCTGCTGGGATTAAACCCGCCCTTGTGAAGGACGGCAGGTGGGTCACTCAATACCAGGAGGGGCACGGGGCTGTGAGCAGAGGCCCGAGAGCCTTCTGAGGCGGCACCGGGTGCTCCTGGGCCCTGCTCTCCTGGGATTTGTTGTGCCTGTGACCTCAGCCTCTTCCTTCCTCTCCTGTGGGATTCCCCCAACACCCCCTCCCCTCCTGCCATTCCTTCCCCCACCAGGCCCCATGCCTCCCCTCCCCAGTGCCCCCTACCCCCAGGTCTTCCCTCTAGGACATCAGCCTGGGCTGTGGGTCTTGGTCTCCCACAGAGACTGAGTCCTGGGAGAAGGGCAGAGCCTTGGTTCCCAGTGCAGCCCCTGTGCCAGCCTGCAGTGGGCACCGGTTCAGCCGGTGCACACTGGGTCCTGCCCCCACCTGAGGAGCGGCCTGGGGCCTGATCAGCCCTGCTGGTGTCTGGCCTGCAGCCAGCACCGGCTCTGCTATTCACACTTGGTTACAGGTGGGTGCCCATCCCAGCAGCCTCGGAGCAGAGTGGGTCGGGCTCCGGAGGTGGGGGCGGCCACTAACAGCAGGAGGTCGTGGCAGTGCGGCTATGGCAGGGGTTCTGAGGGGCGGAAGGCAGGGGCGGGACGTGGGGACGCAGACCTGCAGGGAGGACGCCGGCTCACCCAGCAGGGAGGGGATGGCCGCCCAGGGACCCCCAGCCTGCCCGCTCTGCTTCCCCGACCGCCGGGGCAGGGGCCCCACGGGGGACGCCAGGGAACGTGAGGAATCCGGAGTCAACACTGGGCCACTGTGTGCTGCCAGCCGGGCGGGCCGTGATTTATAAAGACAGCGGAGGCTTGGCTGGTGTCGGGGCGGTGAGGTCACGGCGGCCGGGGGCTCTGGAATTTCTTCAGAAGAATTTTGCTTACCAAGCCACATACTTTTCTAGCCATCAGTTTGATCAGAGGCAAGATGAAAAATATGCTAAAAAACAAAGAAACAAAAATACACCCGGGGGGCTCCGGTGAGGGGGAGGGGCGCTGCGGGAGGGGTGGAGGGCCCAGGGAAGGGTGAGGGGCCGGGAGCCACTCTGCCCGGCACTCTCCGCCCAGAAACAGCCCAACGCCCCTTTCTTTCCCCTTTTAGCACTGCTGAGCTGGACTAAAATGCCCAACAAGGAACTTTACTAAAAACTGAGGCAAGAAAGAAAACACACATGACATAAAAATAGTCAAGGGCACATTCTTGATGGTAGATAACTGGTCTCTGGCCACAGCGGCTGCCAGGTTGGGTGTCGGCCGGCGGGTCTGCCAGTCCCACCCATAGGCACTGCACTTCCCTGGGCCGGACAGGGGGTGTGGCGGGTCTGTGGGCGGGGGGACAAGGTTGGCAGGACCGTGAGGGGGGTGGTGGGTCTGTGGGAGGGGGACAAGGTTGGCAGGACCGTGAGGGGGGTGGCGGGTCTGTGGGCGGGGGGACAAGGTTGGCAGGACCGTGAGGGGGGTGGTGGGTCTGTGGGAGGGGGACAAGGGTGGCAGGACCGTGAGGGGGGTGGCGGGTCTGTGGGAGGGGGGACAAGGTTGGCAGGACCGTGAGGGGGGTGGCGGGTCTGTGGGCAGGTGGACAAGGGTGGCAGGACCTGTGAGATGATGTGAGTGCAGCACAGTGGGGCTCTGTAAGAAGCGACCCGGGCAGCTTGAGCAGGGGCAGGCTGGGCGGTGCCTACGGGTCTCTGTCCACCGGAGCCTCTGTTCAGCCCACCTCAGTGTCGCTCCGGATGTGGATAGAAGGAGACACTGTCTGGGCCACAGACCAGGTGCTTCCTTCGTCCTGACCACACCTGCTTCTGCCCAGGAGACGCTGCAGGGGCTGTGCTCCCCGCCCGGCTACTCTTGAGTGGTCCCCAGGCTCCTCCTCCTCCCGGTTCCACCTGGAGCCGTGGGGCTGTGCCGGGGATGCCTCGCTGCAGCTGCAGCTCAGGGAGAACTCACTGCTGGAGCTTCTGCCTCTCCCGTGCCGTGGGGCCGAGCCGAGCTCCACCAGGGTCTGGACTTCTGCACGGGCAGCTGTGCTTCCCAGGGTCGTGGAGAGGGGTCCTTGGTCCCAGCCACTGTGTGACCTCGACCAGGACACTTGACTTTCCTGCCCCCAGAGGGTCTTGTCTGGACCTCCAGAGCCCCCAGCCTTGCTCACTTGGCTCTGCTTCTGGGCAGGGTGCCCTGGCATTGCTGTTGCTGGCACCTGCCGTGCCTTGGAGGGGTCTCCAGTGGGACCTCTGAGCACGGCTCTTCCTGTACTTCTCAGAGGTGAGCAGAGGGCATTTGTGGGAGAACTGGAACCTGGGGAGGAAAAACCCCAAGGCTGGCAAAGACTCCCTGCAGTCTGTCCAGTGATCCACTGAGGCTGAGTGGTGGAGGACATGGAGGCCGGCCCGGGACCAGGACATGGAGGCCGGCCAGGGACCTGGGGAAGAGAGGGCCTCAGTCTGGTGAGACCAGCCTGGTGGGTGCCTGGGGAAGAGAGGGCCTCAGTCCTGTGAGACCAGCCTGGTGGGTGCCTGGGGAAGAGAGGCCCTCAGTCCGGTGAGGAGACCAGCCTGGTGGGTGCAGGCCACCCTTGCCTGCTGTCAGGGCCTGCCCTTCTCTCCGGCCTCCAGCTGCTTTGCCCCAGCGATCAGGCGCCTGAGCTTCCTCCCCCGAGCCTGAGTCCAGCTGAGCTCCGTGTGGCTTTCCCGGTGGAGCAGACTCTGTCTGATTTCCCAACGGCTGGCGCCTCCCAGGGCGTGCTCCTTGCCACGGAACAGCCCCTTGGGGCCAGGTGTGTACTCCAGGCAGTGGCCCGGCAGTGCTGGGAAGTGCCGGTCATGGCTGCTGCACGTGGGTTGCTGTCTGGGAGAGTCCTGTGGTGTTTGCTGAGGGCGGAGGACACCGAGGACAGAGAATGGGCAACTTCCAGGGAGGGCCCAGATGCAGCCACGACTGGGGTGCATCTGGGATACCTCGTCCAGGGACACTCCCCACCATGGCCTGGTGCCTGTCCAGCAGGAAGAGCTTCAGGGCAGTAGGAAGGGGGAGTGGCCCCAGCTGCAGAGGGAAGGAGCTTGGTGGCAGGGCGGCAGGAGGGATGGGAGGTCAGGCTGACGTCCACTGGCGAGAACACTTCAGATGAAGATAGTGTGGACCCCTGCCCAGTCCCAACACAGGCCCCAGACGCCCTGAAACCCCAGGGGCTCAGCCCAAAGCAAGGGCAGGAAGCATTGCTTTACTGAGAAACCATAAAAATGTAGAATTCCACCTCAAACGCTGCTGTGGCCGATACTGAAGGTTAGAAATGAGCCGGTGGGGCCCGACACGGTGGCTCACGCCTGTAATTCCACCACTTTGGGAGGCCGAGGCAGGCAGATCATGAGGTCAGGAGATCGAGACCATCCTGGCTAACATGGTGAAACCCCGTCTCTACTAAAAATACAAAAAGAAATTAGACGGGCCTGGTGGCGGGCACCTGTAGTCCCAGCTGCTTGGGAGGCTGAGGCAGGAGAATGGTGTGAACCCAGGAGGCGGGGCTTGCAGTGAGCTGAGATTGCACCACCGCACTCCAGCCTGGGTGATAGAGCAAGAAAAAAAAAAAAAGAAAGAAAAGAAATGAGCAGGTGGGTGCTTCCCAGGGGGGCCCCGTGGCCTGTCGGCCCCATGCATGATGGCCCTCAACTCAGCCACAGCTCCCAGGGCAGCTGTGGCTCCTTGGGTGGCCCAAGACAGCTGCTGCGTGGTGTGAGCTTCGCTCATGAGGCTGGGCAGAGGCTGGGATCCCAGGTGTGAAGATGGGCCTGGGTGGTGGCTGCTGGACCTTGTTGTCACAGATGTGCCACCTGCTTCCCAAAACCGAGCACCAGGGGTCTGAGAGGTTGCTATGGGAAGGTCGCTTGCTCCAGGGGGCCCTGGAACAGTTGCTAAGTTTAACGCCCTGGCCCAGGATCCACCTGTCCTGCTGCAGACCAGCCCTGCTCATTCCTCCCTCTGGCTGTGAAGATGGAAGCCCATGGGTTGGATGCCTCGGGCCAGGGCTGTCACGCAAGGAAGCCTGGGGAGGACTGTGGCACTGACCCCATGGGCCATGGTATCGCCTCAGGGCCCTGCCCCTCTGATGTCCGTCTCCTCGGGGCCCCGCCCCTCTGGATCTCGTCTCCTCAGGGCCCCGCCCCTCTGGATCTCGTCTCCTCGGCGCCCCGCCCCTCTGGATCCCTGTCTCCTCGGGGCCCCGCCCCTCTGGATCTCGTCTCCTCGGCGCCCCGCCCCTCTGGATCTCCGTCTCCTCGGCGCCCCACCCCTCTGATCCCCGTCTCCTCGGCGCCCCGCCCCTCTGATCTCCTCTCCTCGGGGCCCCGCCCCTCTGATTCCAGTCTCCTCGGCGCCCCGCCCCTCTGGATCTCCGTCTCCTCGGCGCCCCACCCCTCTGATCTCGGTCTCCTCGGCGCCCCACCCCTCTGGAGTTCCGTCTCCTCGGGGCCCCGCCCCTCTGGATCTCGTCTCCTCGGCGCCCCGCCCCTCTGATCTCGGTCTCCTCGGCGCCCCGCCCCTCTGGATCCCCGTCTCCTCGGCGCCCCGCCCCTCTGGATCTCCGTCTCCTCGGGGCCCCGCCCCTCTGGATCTCCGTCTCCTCGGGGCTCCGCCCCTCTGATCTCCTGCACGCACCCGGCCTCGCCTGAAAAGCCCCACGTACAGCAAAGCGGCCGTGTCTTGGTGGCCTCTGCCTGGGGCGCTATGGGTGGCCTGTCTATGCCTCAGTTTCCCCATTCTTGATGAGAGGGAGCTGGGGTCGCTACTGGTCACTCGGGCCCCAGGCAGACCAAGGCTCACTTCTGTCCACTCCCTGGCCCCATTCCCAGGAATCCCACCGGTTCCTGGCCGGGGTCTGGAATCTGTTCTCCCAGTCCAGGACCTACCCTCCCCTCCACTTCCTGCCTGCAAGCTCTGTGGTCCTTCCTTGTCTTGAGTCCAGGGTTCCCTGTGCTCCCAGTCCAGCCTCCCTACTCAGGGCCGAGGGCACCAGGAGGATGGTCGTTGCAAAAGAATATGGGAGGCCGGGTGCGGCGGCTCACGCCTGTAATCCCAGTACTTCTGGGAGGCCAAGGGGGGCGGATGACTTGAGGCCGTGCAACACCTGCCAGCACCAGCATTTGACACGGAATCGAAGAAAACAGGCAGGACATACCCTGACTACACTAGTACAAGTCATCGGCGTCTCGGGGTCCTGGGTTTTAGAAATCACACTGTCAGGGAGGGCTGATGGGGTCCTGGGTTGGAGGCTGGAAGTGGAGGAATCGAGGCATAGGCAGAAACTTGAAGGAAGGGTCAGCCGAGCTGGCCAGAAGGGGGCTCCTCGCCACGGTCCCCAGGGAAGCACTTTGCTCATGGGCCCCGGCCCTGAGAGAGGAGCTCCTGCCTCTTCCCACTCGGAGAGGGCTGACAGGAGAGGCTTGGCCTGGTGTTTCCTGATGAGATAGCGGGCACGTTCCGGGAAGCGGTGAGCAGGCCCAGCAGACATCAGATGTGGTGCTTCCTGTCTCCTGTGAATGCGCCTGGCCCTTGAGGGGGGTCTGGGATGGAGAGTCGGGGGAGGGGAACCCCACTCGCCCTTCTCCTTGTTGTTCTTGGCAGCTGGACTTGGGCAATTGTGCCTCCACCCTCTGGAGGGGCCTCCCCCTGTGCTGGCTGCAGATCAGAGGGGCGATGGGGAGGGATCCACCGGTCCAGGCGGGGGCTCACCTTCCAGACCCGGGCGTGGGCGAGAGGGGTGCATGGGAGGACGCCCGATGCCTCAGGGCCCCCGGTCAGCAGCGAGGCACAGACTCTCCTCTGGGCGGTGATGGCCCTGCACGAGGTCCGTGTGCCGTCTGCCTGCACAGGGAGAGGAAAGGATCACGCGACCATGGGTACGTTGGCCACCTGAAGGTTGAGTCCCGCAGCCTAGAGACTGGAGCGTGGGGACCAGGAGGAGCTTCTTAGCGGAACTGGGCTGGGGCTCATGCAGCCCTCCAGGAGCCCCCGACGCGACGCCCTGGCTCATCCCGGGTGAAGAGGCTGCTGAGTCTGAACTGATGACAGTGGACGGGTGGCCGCCGGTTCCCAACGCATGGTTGGGCCTGGAACCCAGGTGACTCTGGGAGATGTGGTCACAGTCACAGCCGTCTGTGGGCCTTTGGGTTCAAAACAGCGCGAGTCACAGGAGACAGAAGGGAATCTGAGCTTGCGATTGCTCATTCTTGTCACCCTCCTGGCTCTGGGACACCTCTGCCATCTCCTACCAAGGGTACCCCATTCCTGGCGAGTTGGAAAGTGGCCTCATGGGCAGAAAACGAGGGCAAAGGGAGCTGCGTGCTGTGAGAGACGTCCCCGCACCCACCCTCCCCACCAGCTCCCTTGGGCCTTTCCTCCCTCCCAGCCCCACCCACAGCCGGGTGGCTCCCTTCACTGTCTCTCCTGGGTTTAACTCAGAGGCTGGCGAGCAGGGGCTGACCAGTGTGTGTCGGAGACTCTCCGAGTGGCCAGCACGGGCAGGGAGCTCATAGGCTTGGCCCTGAGACCAGGTCCTGTCTGAGAAGGAGGCAGGTCCTGTCTGAGAAGAAGGACCCCCACCCCTCCTGCCTGGGACCCTGCCTTAGGCTCACTCTAATGACCTAATTTCAATTTGATTGAATGCAAATCTGAATTTGCTAGAAGACCTGATTTCATCTTTCCGGGTTCAGTAAACATGACATTCTCCGTGGGGGTTTATTTGTGGAACTCCCAGTCAGAGCTGCTGCCCCAGCCCAGCAGGGCTCAGCGACGTGCACTGGTTTTAGGAGTAAATCCGAAGCAACAGAAGCGTTCGCACTGGCTCTGGGTGCAGCCTGCATCTTCAGCCCTGGGGCACTGATGCTGGGCAGCTTCTCGGCTTCACTCGGGAAGGGACTCAGGAGCGAGGTGGTGGGGAAGCCAGCAGCTTGGCTGAGGCGGCAGTGGAGGTGGTCCAGCTCCGCGACTGCTCCCACAGAGCAGGGCTGCCGCTCGGGCAGTGTGCAGAGTGCAGCCGCTTGGGGCCAACTTGCCATCATATGTATAACCACTTTTAATGACATGCTAATTAGGGGGCGGGTTATTCAGATATAGCTGGAGGATGGGCAGTTGCTTCCAGGTGTTGCCAAGGCAGTGAGAGCAACGGGAACTGCCCTTGGCGCCTCTTCCAGCTTTGGCCTGTCTTTGGTCGGGTCCGGGGACCAGGCTTGCCTACCACGTTTTCTGTGTCAAAACAGTCACGCAGAAATAAACAGTGACAGCACTGTGATGAGAAAAGCGAAGAAACAACTTATTTCAACTTTCTGACTTTTGTTGTGGCCTCAGCACTTTTGTTTGTGCTTAACATTGAAAACAGTGAGGCAGTGTAAACTGTGAGATGTGATTTTTCATTTGGTAAGTGCAAATTTTAGTTCATTCATGAAACCAGTTTTGAAGATCTTTAAAATAGAATTTAGTCGACCTTAAGAATTGTTAATTGTTTACAACTAAAGACCAAAAATCCAAGAGAATAAAGCGTTGCACCAGTGGTAGGGGTTTGTAGTTGCCTAAATTGTACCTTTTACAGATGTTTCATTTTATTAAAACTCACTAGTCACTGGATCTTCTATTCAACATGGTGATGGGATGAAATTATGTATGACAACTGTGCTCCCTGAAAAGACATGTTTGCGTCTGATCCCCTGGGGTCTGTGAATGTGGCCGTATTTGGAAACAGGGTCTCTGTAGACATAATCAAGTTAGGATGACATCATGAGGACAGGCCCTAATCCAGTATGACTGGTGTCTTTCCGAGAAGAAAACAGAGACACAGAGGGCGAGACCCACGTGAAGGCAGAGGCAGAGATTGCAGCACTGTGGCCAAAGGCCAGGAGTGTCCAAACCACCAGAAGCTGAAAGAGGCAGGGCAGGGTCCCCCGAGAGTGGTCGTGGGGAGCTCCCTCAGGCAGATACCTCGCGGTCCTGCAACTCCTCGATCGCAGACTCTGGGCTCCAGAGCTGTGAGACAGTTCAATTCTGTTGTTTTAAGCCACCTTGTTTGTGGTCATTTGTGCCAGCAGCCCCAGGACGGTCACACGTGCACCATTCACTGCTGTATTGGGTTAGACCCTTGCACTGAGGGCTTTGGGAACCTGACTGGGTTGGCTGCTGGACAGGGGACTGTGAGGGCTGCGGGGGGTGTCGGCGCAGGAGTGGAAGGTGCCCCTGCTGGGATGGGGGTCCCTCTGTCCCCTTCTCCTTCTGGAGAGAGGGCCCTCATGGGGCTGCCCAGGACACAGAGCTACTTGTAAAATCCTGCCCCCATTCCAGCCTGGGGCTCCTGCTGGGGGCAGGGTCCAGGAGCTTCGGGACAACATATGGACTCAGGGCCCGAGGTGGCCTTTATGATATCCAGGTCTCAAAGGAGGGGATCCCGGGGAGCTTGGGATGCGGCTCATCCCCAGCCTGAGTCTTCTTCCTTCACTGTCACCTGTTGCCCCTCTGGGAGCTGCCGTTGAGAATGAGGAACGTTCCAGGTGGTCTGTGCCAGCAACACCACTGCAGGCTCGGGGGCGGGGGGAGACGGGCACGGAGTGTCACACACAGGTGCTGGACAGGAAGTGGGCTGAGGGCCAGCGCAGGAGGTGGGGGGCAGACAGGGAGGGGGCGTTGCCCAGGTGCTGGACGGGAAATGGGCTGAGGGCAAGTGCAGGAGGTGGGGGGCAGACGGGGAGGGGGCATTGCACAGGTGCTGGACGGGAAATGGGCTGAGGGCAAGCGCAGGAGGTGGGGGGCAGACGGGGAGGGGGTGTTGCACAGGTGCTGGACGGGAAATGGGCTGAGGGCAAGTGCAGGAGGTGGGGTGCAGACGGGGAGGGGGCGTTGCACGGGTGCTGGACAGGAAGTGGGCTGAGGGCAAGTGCAGGGGGTGGAGTGGCCACTGGACCTGGCTGACCAGAGCAGAGAAGGTCTATGAAGAGAGATGGGAGAGGAAGATGCAGAAGGATTTAAAAATAGGGCTTTGTAATTTTCAAACAGCATACAGTATGCTATGAAAGAAAGGTTAGAAAAATTTTTTAAAGTTAGCTAAAATCCCATCACCTGGAGATAAACACAGATGACATTTTAAAGTTGCACCCGAGTTAAACAGTGGCTCTGAGCATCCTCAGAAGATGAGGCACTCTCTAGTTTTCTGAGTGGGGAGTTTAGTGACGAAGCTGTTGCTTCGGGAGGAGGACGAGGGCAGTGTGGGCACTGGTGGGCGTAGGGGGGACGGGGCTCTGGGTGAGGACAAGCAGAGGGAGGCTCACAGTGCCACAGGCAGGTCCCAGCCTCTGCCTTCAGGACAGACCAGACCCCTCAGCCTCTGAACTGTGTTCGGGCAAACGGGATTACGACTCTGAGTGACTGGAAGGCCCCGCTTGGTGCTGAGTGCACTGGCACCCATGTTATGTCTGTGGCACAAGCGCTCGATGAGGTCTGCACGATCACTGCAGATGATCACTGCACCATCATTCCTCGCTGCACGATCCTTCCTCGCTGCACGATCCTTCCTCGCTGCAGGATCCTTCCTCGCTGCACGATCATTCCTGGTTGCACGATCCTTCCTCGCTGCACGATCCTTCCTCGCTGCATGATGATTCCTTGCTGCACGATCCTTCCTCACTGCACGATCCTTCCTCGCTGCACGATCAGTCCTCGCTGCAGGATCAGTCCTCACTGCACGATCCTTCCTCGCTGCATGATCCTTCCTCACTGCATGATGATTCCTTGCTGCACGATCCTTCCTCACAGCACGATCCTTCCTCGCTGCACCATCCTTCCTCGCTGCACGATCCTTCCTCGCTGCACGATCCTTCCTCGCTGCACGATCCTTCCTCGCTGCACGATCCTTCCTCGCTGCATGATCCTTCCTTGCTGCACAATCATTCCTCGCTGCACCATTATTCCTCACTGCACAAGGGAGGAAACTATAGCACAGGGAGGGTGAGCCACTCGCCCAGGGCCACATAGCTGTGAGGGGAGAACTAGGAATTCTCATCCAGCCTTCAGGAAAATTACATGTGGACTGGATGTGACGGATCTTGAGCCACGCTGACAATTGAGTCCCTGTCCCTCAGTGGGTTTCAGAAGAGAGGCCTCCCCTCTCCCACATCCCAGGAGCTCAGAGGCCCTGGGATGGGCCGACAGTTCTTGGCCAGGTGGCTGCTCCTGCGGTCACAGCACTTGGAGGTGCTGGCCTGCGTGCAGACGCCCCCTGTGCCTGTGGGGTCCTCTCCGGGCCTGGCCTGGCCTCAGTCCCACTGGCCACCCTCGCTCGGGGATCGCTAGGGGTCCTTGGACCTCAGACCATGCAGGGCCTCCCTTTGCAGAACAGGAAAATAGGACGGCCACCCTCAGGCCACCGTCCATGAGCATCACAGGGGCAGGTTCTTATCTCTGGGCTGGACGTGTCAAGGCTGGGCTTGGGGGCCAGAAGCTTCCCAGCAGGCCTCCCACTGGCCACAAGACACAAGCAGCCCCTCAGCCCTGCAGCCACGTCCTCTCTGACAGGGCCCCTCTTGCCCCAAGCCCAGCCGGGCCACCGTGGCCAGCTCCACACACACATCTGGCTGAGCACTCACACCAGGCTGCGGGGTGGTGTCACGGCCCAGGAATGCAGGAAGACGTCTGGGGCTCTGGCAGAGAGGCATGGCCATGCGCCAAGAATGTGCCTTGTAGAGACATAATTATGCATTGGGGGAATACGGCGTAACAAACCCGGTGGATGCCACCGACTCCACTTACTTTACTGAGAGCTGAGAGGACAGCAAAGTGCGGCACTGACCCTCAGGAGGGGAGGGCGCTGGCTGGTGCCCACCGTCCTGCAGAGGACTGAGGGATGCGTGGGCATGGGTGGGCACAACCGTGGGGGCGCTGGCCTGGGGGAGGAGGAAGGAGGCCGGGCGAGGGCGTGGGCAGCGCTGTCCTGGCTGATGGCTGAGGAGCCAGGGCGCGGCCGCAAGTGCGTGGCAGCGTGGCAGGGCGGCTGAACGACCCCATTGTGTGGAGTGAGGCCGAAAGGCCAAGTGGGACGGGCAGGGAAAGAAGCACATTTCATAACTTCAGTCCACTGTGAGAGGACTGCCTGCCCCTTTTAGAAAACTTGGAAATCACAGCAAGTCTCCAGCAGGGAAACAACGCCATGGGGGAGGGGTCTTATCTCTGGGCTGCGCTATCTCCCCACCCAAAGACCACGTCAGCCTTCCGGGCATTTCTTTCAGAATTTTAAGCCACATGTCTGTGTGTGTCTCTCTGTGCGTACAAACACGTCTGTTTATGTGTGTCCTCACATCGCTGGGGTCATGTTGTATGTGTTGTAAAAATTACTTTTTAACTTGTGTAATATGTGTATATATATATAACAAACCCTACCGTCTTAACTGTTTTTGAATCTACAGCTTGGTGGCATGAAATACATTCATATTAACTGTAACTGTCAATTTCCAGATGTTTTATCTTCCCGAGCCGAAACTCTGTCCCCATTAAACACGAACTTCCCAGTCCCCCTCCCCCAGCACCCACCGTTCTGTTTCTGCCTCTATGAAGCTGACAACCCAGGGACCGCGTACGAGTGGAATCAGCAGGATTTGCCCTTATGTGTCCGGTTATTTCCCTCGGCACAGTGTCCTCAGGGTTCATCCGTGTCACAGCAAGCGTCTGACTTTCCTTCCTCTTCCAGGCTGGGTCACAGCCCTTCATGTGGATGGACCACGTTTTATTCACTCATCTGGCAACGGTCCTTCTGGCTGTTGTGAATAACGTGGCTGTGAACGTATACGTCTTGTTCTGTTCAAAGCAAAACACACATTTTCATTCTTTCAAAACTGTCCTTATGTTTCCTGTGGAATGCCCTGGACTCAGGGTTTGGGGGAGCCGGTCATTATATCACACCCGGGGTTTTCGCTGGAAAGAGCCTCAAGCCGTATGTGCTCTCCCGACGCCATCCTCCCCACAGTTGGCTGTTGAGAATTTTTTCTCTTTGGAGGACTGTGGGGTCTCTCTAGCCTGGCCATCCTGAGTCCAAGTTTCTTTTCCCTGACAACAGACAAATGAGCGAGTAGCCCTCTCAGTCCACGAGCTGACCCTTCAGAGGCTGGGGTTGCAAACCCTGATCCTTGGTGGGCTGGGGTCGGCCTCTGGGAGCCCCTCCTTCAGAGTGAGGGGCTGGTGCAGGTTTTCTTTTCTCCTCACTGAGAGTTTTTTCTGCTGCCTGAGAGAAGAGGGTGAAGGCTCCCGGTAAAGAGGATGGGGTGCAGGCTCCTGAGCCCACCGACAGCCCCGTCCAGCGCTGACCTGTGGGAAAACGGCCTCTTGGCAGGTCAGTCCAGGCGGTGGTTTCCCTGGAGCCAGGGGCTGGGTTCCAGAGCCCGGCCTTCCACCCCTACAGCGGGCAGGGCTGACGGGCGCGAAACTGGGAGCGTAGCTCTGGGAGGTGGCCTCGGGGAACCATTTTCCCACCGGGCGGGCCCTTTTGTTCTCCTGTCTGTGCGCGCAGGGCAGCCAGGTCCCGGGATGGACCCTATTTTGAGAGATTTATTGACTTTCTTTTTCTTTTGAAAGGGCTGTGGCCAGGCAGAATATTGAAGCGAAGGAGCCCGACAGTAGCCGCTCTCTCAGGGTCTAAGGCAACAGAGAGCTCCCAGGTGTGTATAGAGCGGGGCGGGAGTCGGGTCTGCAGGACGGCCGGTGGGGAAAGGCCACGAGGTCTGCAGCTGGGGGCCGGGCCGTGCTCAGCGGTGTGTGGTGGGGACACCAGGAAAGGCTGTGGGGGGTCTTGGGAGTCGGCACCCTCCCTGAGGGGCCCTAAGTCCCTGCCAGCTTGTGGAACCAGAGGGTCCCTGGAACAGTCTGTGTGGACCCCCAGGGTCCTCTCTCCACCCCCGGGCGTTGACCTCCTGCGGGATGCTGACCTGACTCGGGTGTGTGGGGGTGTGCCCATGTGTGTCCTTGAGTGGGTATGTGTAGGGGTGCGTGTGTGTGGCTGTGCAAATCGCCAACGACAATCTTCCGTCCAGGGAAACGGACGCCGTGTCCCTAGGAGGAGTGTGGCTTTTCCTGTCCTGGGCTGGGGATGTGGGACCCCTTTTAACCTACTTTTGAGAGCAGATCTGGGGGGGCTTGTTTTTTAAAAATCACAAAATAAACATAACTATTGTTCTCCCACTGATGAAATTACCCATTTTCACGACCCAGGGGCGATCTGTTTTCATCCCTTCGTGTAGGCCACTGCGGACCTTTTCTCCTTTTATGCACACGACAGTATGTTTTCAGGCTTTTCCAAATTAGGAGCACATTTTATATATTTGTATAATTTTCTGGATTGATTTTTAAAATGGAATCTTGTGGACAGACTTCTGTGACCTTAACTGTGGATTTACATCAGGCTAATGGTTGTGAAGGTTTTTATTTTGTGAACACCATCAATGGATGTTGAGATTTTAGGTTCCCTTTTTCCTTGCATTATAAACAATGCTTTTTCTCTCCTTCTCCCTTTGCATACACTCCCAGCAGTGTCAGTGAGCTGGGGCCTCGTGCTCCTGGGTCCTGGCGGGGCACGAGGCTGGTACGGGGAGCTTCTCCTAGACTGTGTGGCCCCTTAGCAGTGTTCCTACCGTGCAAAGGCCCTTCCTGGTTTACAGAAAGGATCTGGAGGGGGAGAAGAGCCTCGCGGCCCGCATGATGTTGGACCAGCGTTTGCCTCCTTCTGAGGCCCCCGCCTCCCACCAGGCCTGGCGCTGCTTTTCACATCTCCGCCCCAGCCCAGGTCCAGCGTGTCTGAGTGTGGACTCACCCTCTGTTCCCAGCCCCAGTCCATGGATGTGAATAAAACGGAAACTAGAATTCAGGAGCCTGAGAGGCCAGGATGCCAATCTCTGTAACCTCAGGACAGAGGCCTAGGGGCAGGGGGGCCTGAGTGACAGGCCAGGGGAAATGGGGGGCTGTGTGACAGGCCAGGGACAATGGGGGGCTGTAGCCATACTAGCCATACACGGGCTGAGGCCCAGGGTGTCCCCTGGCCGCTGTCCTCTGCATAGGCCCTGAGGCCAGGGACTCCTCCCACCTTGTTCTGGGCACTGGGGGCTCAGCTCAGGCCTGTTCCAGCCCCACTTTGATGCCCAGGAAGTCCCAGGATGAAATCACAGGGACAGAAGCCGGGGCTACGGCTAAGACCCTTTGACATGGAAATGCTGATTCGGTGGCTCAGGGGCTTCCCACCCAGCTCCCTCGGGAGGCCTAGGCCAGGGCGTCAGGGTGGGGTGCCCGAGCCTGTTCTCCCTGCCGGAGGGCCGGTGTCCAGGGGCCATTGTCCAGGCCAGGGCTCACCCGAAAGGCCTGGAGCCTCACACGCTTTCAGGTAGGAAGTGTCCTCGGGAGCCTGGGTGGCCCCTGCAGTTGTTTTGGGAAGGTTTTGCTCTGATTTTTTCCTGCATAGCTGAGGTAAGTGCAGTTTTTGCCCTTTATTCATTGGAGAGTCTGGCCTGTCCCGCCGAGCACAGCGTTTCCCTCACGCTGGCCGTGAGCACACAAGGGTGTCCAGGGGCCACGCAAGCCTCTGGAAAACAGACAGACGCCAGTGCTGTACCCCCTGCTGCGGTCCGCAGGACCAGGACCCCGCGACCCTCCTTGAAGGGGCAGGTCCGCTGGTGGTGGGGGGCACAGAGGGGCCCAGGCCGGGGTGTCTCAGAGGAAACCAGCCGCCCACAGACATGCTGGGCACCCATATGGTGGAGTCCTCTTGGCCACAGCAAGGGATGGAGCCCCTGACGGACTCAAAGCGTGAAGCCCAGAGAAAGGCACCACACGGGAGCACGCGGGGGTCCCAGGACAGGCACAGCCACCCACGCGGCCACAGGTGGGGTCCCGGGGCAATATATATATATATTTTTGAGACGGAGTCTCGCTCTGTCGTCCAGGCTGGAGTGCGGTGGCGCGATCTCGGCTCACTGCAAGCTCCGCCTCCCGGGTTCACGCCACTGTCCTGCCTCAGCCTCCCGAGTAGCTGGGACTACAGGCGCCCACCACCACGCCCCACTAATTTTTTGTATTTTTAGTAGAGATGGGGTTTCACCGTGTTAGCCAGGGTGGTTTCTTATCTCCTGACCTCGTGATCCGCCCGCCTCAGCTTCCCACAGTGCTGGGATTCCAGGCATGGCCACCGCGCGGCCAGCACGGGGTCTTTCTTTATTTCCCAGGTGGGTCTTGAACTCTTGGGCTCAGGTGGTCCTCTTGCCTCGGCCTCTCAAAGTGCTGGGATTACAGGCGTCAGACACTGCGCCTGGCCACATTTTTTATGTGTGTGATTCACAACAGGGGTTTAGGGAAGGGAAGAGATAGCAAAAAGAAAAGTTCTCGTCTCAGTCAGTACCCCTGCCCCAACAAAAACCCCAACCAAAAAGCCTCACAGTAATTATCTCCAGCAATTTCCACCCTTTCTCCCTAAGAAATTTGAGTTGGGTGGTGGGTGGGAGGGCTTGTGCTCCCCCAGAAGCACTGAGGGAGAGGGAGGTGCCAGCGTCCACCCTTTGTGTTAGGTTTAAGCAAGTGCTGTCTCTGGTGCGTGGGGCCAGGGCCGGATGTCGTCGAAACACCGGAGCAGCCCAGGACTCGTCGCAGAGGGGAGCAGGGTGTATCTTACAGGGGCCGATGGTGCAGTCAAACCTCAGGGTCTACGGTTTTTATGGTTGCCTCGAGTCTCGTCCAGGCTGGGTTGTCTTGGAACCGGGTCTCCTGTCCAGTGTTTGCACGGTGTCATTAAAAATCACAAAACGTATGGAAGTGGTGGGTAAAGACTTTTCAACTTTGGTGATTTTGTTCTTCCCAATGGTGGAGAGAGCTTGCAGGGTCAGGAGCTGCGTGATGAGCTTGCTAGAAGTCCATGGGTGAAAACAGCCCTTGTGTGGCTCCCGGGTACGGCTGGCCGACCTGCCTAAAGCCAGGCATGGACCCGAGGTGCCCACACTGCTTGGAGCTGGTGGCACAGGGCCCGGTGTCCCTTGGAGAATCAGATCTGCCTCCATGGACTCACACCTCCTGTGTAAGTGGCGGGTTGTGTGCGTGGGGTGGTGGGACACCTGGCAGGTGGCAGAGGCGGCATCCCAGGGGGTGACTGACTTGCGATTTTTCTTCTGAGTGGGCACCCAGCCTCCTTCGATGCCCTCGGTGGGGAGAGTGAGGGGCACGAGCTTGGCCCTGGTGCTCAGACGCTTCTCGGTTCACTCCGGGGCCGCACCCTCAGGCCGCTCCATCTTGGACAAGTCTCTTGGCCTCGCTGGGCCCTGCGCTGTGCAGCCTCTGCCCTTTCCTCTCCAGGTTCCTGTTTCAAAGCATCTCTCTGAGGGGCTGGGGTGCCACAGGGGCCACCATATGGGAGGGCGGTAGCCTCACAGGAGCCAGCAGTGGGGCCATTGGGGCCTGGCTATGGGCAGCTAGGTGGCAGGAGGGGCTGAGGGGTCTCTGTGGTTGGGTCTGAGGTGAGGCAGGTTTGAGTTGGGCGGGACTGGAGGGGAGGGGAGGCGACGCGGGGCCCATGGAGGTGGACTTGGTCCACCGTCACCCCACACCTTCCTCCAGCACATCCTTCCCGTGGGTGGAGTCACAGCCCTGAGCTTCCTCTCCCTGCAGCCCTGTGGGGGAATCTGTTCTGTGCTCAGGGGACGGTGCCTGGTCCTGGGGGCTGGGCAGAGCTCGGAGGGGCCTGCCCCGGCAGCTTTGGTGGCTCGGGTGCTGCAGAGGCCGGCAAGGGCTTCGGCTCCGAGCTTCGGTGAGATTGAGGCCAGCGGTGCAGCTTGCAGGACGCTGAGGTGCTGTGAGCCCTGGAGGCCGACTCCAGACTCTGGCCAGCATCCTGGCAGCTGGGTGACCACAGGCTGTCTCTACAGCAGCCACCACTCCCGACACCACTCTCGGGTCCTCCTGGTATCGAGGGACCTGCTCGGGGTTGCCGTGGAGCTCGGAGCTGCAGGGTGGCTGAGGCCGGAGGCTTAAGACCCCAGTGTCAGGAGTAAATTAAAGGCGGGTGAAGGATGAGCGTGGATTGTGGGGGCAGCCAGGAGCCCAGGACCTCGAGGCCTCGTGGGGCCGGGCGGCTTTGCTGGCCTCCTGCAGCTGACAGGCGCCCTGGTGGGCAAACACTGAGAAATCGTGATGGGCGTAGAGATGACTGACCAGAACGTGCAGGAAGGAGGTGCTGAGCCTGAGGAAAGGCTCGGACGGGCAAACCGCAGGAGAGCTGGCCCAGCTCAACTCCAGTCCCACTGCAGCCGGGAGTCCTGGGGTGTCCCACGCTGACACCGGGGAGGGAGTCGTCCAGAAAGCAGCACCCACTCAACTGGAGAGGAGTCTTTCTCCACACATGAGCTGGGGGTGGCCACCGGCCCTGTCGTCCTCAGAGACTCATGGCCCGTCCGCCCAGCCACACATCCCTCTGTCCAGCGTGCTCGGGCAGCAGGCACTGTCGCTGGAGTGTCATGGCCACCCCAGGGCTTAATTTGGAGGTGCCAGATTTGATGGTCATCAGCCTGGGTAGGATTGAGGGCTTGTCCCAGACAGTCAGGAGACAAGCTGGGAGAACATCACTGGAGACAGATAATAAAGGCACTGACAAGCCCTGCGTTGACATGAGGTGCTGTCTGGAAAAGGCTGAGCCTGGTGGGGAATGGGTCCCCTGGAACGCGGGCCTGGACTTGGAGGACAGACGTAAAGCATTTGAAGGTCTCAGGGTGACGTTGAAGGGGCAGCAAAGAGAAACTGAAGACTGAGCTTTCAGAAGCTAGCTCACCAAACAGGGAGGCCAGGTCCGGTTGCCCCGCAGGCAGTGGCAGATCCCAGCTTTTCGTGTTTTGTCCTAGTGCCCAAGGTCTAGGAGATGGTTTTATTTTATTTTTAGTTTTTGAAAAATAGAGATGGGGTCTATGTTGCCCAGGCTGGTGTGGAACTCGTGGCCTCAGCGGATCCTCCTGCCTTGGCCTCCCGCAGTGCTGAGCCACCAGGCCTAGCTGATTCTGTAAGCCACGCAGGTGAATAATTCTGCAGCTCACAGCGTGGGTGGTTGTCTCTCCGGCAACCTGACCCGCAAAGGACACAACCGCAGGAGAGAGGTCAAGAGGCCCCTGCCTGCGGGTGTTAGGAGGTGTCATCTTAACATCCATGTTCATGGAAGACGTGTGCCTTCAATGGAAACTGTCCGTCGTCTGGGTCAAAGTTGGCTACAAAAACCTTCTGGGGGCTTCCTGGTCGGAGTCAACGTTTACCATATAGAATGCGGGCTTCTGGGCATAAGGACAGCCTAGAAATCTCTCTGTTATATAGACATTTTCCTTTTTAGAATTTGACCTTGATGTGCAAAGGAAATAAGTATACTATTGAGGTATTATTATTTGGTCCACAGTTTTGGAAGCCTCCCATGTGTGCACTGTGGTCGGGGTTGTGTGTATGACACACCCGCTTGGCCCCCAAAGAGCTTGCCGTCTGCTTCCTCATTACCGTACACCAAACAAAGGCCTTGGACATATTGCTGTACGTGTTCTATGTGCACATAAACTTGGAACTGAACACAACCAAACAGGTTGCTTACCTGCAGGACTGTCAGAAACTTTAATGAGCAAATGTTCATTGTGCATCTCCTTAGGCAACAGGGACCTTGGGCTGGGACAGGCTGTGGGGTCTTGGATACCTGGCATGATGGTTTAAAGTATATCTGCTACTTTGACAGCCCTCCTTCCAAAAGGTAGAGCCCGGTTCCTCTCCCCTGAACGCGGGCTGTGCCTCCGGACCTGCCTTTAGTGAGTAGGATATGGTGGGAGTGATGCTCTGAGACTCCCCAGGTGAGGTCAGAAAAGGATGGCTTCTGCCTGGTGCACTCTCTTGTCATTCACTTTGGGGGAGCAGCTGCCCTGTTGCAGGGCCTGTAAGCAGCCTGTGAGGCTCACCCTGTGGGGAACTGAAGCCTCCCCAGCCTTGAGAGGGGGCTACCGTCGACCTACCTCTCGACTGCAACCTCACAGCAGACCCCAAACAGGCTCAGCTGAGCAGCGCCAAACCCCTGAGCCAAAGACCTTGAGGATAATCAACGTTCACTGTTGTGGGAGTCACTAAGTGTTGTTCTGTGGCCGTAGCTAGCTCATGAACCTGGCATGGAGGTTGGGTTCCGTTCTGGTGGATGTGGGGAGGCCTGGGAGGTTACTGTGTGGGGAGGAGACGCAATGAACAGCCAGTGAAGCCTCAGAGATGCCCCTGCAGTAGCTAGAGTGTGAGGGGTGTAAGATAGTGGGAACGGAGGGGCTGGGAGAGCTCCCGGGGAAGAATTTCCCACATCCAGGACGTCTCTTCCTCACTCACGTGCCCAGGCCGTGCCGGGAGAGGTGCTTTGTGAAGCTTGGGTCCGGGAGAGCCGGGGCTCCAGGAGGGATTAGCTCTGCTCGTCTAAACTATTAACATGTCTGCCTGTGAGAAAGTGGTGCTTGCACCTAAGAACAAAGCGCCTTCCCCTGTGCTTGCATAGCGACCCCCCCCATTGCAGTATATTTGATATAAAAGCATGTTCTTTGTGTTTATGCTTAATCATTTTATTATTTTACTAAAGAATCCTGAAAAAGTTGTTGTTCTGTGCAGGTGTGGCCGCAAGACTGGCAGCAGAAAGGCACTTTTGTAAGAAGAGGGATGGGAGAAGCACAGAGGTGGACCTGGAAAAGTCAAAGGGAAGCTGTGGGTGGAAGCTCCGGATGGCTGACCCCGAGTTCCAGCTCAAAGAACAGAGATGGGTGGGGTGGGAAACACAGCGGAAAGAGCGGCCCGTGAACGAGGGTCCTCGGCAGCAGGACCGCCCTCCTCACGGACAGATGGCAAGTGCTGGGGAGGCGGGGGAGGAACCAGCCTGTCACCACCGGCGGGAACGTGGGCGGGCGCAGCCACTGCAAAACAGCCGGTCACTCCTCAGATAACAGGCGCGGACTTCCCACACGACCCAGCAATCCACGCCTAGATGTAGCCAAAGAGAAGCAGAAACACGTCCCCCGTAACACGTGTACCTGGTGTTATTCATAACAGCGAAAAAGTGGAAACAGCCCCAAGTTCATCAACAGACAAGAAAATGTGGTACATCTACCAGGCGCGGTGGCTCACGCTTTAATCCCAGCACTTTGGGAGGCCGAGGCAGGCGGATCACCTGAGGTCAGGAGATCGAGACCATCCTGGCCAACATGATGAAACCCCGTCTCTACTAAAAATACAAAAATTAGCTGAGTGTGGTGGCGGGCGCCTGTCATCCCAGGTACTCGGGAGGCTGAGGCAGGAGAATCGCTTGAACTCAGGAGGCGGAGGTTGCAGTGAGCCGAGATCGCGCCACTGCACTCCAGAATGGGCGACAGAGCGAGACTCTGCCTCAAAAAGAAAAAAAAAAGTGGTATATCTGTGCAGTGTGCTATTATGTGAAAATAAAAAGGAATGAAGCCCTGTCATATGACAACATGGATGAGCCGTGAAAAGATCATGCTCAGTGAAAGAAGCCACACACAGAAGGCCGCGTAGTGTATGATTCCATTTATACGAAGAGGTAAGAAGAGGCAAATCCAGAGACAGAAAGTGGACACTGGTTGCGTGGCCTGGGGAGGGGCTGGGGCGGGGCTTGGGAGGGGTTGGGGAGGGGCTGGGGAGGGGTTGGGGAGGGGTTGGAAGGGGCTGGGGAGGGGCTGGGGAGGGGCTGGGGAGGGGCTGGGGAGGGGTTGGGGAGGGGCTGGGGAGGGTTGGGGAGGGGCTGGGGAGGGGTTGGGGAGGGGTTGGGGAGGCGTTGGAAGGGGCTGGGGAGGGGCTGGGGGGTTGGGGAGGGATTGGGGGAGGGGCTCAGAGGGGCGGGGGAGGGGCCGCTAATGTATGGGGTTTCCTTTTTGTGTAATGAAAACATTCTAAAATTAGAGAGTCATACAACCTTGGGAATGTACAAAAGACCACCGGATTCTACACTTTAAATGGTTGATTTTTGTAGTACAGGCATTTTTTCCTCAATGAAGCTGTTTGAAAAAGAAAAAGGGAAAGAGAGGAAGAGAGAGAGGTGCCAGTTGGGGAGGAAAAGAGGAAGAGGAACCTTGTAGAGCAGAGTGCAGGTAGAACTGCAACTGAAAACAGGAACCTGCGGTGCAAACGGCACAGCGTGCACCGTGCTGCCTGTGCGCTCCCCTGTGCGCTCCCCTGTGCGCTGCCCTGTGCGCTGCCCTGTGCGCTCCCCTGTGCGCTCCCCTGTGCGCTGCCCTGTGCGCTTCCCTGTGGGCTGCCTGGTGCTGCCCTGTGTGCTCCCCTGTGTGCTGCCCTGTGCCCTGCAGGTGAGCCGTCGTGGCTGGAAGCAATTTCACTTTCGTGTGTCAGGACAGAGGAAAAGACGAATTTTGCATGAAGCGCAGGTCTGGGGCTTTTCCTCCCAGTTGGTAAAAAGGAGCTGACAGAGAGGCTGCGTGTTGGTGTGAGTGTGTGTTGCAGGCATTTTGTCTAACCAGAATGATGAGGGTGCATCAAGGCTGTCCCGGAGAGTCCAGATCGTAGATTATTTTGGACCCGCTGTCCCGGAGAGCCCAGATCGTAGATTATTTTGGATCCCGTGTCCCGGAGAGCCCAGGTGGTAGATTATTTTGGATCCCGTGTCCCGGAGAGTCCAGATCGTAGATTATTTTGGACCCGCTGTCCCGGAGAGCCCAGATCGTAGATTATTTTGGACCCGCTGTCCCGGAGAGCCCAGATAGTAGATTATTTTGGATCCCGTGTCCCGGAGAGTCCAGATCGTAGATTATTTTGGATCCCGTGTCCCGGAGAGTCCAGATCGTAGATTATTTTGGATCCCGTGTCCCGGAGAGCCCAGATCGTAGATTATTTTGGACCCGCTGTCCCGGAGAGTCCAGATCGTAGATTATTTTGGACCTGCTGTCCCGGAGAGCCCAGATCGTAGATTATCTTGGATCCCGTGTCCCGGAGAGCCCAGATCGTAGATTATTTTGGACCCGCTGTCCCGGAGAGTCCAGATCGTAGATTATTTTGGACCTGCTGTCCCGGAGAGCCCAGATGGTAGATTATTTTGGATCCCGTGTCCCGGAGAGCCCAGGTGGTAGATTATTTTGGACCTGCTGTCCCGGAGAGCCCAGATCGTAGATTATTTTGGACCCGCTGTCCCGGAGAGCCCAGGTGGTAGATTATTTTGGATCCCGTGTCCCGGAGAGTCCAGGTCGTAGATTATTTTGGATCCCGTGTCCCGGAGAGTCCAGGTCGTAGATTATTTTGGATCCCGTGTCCCGGAGAGCCCAGATCGTAGATTATTTTGGATCCTGTGTCCCGGAGAGTCCAGATCGTAGATTATTTTGGATCCAGAAGAGGAGGAGTTCTGCTTTCTGAATTTGTATGGCCTGCTCCACAAATGAAACAAGAAAAACTCCTGAAAACTGGCAGCCTATCTTTCCTGTAAGAAAGTGGTGTTGGGAGGCCAGGAAAATTACCTTTGTTTTGTCTGAGGAGAGGGGATGGCAGCAGGACGGAGGCTTCATGTCTGGTGGTGACCAAAAGCACATTTTCAAAGTGGGAAATATACTAATTAGTGGAGGAATAAGCAAAGGAGAGAAGCGTAGGCTCCTCCCAACGAGCCACTCGTCAGAGAGCCGGAACCTTGTCTCTATCAAGCTGTCCAGGGAAGACGTGTTTGGCCCCCAGGGCTGCAGTGCACCCACCCCACACACACTGGTGCTTGAAGGGTCAAGCTAGAGCAAATCAGAGAATCGGGGGGTCCCTGTTGGTGGACCCAGGAGTGGGAAGAACGCGGCTACCCGAAGTCTTGGCACCAACAGGGAGAGAACAGTCACCACTAAGTGGAGGCATTGTGCGTGGCGGTGGGATTGTGAGAATTGTACCATGGAGTTGTTTTTGGTTTTTAGAAAACTTCCAGGAGCTCAGAAACAGAGCACAGAGCTCATGACTCGGGGCAAGCTCGGAGCACAACGTGAGGACCACTTGATCAGGGTTCGGAGACCAGGACCCAGTGCCGTGAGGGCTTCGGGTCCCCCAGCTGCAGGTTCAGTGCCAAGTTCAGGGCACTGAAGCCAGGGCCACAGGAGGAGCCGCCGGAGCATATGCAGAAGGAAGAGGAAGGAGGAGCTGGAGAACATGATGCTGCTAACCCCAGATGAAAGCGTGTTTGCAGGAACCAGGTGGGAACTCCTGGAGACGGCAGGGGAACCAGGTGGAGGGCGGCTGCTCAGTTGTATCTGTACATGAGACTTCAATCAGCGCCTTCGCTAGCCCATTCATTCACCTGGCATTTATAGAACGCTGCTGGTGTACAGGGTGAACACAACAGCCAAACATCTTGGTTCCTCCTCAGAGATGGCCGGCCCAGAGCCTGGACATCTGACTCACCAATACTCTAGTCCGTCAAAAGGACACACACCAAAGGGGAAGGGACCTGCTGGCCACAGGTGGGGCTGAAATGGGTTGAAATGTGTTACACAACTCACATCTCATGGGTTCATAACTATCCCCCCCGCAAAAAAAAAAAGCAAAAAAAAAAGCAAAAAATGAAAAGAACAAAAACAAAAAAGAAGAAAAAGCTGGAAACCAGAGAGAATGATGCCAGGAACCAACTCATTCTCCTGAAAATGCGTCAGCGAAGGCAACAAGTGCTCCTCCTGCCTTTCCCGGACGCATTGTGACCAACCAGAAAGTTCTCATGGAAAACCCGGCTAACGGATGCGAGAGGAGTGTGGTAAGATTCGCTGTGGACAGTCCAGGACCGAGTGCTGGCGTCGACACCAAGAGCTCCTTGAAGGACACGCTGGGAAGCACACAGCCCTGTGAATTCACTCCTGCCGAGAAACGAAGCTTATGTTGCCAACCTCTGGGTCTGTCCCAGGGTCCCAGGAAGTACCGGCTCAGAGGAGCATATGCGGGTGGCACCGGGGGGCGCAGCCTGCAGTGCTGGAGGGAGGGATTCCACAGGGCAAACACCCAGCTCCTTCAGCAGATCAAAAGGGAGAAGAGTGGTAACAACTAATTGGAGAATTCTGGATATTGACTGTTTATTTGATTTTTTTTTTTTTTGAGACAGAGTTTCACTCTTGTTGCCCAGGCTCTAGTGCAATGGCACGATCTCAGCTCACTGCAACCTCTGCATCCTGGGTTCAAGCGATTCTCCTGCCTCAGTCTCCCAAGTAGCTGGGATTACAGGCGCACGTCACCACACCCGGCTAATTTTGTATTTTTAGTAGAGACGGGATTTCACCATGTTGGTCAGGCTGGTCTTGAACTCCTGAGCTCAGGTGATCCGCCTGCCTCGGCCTCCCAAAGTGCTGGGATTACCAGCGTGAGCCACCGCACCTGGACTGTTTATTTGATTTTAAGGCTACTTCGTGTTTAGGTGTGACAGTGTTATTGTGGTTACCCTCTTTAATACTCCTTGCATTTCAGCAGCATTTGCAGGGAAAATGATATAATGTGCGGGATTTGCTTTTCCACGTATGAGAGAGTGGGATGTGGATGAGCAAGATGGGCGAGTATTGATAATTACTGAAGCCAGGGGACTGGACACTGGGGTTTGTCTTACTATTTTCTCTACTTTTGTATTATGTTTGAAATTTTTAATAACACAAATGTATCAACATTGAGGCCCTTGTGGAGCCTACAGGCTGATGAACCTGTACGTGTGTGAGACGATGAAACGAACGAGAAGACGGCCTAATGTGGTGCAGAAGAAACGCTGTGAGGAAGCTGGGGAGGAGCGTGGGGGCTGTGATGTTAGAGGGGTGGCCTCACTGAGAAAGCACAGCACACGCTTTAGGGGTGGGGTTCCAGCCAAGAAGCCGCACAGCAGAGGCCATGGCTGGGACTGGAGCTGCTATGGCCCAAGGGGAATGGGGAGGAGGCCCCCCAGCCCTGGTTGGTGCTGGGAGACTGTGGACCAGGTGGGTTGGACATGGAGCCCCTGGAGGGCTCGGGCAGCCGTGGCACCATCTGGGGGCTTGTTGGGGGCACAGGGAGACCTGTTGACCGGGCCCCGCCAGGGACCAGGCAGAGCTTATGCTGCTGGGCTGGGGCTGGCCTTGGAGAGCTTGTGTGTGTGGAGCAAGCCTGTGCCTCAGTCCGTTCAAAGGAGCCCGAGAAAGAGGAGCATCCCCCGGATGGGGCCCATGAAGCTCCTCCCTGGGAAGCAGCCTGAGGGCACCCCTGGCCCAGGGGCTGAGTCCTGACGGCGTCTGCAACCTCTGGGCTGTGGTCTCCCTGAGCCCTGATGGCATCTGCAACCTCTGGGCTGTGGTCTCCCCAGTCCTGACGGCGTCTGCATCCTCTGGGCTGTGGTCTCCCTGAGTCCTGACGGCGTCTGCAACCTCTGGGCTGTGGTCTCCCTGAGTCCTGATGGCGTCTGCAACCTCTGGGCTGTGGTCTCCCTGAGTCCTGATGGCGTCTGCAACCTCTGGGCTGTGGTCTCCCTGAGTCCTGATGGCGTCTGCAACCTCTGGGCTGTGGTCTCCGGGAGCCTTGACGGCATCTGCAACCTCTGGGCTGTGGTCTCCCTGAGCCCTGATGGCGTCTGCAACCTCTGGGCTGTGGTCTCCCTGAGTCCTGATGGCGTCTGCAACCTCTGGGCTGTGGTCTCCGGGAGCCTTGACGGTGTCTGCAACCTCTGGGCTGTGGTCTCCCTGAGTCCTGACAGCGTCTGCAACCTCTGGGCTGTGGTCTCCCCAGTCCTGACGGTGTCTGCATCCTCTGGGCTGTGGTCTCCCTGAGTCCTGACGGCGTCTGCAACCTCTGGGCTGTGGTCTCCGGGAGCCCTGACGGCGTCTGCAACCTCTGGGCTGTGGTCTCTGGGAGCCCTGACGGCATCTGCAACCTCTGGGCTGTGGTCTCCGGGAGCCCTGACGGCATCTGCAACCTCTGGGCTGTGGTCTCCCTGAGCCCTGACGGCATCTGCAACCTCTGGGCTGTGGTCTCCCCGAGCCCTGGCAACCCCTATCCCTCTCCGCTCTCCTTCGGGCACACAGCCCGGCATCTCTGCTCTCCAAGGGCTCGTAGTGCCTGAAGCCGACACTCTCTCTCCTGCACACACACAGGTCGATGCCTTCTTGTTCCCAGTGCTTCAGAACAGAGCTGGCAGCGGCTGCGGCAGGAGCAGCTCCCACTGACAGGCTCCTGCAGCCTCCTTCCCACCTGCACAGGAAAAAAGCCCGCATCCATTCTGTAAGGAGCTAGAGCAGCTCTTTGGCATCCTGTACAGGCCTTGGAATGCTTCAGGGAAAAAAGATGATTCCGCATCAGAATGGCTGTGGTCAGACTTGCTGGCAGAAGCCTCCCCCAGGCTCTTGACATGTGGCTTCTGGTCCCTTTTCCTGCCACACCCCTGGGTTCCGCGCAGACCTGGGTCCTTGAAGAACTGAAATTCTAGCTCAACCTCGGCAACTCTGTAGCCATTCGCTGGAAATTTCCTAAGAGAATAAATTGCAACACAGTGCGGCGGATGGGCTGTGTGGGTTTATTTTTACCACGCGCTTAGTGCTATAAAGACGTCACCTTAAATCAGGAGCGTGCAGGCGTCAGTAGGAAATATGTGCATGTGGCAGGTGACGCAGGCCACACCCTCGCCCTCGAACCCCTGGCTTCCTGCACCTGAGCGGGTGGAGCCCAGCTTGACTCCAGCCCTGACGATGGACCTGGGTGCAGAGGGGACCCCTGGTGACCTGCAAGGTCCGACCTTCTGTCCCTTCATGCAGGGAACCTGTGGGGCTGTCACTCCTGAGGGAAGCTCTGAGTCTGTTTCTCTGGGGATTTGCCAGGGGAGAAGGTCATCCACCTGTCGGCTGGTAAGACAGGGTTCCCTGCATGTGATGACAACTTCCTTTCAAAGCCAGCAGCTTGCACAGCGTTTGCTCAGGTTCTCTGAACGGATTACCATTCATTCACCCTGCACCCCTGCTCCACTGAATGCTGGGGGCAGCAGAGGCAGCTCTGGCCATTGGGGCAGCCGCACGACTGTSGGGGGCAGTCAGGACCGGGAAGCCTTGGGCAGTGTAGGGTGCCGTGACCAGGGAGGGTCTGCTTCTTGCAACAGCCCCTTTCCCTTTGCACAGAAAATAATCTGAGGACAAGAACAGTGGCGTGGCTGGAATGGCTGGGGCTGCTCAGGGCCTCTGTTGTTCAGCTGGGCTTGCACCTGAGGCTGACCCCTGGTCTCTGAGACAAGCTGATGGCCATCAGATGCCACAACCCCTGTCTGGACAGGCCCCGAGGACGTGTGTCACCGCAAGGAGCTCAAAGAGGATGGTGGAGTGTCTGGGTCAGAGGTCAGGACCCACCTTGCATCAGCGGGCTTGGGTTTAGTCATTTACCTAGGAGGTTGAGGGTCATCCTGGCTTAAGTCCAGGGCATAGCACAGCAAAATCTACCCTTTGGGAGTTCATAAAGAACATGCATAGTTCTGGCCTCGTGGCGGTCGCCAGCTCTCCCAGGGCCCTGCTCTTCTCTGAGTGACCACTGCCCTCTGGTCTGGTGGACGCCTGGGCATCTGTTTCTATGAAACAACCTGTTTGTTTCTGTGTTTCAAATATTTGTGTTTATTATGGAAGAGACATTATTTTTTCATGGAATTCTGAAGACTGTCATTTTTGAAGGATAAGCAGGTTTTGGACAATTTGCAATTCTTACAACTGTCTGTAAATTTACATTACTGTTATAAATGAGAAGACCCTTCTGATATTCAGACACCTTGTTAAATACTGGCTCGTCATTGATGCGTGCAGCCCAGTGTGGGCTTTGTGGGGGTTTGAAGTGTGTGTGGTTTGTAGCACACGGACATTCCCCTCCCAACGCAGAGGCATCTTTGGCACGAGCTTCAACCGTAAATCCAGAAACAAGCTTGCTGGCTTTGGACTTCATGGGCCGGTTAAGTAACCCCCCATAGCTGAGGACTGATTTAAATGTACTTTTAATTTTGTCCAACAATAAAAAAAAAAATAAAGCAAGCAATAGCAGACATCGTCACTTATGGGAAGTGCCTGGGGACGACAGAGTCGGCCTGAAGGATGCTGCTCTCAGAGGCAGGCAATGGCCCCTCCGGGCACAGACGCTTTGGACTCTGCCTGTCTCCCTGAGCAGCAGCAGCCGTGACCATGTCCCTGTGTGTGGCCCTTGGTCCTGTGCATGTTCAGACCACAGCCCACAGCTGTCCTCGCGACCCCAGGCAGACACTGACCACAGGACACTGAGAGGTTCAATGCAAGGCAGGCACCACAGCACGAGGGGCTGAGTGCAAGAGCTCAGGCCGTCCTCTCCGAGAGCCCCACGCTGGAAGGGTGGGTGCGGGATCTGTAGGGTGGGGTGTGGGATCTGTAGGGTGGGTGTGGAATTGTAGGGTGGGTGTGGGATCTGTAGGGTGGGTGTGGGATTGTAGGGTGGGTGTGGGATCTGTAGGGTGGGTGTGGGATTGTAGGGGGGGTGTGGGATCTGTAGGGTGGGTGTGGGATCTGTAGGGTGGGTGTGGGATCTGTAGGGTGGGGTGCGGGATCTGTAGGGTGGGGTGCGGGATCTGTAGGGTGGGGTGTGGGATCTGTAGGGTGGCAGGTCCCCCACCAGGTTCTTAAGGCCCTGTGTTCGCAGCCTGGGCCCTGAAAGCCAGGTGGTGAGCCAAGGCCCTGGTGCCCAGGCCAGGAGTTGGTGTCTCTGAGAACCCAAAGATCGAGGAGAGGCTCTGAGAACCCACCGAGGAAACAGCCCCATCACACACACACAGGAGGCAAAGCCAGAAGATCAGCTTAAAATAGTTTGGAGACGGGAGGCGGCGCAGGTCTCAGGGCTGTCCTGCCACTGTGCAGCAGTGTCCTTGGTAAATCCTGATCAACACATTGACTCGTCAGATAACGTGGACCCTTCTGAGTCATTTCTTGGTCTTTTGACCCTTCCCAGTTTGGGAGGGGGTACGTCACAGTCCCAAGTTTTTCTCGTAAAGGGGTGTCCCCCATAGAATGCACCCTTGAGATCACATGGTCCTGGAGCCCCTTTCCAGGGGGTTCCAGAACAATGCTATGAAACATTTGTTCATTTGATTCGTATTTGTTGAATTCCTGCTACCTACCAGTCACTCTCAAGCATAACACGGAGCTGGTTCTGCAGACTACACCCGGGCATCTGGGAACTGGCACCCAGGAGAGCACCCGACACCGCTGAGCTGGGCCAGCAGGTCGTTCTCTCTGATTCCCCATCAGCCTTGCAAGACCTGTCTTAGGAAGAGGAGTCCAAGTGAGAAAGGGGCAGATCCTGGAGCCGGGAAGGGATTTGGGGGAGGGCCCCTGACGCCCTGTGGGCTGACCGTTCCCCGGTGCCACTCAGGAGTCTCCTGTGGAGCCCTCACATTTGCAGTGGGATGTGCTGTAGGTTTACGGGATCCCAGCGCCAGACAGAGTGAGAGGAACGGGACATTCATGCTGGTGTCCGTGGGTCCCGCCTGTTGCCTCTCAGACCTCTCACCGAGCTTCTTGACCTGGGCTTCGCAGACCCTGGGCTCTTGGACCTGTGTTCAAAGGAGCATGGACTCTGGCTGGGKTTGCTAAAGCTTCAGAYAACTGTCCAGCGCTGAGTGGAGCGGAGGCAAGCCCAGGGGTGCTGCCCAGAGGCAGCTTCCTGAGAAAATGAAGTTGCTGTTGTTTAAAGCCACCGAGGTTTTGCAGCAACGGGGGAGTGAGCATTGGTCTCCACCACGCCCGGGGCCGGGTCAGGCCAGGACGAAGGGTGATGTTTCCTGTGCGGATCCCGTAGGTGGAGTTCACCGTCACTGGGAGGCCTCACAATCATTGCTTTATTCACCTCGACAGGTCCCATGAGGCGAGCCCCCGCTCCTCCCTTATTTAAGCATTTTAAATAACGAGTTTACAAATTTCCAACTTCAAAATGTGTTAAAAAATCTTCACTCCTCCCACCTCCTCTCCCGTCTGCTCAGTCCTGCCTCTTGGAAGAGGCAGCCATTGTCACTGGTGTCTTAGGTGACTTCCCAGAGGTCCTTTAGCACATACAGTTCAATACAAATACATATTCCCTGACTTTTACACCAACGGCAGGATGTTACATACACTTTTCTCCTTGTTACTTAAAAATTTTTAAATTTTCTTTCATTTTTATAATAGACTTTATTTTTAGGGCAGTGTTAGGTCTACAGAAAATTGAGGGGATCGTAGAGAGAGTTCCCACATACCCACGTCCAGTTTCTTGCACTGTTAACAGTTTATGTTAGAATGATACTTTGTTACAATCAATGAACCAGTGTTGWCACATGATTGTTAGCTAAAGTCTGAAGTTTATTCACGTCTTTAGTTTCCCCTAAATGTCCTTTCTCTGTCCCAGGACCCATCCAGGGTCCCACATGACACTTTGTCCCGCGTCTCCGTAGGCCTCTCGGGGCTGGGCAGTTCTCAGACTGGCTTTTGGTGACTGGGACAGTTTTGAGGAGGCCTGTTGGGTGTTTGGTAGCTGCGTCTCTGTTAGAATTGTTCTGATGTGTTTCTCGTGGTAAGACTGGGGTTTGGGGCCTGGGGACAATGACCCCAGAGGTGAAGTGCCCTGCTCACCCCATCCTGTGAGGGACTCACACACCCAGCACGGATGCTTGCTGTGGACACTGGCCTCGGCCACCCAGCTGAGGGGAGTCGGTCAGGTCTCCCCACGGTGATGTGATCCTTTTCCTTCCCTCTCCATACTCTCGGGAAGGAAGTCAGTCTACACAGCCCACACTTGAGGGTTGCGTATTTATGTTTAATTTAATATTATTTATTGGAGATCTTTTCATATGACTACAAAAAGAACTTCGTGTTCTGTTTCACGCCTCATAGTATTCTATTGTACGCATCTGCCGAGACATTTGACCGGTCCTCTCCTTGATGTGCATTTAGGATGTAAGTATCATTGAAGACACATACTTTTTTTTTTTTTGAGATGCAGTCTCACTCTGTAGCCCAGGCTGGAGTGCGGTGGCGCGATCTCGGCTCACTGCAAGCTCCGCCTCCCGGGTTCACGCCATTCTCCTGCCTCAGCCTCCCGAGTAGCTGGGACTACAGGCTCACGCCACCACGCCCGGCTATTTTTTTTGTATTTTTAGTAGAGATGGGTTTTCACCGTGTTAGCCAGGATGGTCTCCATCTCCTGACCTCGTGATCCACCCGCCTCGGCCTCCCAAAGTGCTGGGATTACAGGCGTGAGCCACCGCGCCCGGCCGAAGACACATACTTTTAAAAATATTATTTTTACATTGATTTGGTAAATTCTTAGAATTGCTGGGTCAGAGCCAGACGCGCTTGCAATTTTGTTAAGTGCAGTGAACTCTCCTCCATCGAAGTTTGTGCTGTTCCGTGCTCCCGCCAGCAGCAGGCGAGGCTGGCCTCCGGCAGGTTGTCGAAAGCTTGGCTTTCACCGAGCAGATGTATGAAAACTGGTATCTCAGTGTAGTTTTAGTCTTTAATTTACCTTTTGATGAATCACTYTGAGCATCTCTTATATGATGAAGGGTCATTTTTATTCATTTTTTTGTGAACAATTTGTTTGTTGATCTGTTAGATTTCTTTGGCTATAAAGATTAGCTCTCCGTCTGAGGTAGGAATTGCTTGTATGTTTTCCCCGTGTCATTTGTCTTTCAACTTTGTTTTGTTGTAGGTGTTTTGGCCATGAAAAAAATATTTCGGGYAAAAACTTTTCATCTGTTCTCCAGCTTCTGGGCTTTGTGGCGGGGTATGGAAGGGCTTCCCCAGGCTGGGTCATGGGGGCCCCATGCTCTCTGTGCTCTTGTGGTTTTGCTCCCTAGCATTCACACTGTGGCCCTGTAGGGTCCTGCTGGTGGCTGGGGTGAGGTGTGCATGTAACTGAAGGTGGTCACCTAGTGTTTGAATATCGTTACTAATAATTCGTCTTTTCACCACTGACTTGAGGTGCCRCCTTTGTCACATGCTAGCAGCTCATACACGGATTTAGGTTTTTTTCTGAACTCTATTCTGTCCGTGAGTCTGGCTAGGCAGGTGCCAGGAAGTAGTTAATACCTTGTGCCTGTTTTGCAGACAGGAACACTGAGATAGAGGCAATATCTTGCCCGCGGCCTGACAGACAGTAAGTAGGGTGGCACCAAGCTTCAGACCCCAGGGTCCCATCAGGCGCCCCACTCCTCCTGCCCCTGTGTTATCATCAGGGCTCCTTCTTCCTCTCATTGGTCATCGTCAGGAATGACTAGAAGGCACAGCATCCCTGTTGCTTATCTGTGAGCTCAAACCAAAAAGGCACCAAGTTATCTGGGGCTCACAGAGGCGCCGCATGGTACCAGTAGGCCTTGATACTTATCCCTGGAAGGAACCGTTTTCTGTTAAGGAACTTCACTAGATGGTTCTCTCACTCGAGGTGGAAGTTCGAGGCGGTCATTGTCTTCTGCTTCTCCCACACCCCCGCCAGCTGTCTGGACTTGCACATCTGGGGTGCTGTTTGTCCCTCCTTGCTGGGATTTCCCCACCCATCACCCACATGTGGACGCACAGCACCTGCTCCATGCCAGTCCTCTCGGAGACCCTCCTGACCCTGCAGGCAGAGTCGATGTCGCTGTCTCTTGAGGACCACTGGCCTCCTCATGCAGCTTCYGTGGGACTGAGATAAGGTGTCTGCATGTCTTCATCTGCCAGCTGAGCCCAGAACACCTTGAAGCCAGGGCTGGGCTCTGTTTCTCGGGGTCTCCAGGGGTCAGAACCGCAGGTGACTGACTACACGGGGAACTGACTGAGGGGCCTCATGGCTTTTAGACTGTTTTATGAATTGCAGACATTTATTTAGCTCAGGACAAGCTGCATGCATGTCCAGTTTTATTTAACTTCTAAATACCTGGTCTTCTGTCTGAGTCTGACTTCTGTGTTGCTGCCAATCAAAGGTGGCTGTGGGTTGTCTGGCACTGGAGGTGTCTCTGTGGGACCTTCCTGACTCCTCACTGCCCCAATTCTCCCCACATCCCTATGTGCCCAACACCCTACACCCACTGAGGCCCAACCTGGGCAGAATTACCAAGCAGGTGAGATTGGTTGGCCATTCTCCCCAAAGCACCTTTTGCTGAGTCTCTTTCCTCACCCCTGTTCTCCCAGCTCATGGTCAGCTGACCCCTTGGGTATGTTAGTGACTCATAGCTTGGGTGTTTTTCCTTCCTGGGGGTATTTGTTTTCTGTCAGGAGACCCTAGAACATCAGGAAGTACCCCCGCCCCACCAGGTTCCCCAGCCAGCCACTGATATCGGTGAAGCCGAGGCCAGCACTTACGAGAGCCTCCAGGATCTGCAGAGGAACACACACCTCCAACTGTCAACTGTCAACTGTGCTGAAGCCACACGTGGGGGACAGGCAACGTGCCCATGCCCTCTGCTGGACTTGGCACTGTGTGCGTGACACCCAGCTCCCCTCGGTGCAGCCTGGCAAATCCATCTACCCTGGTGTCTGAAGTTTGCCCATGGTCTTTGGCCAGGGGCTGTGGAAGGGCCTCCGGGGACTGAAGGTCGGGACCCATTTGGGGTCATTGAGAGTAAATCGACTTGTTAATGGGGCATCCTCCTCAACCCACTCCTCAGGGCCCCACATCCACGCTCACCAACTGCACATGCAGACCCAGGAGGTGCATGAGCTGAAGTCTGTGGGCCGCAGAGCCGTGGGCTCGGAAGAAGCACAGCCCACCATGCCRTGGATCTCCACGCGTGGCTCCTCTCCACGCCTGTGGGTTGCTCCAAAGCTGCAGCGTCACGCGCAGATGCCAGGTAGCCGTGATGGAGGCTCGGGCACAAGCTGTATTGCAACGGCTTTGTGAGTAAGACAGCGGTTTGTCTTAGCTGTATCTCGTTAGGGAGTTCCATCCCAGTCATATTAAAAGCACCATGCCGCATGGCACAGAGTGACAACAAATTCCTTCAAGATAAAGGAACCCTAAAACTGTAAGAACTCGAAGGTCTCGTCTGCGATGCAGTTTGTCTGGGGCAGGGGAGGGATCTGCCCGGTGTGGCTCTGGCCGCAGGCAGGAAGCTCCCTGGAGCCCATTCACTCCCAGCCCCCATCCTGCACCCCCAYGTCCCACTCTGTGACTTGCCTGATTAAAGCGTCAGGGAATTAAAGGGGGAATTGGAGGGCAGCTGCAGCTACACATGAAATGAACAAGGATGCGCTTTTCCTGGTGAACGATGCTTGCTGGGTGCCCTGTCCCCTAAGGACATCTGAGTCAGAGCCAGACAAATGGGAGAAATTTGTCTGGGGATTAGGAGACCTTTGATGCCTCATCCCTGTGGAACTACATGGAGCTCATTCTGCAAATCACCTTCTCCTGCCTCCTCTGAGGTGACTTAAGACTCCGTTCTCTTCTGACCTGKGCTTCATGGGCCTTCCGTGGAGCCCCAGGCCGCTGGCTGCCTGGGGTGACCATGTCCACTTGTGTCAACCAACACGTGAGCCTGAGAGGCTGGAGCTCAGAATACACCCTGGGGCACGGGGACAAGTCCTGGGCAGTGGCGGGAGCTCTGTTTGTCATTTTCCTTCACTTCACTCAGACACACTTCAGCAAGTGTGTCTGAGCCAACATAGAAAGATGGAGCAGCAATTCAGAAGCATCTCTCCTGAAGACAGAAGGCCAGTGCCCAGCTTCCTGTCACTCACTCGAGAGCATTGGGCACCTGCTGGGGGCTGCATGAGCTGCCAGTGAGCAGACAGGCAACGTCCCAGTGCTCCAGGGATGCGTGTTCTATCTGGGCAGAGACAACAGCAACCAGCAGACAAGAAACGCCGCAGAGTGCTGTGTGCTGGGTGCCGGGTGACGCTCAGGGTGGTCGTCTGGGCATCCGTGTCAGAGTGCTGTGTGCCGGGCGACGCTCAGGGCGGCCCTGCGGGCATCCGTGTCAGAGTGCTGTGTGCCGGGCGATGCTCAGGGCGGCCGTGCGGGCATCCATGTCAGAGTGCTGTGTGCCGGGCGGAGCTCAGGGCGGCCCTGCGGGCATCCATGTCAGAGTGCTGTGTGCCGGGCGATGCTCAGGGCGGCCGTGCGGGCATCCATGTCAGAGTGCTGTGTGCCGGGCGACAGTCAGGGCAGCCGTGCGGGCATCCGTGTCAGAGTGCTGTGTGCCGGGCGACGCTCAGGGCGGCCGTGCGGGCATCCATGTCAGAGTGCTGTGTGCCGGGCGGAGCTCAGGGCGGCCCTGCGGGCATCTGTGTCAGAGTGCTGTGTGCCGGACGAAGCTCAGGGCGGCCCTGCGGGCATCCGTGTCAGAGTGCTGTGTGCCGGGCGACGCTCAGGGCGGCTGTGCGGGCATCTGTGTCAGAGTGCTGTGTGCCGGGCGACGCTCAGGGCGGCCGTCTGGGCATCCGTGTTAGCGTTCTGTGTGCCAGGCGATGCTCAGGGCGGCCGTGCGGGCATCCATGTCAGAGTGCTGTGTGCCGGGCGACGCTCAGGGCAACCGTGCAGGCATCCGTGTCAGAGTGCTGTGTGCCGGGCGACAGTCAGGGCAGCCGTGCGGGCATCCGTGTCAGAGTGCTGTGTGCCGGGCGACGCTCAGGGCAACCGTGCGGGCATCCGTGTCAGAGTGCTGTGTGCCGGGCGACGCTCAGGGCGGCCCTGCGGGCATCCGTGTCAGAGTGCTGTGTGCCGGACGAAGCTCAGGGCGGCCCTGCGGGCATCCGTGTCAGAGTGCTGTGTGCCGGGCGATGCTCAGGGCGGCTGTGCGGGCATCCGTGTCAGAGTGCTGTGTGCCGGACGAAGCTCAGGGCGGCCCTGCGGGCATCCATGTCAGAGTGCTGTGTGCCGGGCGATGCTCAGGGCGGCTGTGCGGGCATCCGTGTCAGAGTGCTGTGTGCCGGGCGACGCTCAGGGCAACCGTGCGGGCATCCGTGTCAGAGTGCTGTGTGCCGGGCGGAGCTCAGGGCGGCCGTGCGGGCATCCATGTCAGAGTGCTGTGTGCCGGGCGACGCTCAGGGCGGCCGTGCAGGCATCCATGTCAGAGTGCTGTGTGCCGGGCGACAGTCAGGGCAGCCGTGCGGGCATCCGTGTCAGAGTGCTGTGTGCCGGGCGATGCTCAGGGCGGCTGTGCGGGCATCTGTGTCAGAGTGCTGTGTGCCGGGCGACGCTCAGGGCGGCCGTCTGGGCATCCGTGTCAGAGTGCTGTGTGCCGGGCGACTCTCAGGGCGGCCGTGTGGGCATCCGTGTCAGCGTTCTGTGTGCCGGGCGACTCTCAGGGCAGCCGTGCGGGCATCCGTGTCAGAGTGCTGTGTGCCGGGCGACAGTCAGGGCAGCCGTGCGGGCATCCGTGTCAGAGTGCTGTGTGCCGGGCGACTCTCAGGGCGGCCGTGTGGGCATCCGTGTCAGAGTGCTGTGTGCCGGGCAACGCTCAGGGCGGCCGTGTGGGCATCCGTGTCAGAGTGCTGTGTGCCGGGCGACGCTCAGGGCGGCTGTGTGAGCATCCGTGTCAGGTGGGCTGCTGGATGCTGGGGGGTCACTGACTCACCCCTAGGGCTGAGGGCGGGTGGGTTACTGGCCTCCACATGGGTGTGACAACCTGGCAGTGAGGGATGGTCATGCAGACATGTGTTGGGCATGGAGCATCCGTGGTGGTGGAAGCCCTCCCATGCCGGGCCGCGGGGCAGGGCTCTGGGAGAGGACGCAGGATCCCTCCCTGCATGTCTGTCTGCAGATCAGCTTCACCTGCCCCCACCCTGGCAGTTCAATCTACTGTCATTAGACCCACCTGCCCTCACCCTGGCCTGCACCCTTCAATCTACTGTTATTAGACCCACGGGGTTTCTTGGTGATTAAACGTGTGTGTTGCTCTCTGCACATCCAAGAACTGCAGAAAGAGGTTTTTCTCATTCCTGTGATAGATGAAAGTGCAATTTTTAAAAACAGTGAAACTATTCCTGCACAAGAGAACTGTGACTGGATTCTGCCAGGGAGGAGCTGTGACCAGCAGGGCAGAGACATGGGAGGGAAGAGCCGGCGTCACCTCCAGGCCTCCTGCGCCCGAGAGGAGGGAAGAGCCGGTGTCACCTCCAGGCCTCCTGCACCCGAGGGGAGGAAGAGCCGGCGTCACTGGCCACAGGTGAGGAGGAGACTGGGTTGCCCAAGTAGGGTATGCAGGTCCATTCAAACGCACCCAGGGATGACTCATCCCCGCCAGCTGCTCTGGCAAGGCCGGGGGTCTCAGAGCTGGGGGCTGCAGCAAGCACACCAGCTCTCTGCTCCCGAGAGATCGTCCACAGGCCCCATCAAGATCCCTGGTCACCATAAAATTTAACTTCATAACTTATTGATAATAAATTATAAACAAAAGCCTCCTAATTTACACGCTTGTTGACTACTGAGTGCTTGGTGCAGTGAGTACGGCTGCTGCTGTACCAAAAACCACACAGATGAGAATCACTGTATAGGTGAGAACTGTGACTGCCCCTGATTTCTAGAGGCAGCAACTGAAGCTCAGGAGTGCTTGCGACTCAGCTGTCTCAGGCTGCAGAGCCCTCCTCGTAACCTTGCAGAGTACAATTTCGTCTTAGTGACTCCCCTGTATTCCAGCTCTTCCCCGGTGGAACAGGTCACCCCATCAACACACGCTTCATTAATACCCGGGGGAAGGTCCTGAGGGACTGAATGGATTATGAAGGAAAAACAAGCAGGAAAGCGAAAGGGGAAGAGACCAGGCAGAGGACGCCCCAGCACTAAAGTGAAAGATCCCTGATGGGCAGGGGCGGCGCGACCGGGCTCCCAAGACCGGGTCCTGATCTGGGTTTTCGTGTAGCATGGTCACGTGTGGAGACCGGGGCTCCGGGGCTGTGGGCTGGGCTGACGCTGCCATGCGTGGGGGAAAGGGTGGCAAATTGTGGCCTTGGCCTCTTCTGAACTTTCCAGTTCAGTTACTTTTCAAAAAGGTGCTTAGCCTTCCTTTTCAGGCCAACTTTAGTGTGACCTCTTCATCTTGGGACGCGGTGGGTGGCTTGTTACGGGGGCAGGTGTCACAAGGAGGGAGATGGTCTGTTTCTTTCAGTCAGGGGGTGGAGGAAAAGGACTTCAACCTCTTCTCAGAACAAATGTTCTCTTAACGTTGCGCCTCATGCCAGTTCACTGTTTTAATAATAAAAAAAAGCTAAAACCATTGAAAGAAAAATAAGTAAACACATAAAGAACCGAAGGCCCTGAGCGCTGAAGGATGTGTAAGGACCCCCGGGGCTCTTCGAGGGGTTTCTGGGGATTGTGGGTGTCCTGGGAACTAAGATGCCTACTCTCGGAGTGGGGGAAGGAAGGATACAGCTTTCTGTCCCAGATTCCAAAGACTGAGGAACAACTGGGTTGTGCCCACTCAGAGAGATGCAGGGAGACCATGCCCGTCCATCCACCCACTCATGCTTGTCGGGCACCAGCCACATGCACGGTGCTGGGGCAGCCGGATGTGTCCGTTGGAGCCTGACCCCAGCGTCTCCTGTTAGTGCATCTCATTGTAGAGACGCTTCCTGGACAGGCATTGGCAAGGATGAGCACCTCAGTGCAGCCAGGACAAGTCCTTATCACAGACATTTGCCTCTGATCATCCTGTAAAAAGACTGTGTTCATTTTTGGGGGTTCCTAGTCCTGGGATTTTGCTTCCACCTTCAGGAAATGCACCTGGTGACTCTGCTGAGATCTTGCTAAGAACTCCTATCGCCATGATGAACACCTTGTCGTGGGGACGACTCTGTGAAAGGTTCCAGCTCTGTCTCCTGCCACAGCCTCTGAACTGGGATGTGAACCTTTCGGTGTCTGGCCATTATCACCCTGATGGTGAACTGGGCAGCCTTAAATTTCAATATTGAAGGGTCAATCACTGGAAACTATATAGACAAGTAGACGTCAGCATAGGTAACAATTGTGAACCTTTCGGTGTCTGGCCATTATCACCCTGATGGTGAACTGGGCAGCCTTAAATTTCAATATTGAAGGGTCAATCGCTGGAAACTATATAGACAAGTAGACGTCAGCATAGGTAACAATAGTTCCACCCTTGTCTCAGGTCATTCTTGCCTTGCTTTAAAGAAATACTTGAGGCTGGGTAATTTATAAAGAAAAGAGGTTTAATTGGCTCACGGTTCTGCAGGCTTTATAGGCACCATGGTGCCAGCAACTGTACAGCTTCCGGGGAGGCCTCCAGAAGCTTACAGTCTGGGCAGAAGGTGAAGGAGGAGAAAGAGAGAGCAGGAGGTGCTAGCCACATAAAACAGCCAGGTCTCTGAGAACTCAGCCTCTTGAGGACAGCACAAGGTGCTGCTAAACCATTCATGAGAAATCCACCCCCATGATCCAGTCGCCTCCACCAGACCCTGCCTTCAATACTGGGGATTACAATTCAACATGAGATTTGGGCAGGGACAAAAACGCCAATTATATCACCCCTTGAGGCCCTTGTTTTCTGTTTAATTATCTTGAAGATTCAGGGACTCTTAAGGCACGACAGGATCTTAGAAACCCAACCTTTTCCTTTTGAACACGAGGAAACTGAAGTCTGGAATAAAGTGGCTCGTCTGAGTTTCAGCAGCAGGTTCTAACAAGCTCTATTCTGTTCTTCCAGGATGGCACTCTCTACCTCACCTCATGACCGTGGTCCTTGAATCCCAAGTTTTCAGAAGACTCAGATAGAGAGGGGCTGCTCAAAGCTCTGGGCTGGAACCCAGAATGGCAGCCGTGGACTGGGTGGGAAATTTACAGCAGTTTGCAGATGTAGACCCCACCCTGCTCCTCAGGACTTCAACACACCCACCCAGCCTATGCAGGCTTATGAGCTGTGAAGAAATTACATCAAGATTAGATGTCTTCTCAGCTGATTTTTTTAATTTTTAATTTTGTTTTAATTACATTAAAATTTTTAATTTTTTTATTTTATAGAGACAGGGTCTCACTATATGGCCCAGGGTGGTCTTGAATTCCTGGGCTCAAACAGTCTTCCCACTTTGGCCTCCCAAAGTGCTGAGGTTACAGGTATGAGCCACGATGCCTGGCCTCAGCTGAATTTTAAGTCCATTGTTATTCAAGTTTTTCTAACTTAATTTTATGAGCTTATTAATTAGTTCAATATGAAAGTCTGCTGCAGACAATCTAGAGCATTTCTATACCCCACTTTATTTTATGAATACAGATGCATTGCTTCCAAATGAGATATTCGAAAATAAAATTCAGTCCTGTATCAAAAATAGAATACACTGTATTCATGTTTGTTGTGTGACAAATTGCCCTAAACCTTAGTGGGTTAAACAGTAGATGGTTATCTCCTGGTATCTGTGGGTCAGGAATCGTGGCATGAGCTCTGCAGTGTAGGGTCTCCCTCAAGGCTGTCAGGAATCAGCTGAGACTGCAGTCATCTCAAGGCTCAACTGGGGCAGAAGTTGCTTACGAGCTCGCTCAGTGGCTTGGCAGGGGTTGTTGGGGTTCCCCAAGGCTGTTCTCCTGAGGGCCGCGGGTCCCGACTGGCTGTTTGCTGGAGGCTTCTCCTGAGGGCCGCGGGTCCTCACTGGCTGTTCTCCTGAGGGCCGCGGGTCCTGGCTGGCTGTTCTCCTGAGGGCCGCGGGTCCTGGCTGGCTGTTCTCCTGAGGGCCGCGGGTCCTGGCTGGCTGTTCTCCTGAGGGCCGCGGGTCCTGGCTGGCTGTTCTCCTGAGGGCCGCGGGTCCTGGCTGGCTGTTCTCCTGAGGGCCGCGGGTCCTGGCTGGCTGCCTGAGGGCCGTGGGTCCTGGCTGGCTGTTTGCTGGAGGCTTCGCCTGAGGGCCGCGGGTCCTGGCTGGCTGTTCGCCTGAGGGCCGCGGGTCCTGACTGGCTGTTTGCTGGAGGCTTCTCCTGAGGGCCGCGGGTCCTCACTGGCTGTTCTCCTGAGGGCCACGGGTCCTGGCTGGCTGTTCTCCTGAGGGCCGTGGGTCCTGGCTGGCTGTTTGCTGGAGGCTTCTCCTGAGGGCCGCGGGTCCTCACTGGCTGTTCTCCTGAGGGCCACGGGTCCTGGCTGGCTGTTCTCCTGAGGGCCGCGGGTCCTGGCTGGCTGTTCTCCTGAGGGCCGCGGGTCCTGGCTGGCTGTTCTCCTGAGGGCCGTGGGTCCTGGCTGGCTGTTTGCTGGAGGCTTCGCCTGAGGGCCGCGGGCCCTCGCTGGCTGTTTGCTGGAGGCTCTCCTGAGGGTGGCTCACAGCACAGCAGCAGGCTTCATCAACATGAAAGGGCGGAAGAGGCTGAGACTGAGAGTGTGTACCTGTAAGCAGGAGAGAGTCTAGGATGGAAGTCTCAGTCTTTTATAACCTAATCTCAGAAGTGACATTCATCACTTTTGTTATAATCTATTTGTTAGAAGCAAGTCACTAGGCTCAGCCCACGCACAAGGGGAGAGAACAAAAGGGAGTGAATACCAGGAGGTGGGATCATTAGGAGCCACTTCAGAAGCTGCCGATCACGTGTACTCTGATCAAGTTAGGTTTATTCTGGGAATGGGTTAGGGTGGTTCAATAATGGATTATCAACAAAAGCGTCACATCAATAATTTGTAAAGACTTAAATCATCATATCAATATATGTTGAAAAGACACATAATACAACTTAACAGCCATTCCTAATTAGAAAAAAAAAAAACTCTAAGTAAAATGGGAACAGAACGAGACTACTTAAATGTAACAAAAACCAACCAACAAACCCCCTTTCAGTTAAATTTAGGAGCTAGACAGGGATGCCTTAATTACTATTATTTAACATTGTGTTGGAGATTATAGAAAATGCAACATAAGAAAACAAAACGAAATGTGTGGTATACAATTGGAAAAGGAAACATAAAACTACCTCTTTTGTGCTGATGACATGAATGTATATCTGGAAAACCCAAGAGATACTAATAACAAACTGCTAAAATTAATGAAGAATTTGGTTAGGTGGCTGGATACAAAATAGCTGTATAAAAACCAATAGCTTAAAAACAAAACAGTCCAACAAACAAAGAAATAGCTTTCTTTCAACAAAGATGCCAAGAACACCCAATGGGGAAAGGCAGTCTGTTCAATAAATGGTGTTGAGAAAACTGTATCCATGTATAGAAGAATGAGAGTGAACCCGTATCTCACATCTTTACCAGAATCAACACAAAATGGATTAAAGATGTAACTGGAAGACCTGAAACTATCAAACTACTAGAAGAAAATATAGGGAAAAGGCTCCATGACATTATAAGGGCAGTGATTTATTGGATATGACCCCAAAGGCTCAGGCAATGAAAGCAAAAACAGACAAATGGAATTACATGAAACTAAAAAGCATCTTCACCACAAAGAAAACAATTAATAGAGTGAAGCTGCAACCCACAGACTGAGAAAAAATATTTGCAAATTGTATATTGCATAAGGGGCTACTTTTCAAAATATATAAAGAACTCAAATTACTTAATAACAAAAATAAAAACCCTATTAAAAGCAAGGGACTTCAATAGACATTTCTCAAAAGAAGACATACAAATGGCCAACAGATACATGAAAAAATGCTCAACATTTCTAATCATTAGAGAAATGCAAGTTAAAACCACAGTGAGATATCTCCTCATACCTGTTAGATTGGCTATGATAAACAAGATAAAAGATAAGTGTTGGCTAAGATGTGAAGAAAAGGGAACCCTGGTACACTGTTGGTGGTATTGTAAATTAGTATAGCCATTTTGGAAAACAGTATGGAGGTTAGTAAAAAAAACTAAAACTAGACTTATTTGATTCAGCAACTCTGCTACTAGGTATACACCCAAAGGAATTGAAATCATTTGTGGAAGAGGCATCTGCGTTCCCATGTTCATTGCCATGTTATTCACAATAGCCAAGATATGGAAACAACCGAAGTGTCCATCAACAGGTGAACGGATTTTTAAAATGTGGTATACATACACAATGGAATACTATTTAGCCTTAAAAAACAGGAAATTCTGTCACTTGTAATAACATGAATACATCTGGAGGACATTAAGTTAAGTGAAATAAGCCAGGTATGGAGAGAGAAAATACTGTATGATCTTACTTATATGTGGAATTTTTAAAAAGTCAAACTCATAGAAGTAGAGAGTAGACTGGTGGTTACCAGAGGCTGGGTGGGGCTGGGTATGAGGAGAATGTGGATGAGGAAGGGGAGATACTTGTCAATGGTGCAAAGTTGCAGTTAGCAGGAGTGTGTTCTGGTGTTCTGTTGTACGGCATGGTGGCCAGAGTTGACAATCATGTATTATACATTTGCAAATAGTAAAAGGGAGGATTTTAAATGTTCTCAACACAAAGAAATGATAAATATTTGAGGTGATGACTATACTATTTAGTGTGATTTGATCATTCCACAATGTATACATGTACCAAAACATTACATTGACCCCATAAATATACACTATTATTATTTGTCAATTAAAAAATAAAATCACACCTAGCTTCATCATAGTCAAACTGCCGAAAACAAAATGTAAAGAGAAAATTTTGAAAGCAGCCAGGGGACAATGATAGAACAACCACTAACTTCTCCTCAGAGACAATGGCGGCCAGAAAACAGTGGAATGCTATGTTTAAAGTGCTGGGAGAACAAAACAAAAAACTGTCAACCCGGTGTTCTGTATCAGGAGAAAATATTATTCAAGAATGAAAACAAAATAAAAACTGCAAGCAATATAAATCCTACCAATGGGAGAATGGTTGAAAAATAATAGTACATCCACGACATAGATATGTACTATTAAGCTCCCATTAAAAAGCATGAGTTAGGACTATGTCAGTTGACACAGAAGGGGTAAAAAATAGTTTTACAAAAATAGGATGACAAAATCTAATATATTTGTCTATCTTTGTGTGTGTGTGTGTGTGTTTATATTTGAGTGGCACGCCAAGGGGGAAGGTGGGTCAGTCTCTCCCAGGTGTTGACCATAATTGGATAAATTGTAAAGTGTTTAAAAACGATAGTAAAAATGGCTAGAAGTTGGCCTGCTTTTTGTCATCAGCATACATTCTAAACATGTCAGTGATATGATACTGTCCCCTACAGTGATGGAAGGCCTCTCTGTTCGCTCTCTAGGCAAGCCACTATGTATTTGTACGTGGTTTATATAAACATGAAGACGAGCATGGAAGGGCATACAATTGGTTGTTAGCCCAGGTGACCTGGAAGGGGTTGGGGTTGGCATGGTGGAGGGAAAGTTGGATCGGGAAGCAAAAATGGAAGAGGAAGCAAAATGGACGTCACTAAAATCCTGAACAGTATCATGATATAATGATGTATACACAGTTCCCGAAGCTTACATACATGTGCATATAAAGGGAAATTTTAAAAAGAAAATTAAAAGAAAAAGCCCCAGATTCCCTTCTCAGAAAACCACAATTTCCCATTGAATTCTGATGGGTTAGATACCCCTAAAGGTCACGTGTGGCTCCACCCCGGAGTTGAGCATATCTGCTGTAGACCTTGGATTTGTCTGGTCTACAATGTGATGTCTTCTAATCTGAGGAACAGTTTTCCCATCTGCATAAGGGCACCTGCCTCACAGAGCAGCTTTGGGTCTCGTAAACGGACGGCACATGTGAGTTTACTGCCAGGCAGTCCTCAGTCTGTGCACGTCACAGTCCACTTTGGAACTCCTAAGAATGCTGTCTCCTCCCACCCTAGACGTCCTCACACAGAATCTGTGAGGGGCTGGCCTAGGCAGAATTATCTTTTAAAAACTTTGCATATGAGGTGCTTGATAAAAGCTAGTTGGATTTGAATTTGGCCACAGCTCAGATAATCTGGGGAACTGGGGTGTCTGCTAAGGATATGTGACCATCTGCTGGTGTAAACCTTTCAGATGATGGGGAAGCCGGGCATCACGGAGAGCTGAGAAGACTCGCTTGTTCACACTTACTCGAAAGCAGGTGCGCCTCCCAATTTCTCTGTGTTTTTAGAAATCTCTCATTCTTTCTTCAGTCTCCCTTTCCCCACCCTGCCTATTTTCTCTCTTTCTCTCTCCACTTAATCTTTTCTTTTTTCCTTTTCCTTATTCCTCATCTTAACAGGTCCTAAGTGTGTGTTGTATGTATTTAAAAAGTTTTCGTCTCTGTTTTTAATTAAAAGAAGAAGAGCTTACTCCTGTTTCCAAACCCCTGCACGTGATACTCAAGGAGCTGGTGATGGTGCTTGCTGGGCTTATGAAGTGCAGCTGTGTCCTCTCTTGCTCTGTAACACCCTCTCTGCCAGAAACAGCTCAGCAGGAAGGCAGCGGGGCACCTTGGAAACGTGCCCCTGGGCCCCACCTTACAGCCTCTGCTCCGCTCCCTTCGCGGCAGAGTGGTTCAGGAACAGTCTGCAGCCTCCTGCCAGGAGGCCAGGAAAAGCCACTCCTGGCCCTGGGCAGCTATGAGGCTCTTGGTGGATCTCAGAACTCTGTGGGGGCCAGAGGGCTGAGTGAGTCAGGCTGTGGAGGGCAGGCACCATCCACACTCCCAGACACTTTGGGTTATAGTCTCTCTCTTCCTTGATTAGAAGAGGCCTGGGAACTTCAGCTGGCGACTCTGGTGTTTCTGACTTTGGCTATCAGCAAACACTGCTGGAGGCTCTGCCCCGTCCACACCCAGCTTCTGTGAGCACGGAGGAGGCATAATCTGCAAAGTCTGACACAGGCCATGCCTAACCATCCTTGACTGGCTACCTCCAGTGACATAAAACTGAGAAGCAAAGACACCCAGGAGGCAAGGCTGCAGTCATTTAGGAGAGTGGACGGATGCCAGGGCTGTGCTGCCTGCAGCCTTTGTGGGGCTCAGTGACCAGAGGAGCAGCCCATGCCAAGCCTAGTCCCCAGGGATGCTGCCTGCGGTGCTCACGCATCTTATACAGGGACACAGAGGAACTCTGGGCTCCACCCTGCAGCCTCTGCTCCAGCACGCGGTGGTCCCAGGAGATGTAGAACCAGCCCTTCCTCTGCAGTTGCACTGGGTAAGTGATGCTGTGGGCTGTTATCCATCAGAAATACACCGCCCACTGCTCCACCAGTCAAAGTTACGCCTACTCTGGAATTTGCTCTCTTAGCCATTTGCTTGGTTTAGGAAAAGCCTAAGCTTCTGCCCCCCCGATTCACCACAGAAGCCCTCTATTATCACTCCTGTTACGTGTAAAGGCTGAGTTATTGCTAACTCTCAACAGGTCCTAGAATCCTTTATGTGCATTCGGGGGACTGGGGGAGGCCCTGGACACTGTGCCAGGTGCTGTGTCTCAAGGTTCACTGGACCTGACAGGGAGATTGGGAACAAAGGCCCTGAGAGATGTGGGGAGCAGCCTTTGTGTCTGAGCTGTCACTCAGCTCTTTGCTTTATGCCACTGGCGTACCTGCTGGAGGAACTCCATGTGGAGGAAGGCTGGGCCCTGTGGGGGGCATTCGAGGGGGACACTCTGGCCAGCCTCAGGCTGGGTCCACCTAGGGGGAGGAGGGGACAAGCCACCTCATGGATGTTGTACACAGTGGCCCAAAAGTGACCTTAAAAATGGATTTAAGGAATAAATCCAAATCCAAATATAAGACATAAGCCATCTGAAGAAACAGCCTTGGTGATTGTCTTTGAACCTCCAGACTGTGGGGTGACTTGCCTCATACAGGCTGATATGGAAGTGCTTATCTCAGTAACTTCACTGTGCTCTGTCTGAAGAGAAGATGTTTCGCGGCTGAGTGGCCCGCATTGCATCTTATAAAAGCGGAGCCCAGGGAGACCGAATCTGGCTCGTGTCTCTAGCATTGCTTGAGAGTGGGGACATTTTGGCCCCAGACACAGGATTCTGACCTGTGTGGGAGGCACGTCCCTGTGTTGGAGGTGGGTGCCCCCAGCTTCTACATATTAATGATGTCCCTGTTAGGGTTACTTTGCCCATCCCCTTGGCACTGATTCTGTTAATTTTCTGATTGTAACTTAAGGATTGTGGTTTTGGTGTGGCATCTAAGATTTCTTGTCTAATATAAGGTCACAAAGATTTTTTTTCCTGTATTTTCTTTTAAAAGTTGTGGAGATTTAGCTATTATGTTTCAGTCTGTATTAGTCCATTTTCACACTGCTGATATAGACATACCTGAGACTGGGTAATTTATAAAGAGAAAGAAGTTTAATGGACTCAGTTCTATTTGGCTGGGGCAGCCTCACAATCATGGTGGAAGGCAAAAGGCACGTCTTACATGGCAGCAGACAAGAGAGAGCTCGTTCAGGGAACTCCCATGTATCAGATCTTGTGAGACTTATTCACCGTCGTAAGAACAGCATGGGAAAGACTCACCCTCATGATTCAGTCACCTTCCACCAGGTCCCTCCCATGACAGGTTGGAACTATGGGAGCTACAATTTGAGATTTGGGTGGGGACATGCCCAAACCACATCAAGGTCTATGATACCTTTTGAGTTATTTTGTGTGTATGGTGTGAGGAAAGGTTCTATATCCACCTTTCTTGCATCTGGACATCCAGTTTTCCCAGCATTATTTGTTAAAAGACTATCATTTTCCCCATTGAACTGCCTTGGTACCTTTGTTGAAAATCAGTTTACTGTAAATGTAAGGATTTATTTCTGGGCTCTCAGTTCTGTTCCATTAATCTATAAGTCCATTCTTAATACCGTTTCCACACTGTCTTGATTACTGTGGCTTTGTAGTAAGGGTTGAAATTAGGAAATGTAAGTCTTACAACTTTGTTTTTCTATTCCAAATTGTTTTGGTATTCTGGATCCTTTGCAGTTTCATATAAATTTTAGGACTGTCTTGTTATTTTCTGCAAAAAGAGCCTGCTGGGATTTCAGCATGGATCATATTGAGTTTGCAGACTGATGTGGGGAGAATAGCTATTTAACAACATTGAATCCATGGACATTGGCTGTCTCTCCATTTATTCAGATCTTCTTTAAAGTCTCTCAGCAAGTTTTGTACTTGCTTTGTTAAATTTAACTTACCTTTTTTCACATTTTGATGCTACTATGAATAGAATTATTTTCTTAATTTTCCTACTCATGGCTATTATAGAGCTACAATTGATGGCATGTAGAAATATAGTTGATTTTTGAAATTGTGTATCCTGTCATCTGGCTAAACTTGTTTCTTAGTTTCAGTTGTACTTTTGGTGGATTTCTTAGAATTTTGTGCAAAAAGATAACTGCAAAGAGCTTTACTTCTCTTTTTAGCAATACAGATGCCTTCATTTTATTGGTTACCTTGCTGCATTGGCTAGAACCTCAAGTACAATGTTGAATAGAGGTGATGAGGGTGGGCATACTGTCCTCATTCTTGATCTTAGAGGAAAACATTTTAATCAATCTTTCACCATTAGGTATTATGTTAGCTATAGGTTTTACCCAGATGCCCTTTGTCAAATTGAGGAATTTTCTTTTCCATTTGTAGTTTGTGGAGATATTTTATTATGAAAGAGTGTTGGATATTTTCAAATGCTTTTTCTGAGTCTATTGAGATAATCATGTGGTTTTTGTTCTTTATTCTGTGGTTACTGTATTCCATTAGTTAAGTATTGGATGTTAAACCAATGTTTGGATATAAATCCTCCTTTGTTAATATTTTGTTAAGGATTTTTGTATCTATATTCATGACAGATATGGGGCTGTGCTTTGCTTTTCTTGTGATGTCTTTGGCTAGGATGTAAGGACAATACTGATCTCATCAGGTGAATTGACAGGTATTTCTTTCCTCCTCTGTTTTCTTGAACAGTTTGTAAAGGATTGGTATTATTTCTTTTGTTAATATTTGCTAGAATTCACCAATGAAGCCATCTGGCTTTTCCTTATAGGATGATTTTAATTATTCAATGTCTTTACTATTTATAAGTCTATTCACATACTCTGTCTTCTTGAGTCAGATTTGGTAATTTGTGTATTTCTTCGAATTTGTCCATCTCATGTAAGATGTCTAATTTACTGGCATAAAGTTGTTAATATTATTGTTTTATAACCCTTTTAACATGTGCAGGATCCATAGTGATTCTCCCTTCTTGGTTTTAGTCTCTCCTGGTTTTAGTCACTTGTGCCCCATCTTTTTACCCCACTGTAAAAGGACGGGAGGGGTAAACAGATTTTTATTTCACATCCCAGCCCTCGCCCTGGGCCCTGTTGTTTGACCCCCAGCATCCCCTGTGGTTGCTCATCTGACTCAGGCTTCCCAGTCACACGTGATGACATGGTGACCCCCGCAGCACAGTGGCTAGCACTAGAAAGGGGCTCAGTAAATGTTAGCTTCTTGTCTGTGTTCGCCTTCCTTGACTCTGGGTCTACCAGGAGTTTGGCAAACTCCCCCCGTGGTCTGGACAGGAAAGCCCCAAGCATCTCTCTGGACTGGGGTGTGGTCGTGTCACAGAGGCATCCTCCCCACCACATACAGACAAATGCTCAGCAGTGCTGACGTCCAGATGCTTCAACACAGGGCTGCCCTCCACCCTGCTTCCTGCACAGAATGAGGATTGGAGGGGGCTGCGGCTGGAGTGTGGGTGACGGGATGGTCACTGTTGGGGGCACGAGCCGGGAGTTGGTGCCAGGTGAGGGTGCAGGAGGGGCCTGGGTCAGGAGCCCGGGTACGGGCCAGGGCCAGTTGCCACTCAGGTGTTCTGTGCCTTTGTCCTGTGCTGGCCCTGAGGCACGCTGGACGTGGGGCCCAGTGCACCCTTGCTGACTCCAGCTCCTAGCATGGGAGTAAGAGGGCCAGTCAGACCTGGGAAAGGGCCACCGACTGGTCCTCATAGCTTTGCTTTTCCACTTTCCTGTCCCTTAAAGAGCCACACAGAAAATGGTATCTGAATCAAGTACAATCTCATTACAGATGCGTCTGGCCTGGAAACACACCCGCCAACTGTGCTGATTGGCTGGAACCATGCAGGCTTTGGCTTTTGTGCTCCTTGTTAACATTTTTGTTCCTATCTACACTAATTAGTCATAAACAGAGGGACAAAAACTCCCCAAATATGGGAGATGCTAATGGCCTGTTAGGAGGCCTCGCCTGCAGAGCTCATCTCATTCCTTTTGCAAGAGCAGAAGTTGTGCTTTAGTTTAGAAACAAGGAATGTGGATCTTGTCTGGGCATTGAGTTTTCGGGTACTCCAAGCTTTCAGAGCTGCCGCAGAAGATTTTCGGGGGTCTTGCTGGCTCTGTGACAAGCCGCCGGAGTCTTGCTCAGTGCTGAAGGCACACCCCAACATGGCCATCACCGGCAGGCCTGTCCAGCCCTGTCCTCATAGCTTGGTGCTGTCCTTGCCATAGTGAGTGAGTTCTCATGGATCTGGTTGTGTAGAAGTGTGGCACCTCCCTCCCCCTTGCTCCCACTCCTGACATGTGGGATGCCTGCTCCCCCCTCACCTCCTGCCATGACTGCAAATTCCTGAGGCCTCCCCAGAAGCAGATGCAGGTGCCATGCTTCCTGTACAGCCTGCAGAACCATGAGCCAGTTAAACCTTTTCTCTTATAAATTACACAGCCTCAGGTATGTATGCAAGAGCAGCCTGACGCAGCCAGCCAGTGCATCCTCCACCAGGGCCACCTCCACTCCTCACCGCAGCTGCTCCTCATGGTATCTCCAGCATGAGTCAGGGCTCCCCACAGGCCCATGTGCGATGATGGAGCTGTGAGGAGCCTCGTGGTTTTCCAGGCTCACTCTCCACGGGCCTCCTGGTCTCATGTCCTGCTCAGTCCTCCCTCCCCTGGTGGAGCAGCGTCTCATGCTGGGACTTTCTGGCTCCATTTCAGGGTCTCTCCTTCCCTGCTGGTGGCCCAGCTCCAGAGACTCAGAGGAACTCAGATGGGGTGCACGGGCGTCCTCTCAGGCCTGTGCCCAGGGAAGTCTAGGTGTGAGCCGAACAGAGCCCCTGGGACCAAATGGCCCGCGACCGCCCCCTTCAAGGACCGTGGTGGAACCCGCTTGGTGTAGCTCTGTGCCCCTCAACAGACTGCCACGAAATCCTAAGACCTTGAGAGCTTGGGTTCTGCCTCGTTTCTCCTGGAGCTGCCTTACAGAACCATTCCCTTTGTTCTGGAATCTACTTTACTCCCTTCCTTCTCTCCTGTGAACTCCATTGCTGTGGTTTAGGACAATCCCTCCTGTAGACATCAAGGAGGATGATAAGAGTATGACACATTGTCCTCAGACAGAGTGGGTGCAGCCCAGCTCCCAACCCCAGGCTCCCAGGAGCAGGGGCCCCCTTCAACCTGAAGGCAACAGAAGGGAGTGTTTCTCTCAGAACAGGGAAGGTGGGGATGGCTGTGGCTGCACAGGGACCTGGTGCCATGGAGGTTCAGAAGATGACTTTGAAGACAGTCACTGCAGCCCTCACCTTGTGGCCTGGGAGACCATGTCTGGGATAGGCCACGGTCCGCAGGGATGGCCTCATCCACACAGCAGCATCCGTGCAAGTCTAGGCCCTTTCCACACTGCATTGCTTCTCTCGTATTCATTTTTCTATAAATAATATGTAATCATGTTAAGAAAATGAAAACAGCATGAAGTGCATGAAATGTGCAGTGCAAGCTCGTATTCCCTCCCGCCATCCTCAGTCTGGCTTTCTTTTTCCGTTTTTCTTTTTGTTTTGTTTTGTTTTTTAAACAGGATCGCAGCCTGCCACCCAGGTTGGAGTGCAGTGGTGCAATCAGCTCACTGTAGCCTCGACCTCCTGGGCTCAAGTGATCCTCCCATCTCAGCTTCCCGGGTAGGTAGGACTACAGGTGCACTCCCTCATGTCTGGTTAAATTTGTTTATGTTTTATTTTTACTTTTTGCAGAGACAAGGTCTTGCTGTGTTGCTCGGGCTGTGCCTGAAGCGATCCTCCTGCCTCCGCCTCCCAAAGGGCTGGGATTACAGGCGTGAGCCCCCACACCCAGCTGGACGTCAACCCAGCTTTTTGCACCCCCATATGCATGTTTCTCTGTTGGAGCTTTTGTTTCTTATGGCAGAATCATCAAGTCTCCTCATAATCCCTGCTTTCTGTGGCATGTCTTCCTACCAAACTCCTTCTTTCCCTCCCCGTGGACCTTCGTGTGATGCTCTGTGTTGTTTCTTCAATGAGGCCTGTTCCTCGGCGCAGCCCCCTTCAAAGCTGTCGGTCTGCCGGCCTCTGCGGTCGAGGCTGAGCCGCTGTTCTCGCCAGGACAGACGTGGTGGGTGTGCAGCTCTGGGCGTCCGAGCTCCCTTCTGGGCCGGCAGTGAAGGAAGTCGCCACAGCACACTGTTGAACTTCACACACCAAGACAGCAGCCCCGAGGCGCTCACCCAGCCCACAGGGCGAGGAGGGAAAATACAACGGGAACAATCATGTGCAGTGTTTCTGGAATCTGAAAGCCGTTGGCTTAAGACACAGGCTTCCGTGTGCAAAAGTTGAGCTGTGTATTTTCATGAGACCAAAGACACATCGACGTCGTCAGGCATCGGGGGCTCCCTGCAGCTCAGTGTGAGGTTCACTGACCTGGGCCCGTTCTGTGATGATTCCTTGTTTACATTCTGACCCGGACCTCCAACATTCCTCAAATTGTTGGGAACCAGGGAGTGAGATCGGCACGAAGTTCAAACCCTCCCCTGCTGTCTGCACAGCCACCAGCCTTGTTGCTGGAACATGCTGGGGATTTTATGCAGGAACTGCGGGTGGCAGGGAGACAGTGGGCAGAAGGAGCTGGTGACCTTGGCGAAAACGGAACCTCACCCTCCCATGGGCAGCTGGGGCTCTGGGCCCTGCAGGGTCAAGGGGAGGATGCGTCTGCCGCCTTCCCCCACAGGCGGCCAAGGACCGTCCGCACACCCTCTACCCCAGAGAAAACTCGGGTGTAGGAAGCAGGCGACTGTGAGGTCAGCTGCGTCTCTCTCTGGCCTGGGTCCCAGGGCCGGAGCCTCTGTCCTGGTCCTGGGTGTCCCCCCGCTGCCCGCTTTGGGCTGCCCTGGACTCAGGCAGCCCTGCTGGTAAAGTGCCCGAGGAGGTGAATGTGCTGCTGGGCCGGAGTTCTGGTCGGGAAATCTCAGTGGGAACAGAGGCTGAGGACGCACAAAGGGTCCCAGCAGCCAGAAAGGACGGGGAGCAAGGGGAGCCCGGGACGGGCCGTGGGAGAAGACACCTGGAGCGAACTCACGGGGTGACAGCTGACGCTGCCTGGGGGCAGGAGAGGGAGATGGTCCAGGGCCCCAGGCCTCAGGCTCGAACCAGGCAGGAGACCCACGCGTGCAAGACAGGCAGATGGGGCCCGGTAGAGAGGGGTCGCGAACTCACGGGGTGACAGCGGACGCTGTCTGGGGGCAGGAGAGGGAGATGGTCCAGGGCCTCAGGCTTGAACCAGGCAGGAGACCCACGCGTGCAACGCAGGCCGATGGGGCCCGGTAGAGAGGGGTCGCGAACTCACGGAGTGACAGCGGACGCTGCCTGGGGGCAGGAGAGGGAGATGGTCCAGGGCCCCAGGCCTCAGGCTCGAACCAGGCAGGAGACCCACGCGTGCAAGGCAGGCCGATGGGGCCCGGTAGAGAGGGGTCGCTCGGGGCACAGAGCTCGGAGCAGGGCGGCCGTGGGGCTCCGCTCACAGGGAGAGGCACAGGGTCGAGTGAGGAACCCTTCCTGCCGCAGCCAGGCTGGCCGTGGAGATGGGCCGAGAATGGGGAGGGCGTCCCCAGCAGGGCATTCGGGGTCAGGAGGCGCCCGTGGGCGGCAACACCGTGGGCTGGAGGCACCGCGTCTGGCAAAGGGAAGGCCCCAGTCCGGCGGCTTCACGGCCCACCGCGGTGTCCGGGTTGAGGCGGGGGCCGCGCGCATCCTCGGGGGGGGACAGTCGGCCCCGGGCGAGGGGCTACCCCTCAGGCCCCCGTCCCCGAAAGGCCACGGGTGTGGGGACTCGAGCCTGGCCTCGGATCTCAGGCTTGGACGGAACCTAGTGAGGACCTGACACCGTGGGGGCGGCCTGTGGTCCCCGTCCGTGGCCAGGCATCCCCCGTTCACCCATCAGCTGCCTGAGCTCCGCCACCTCATGGCCGGGTGCTTTGGCACCCGGGATACTTCACTGAAAAGAGACTTTTTCCACTGTGGCCGAGAACGAGGGATTTAAAAAACGTCAAAGCCAAACCCCGTCTATGAGCAGCTGTCGTGTCCGCTCCGCTGGCCTCGTGCCCGGCCACGCCACCATCACTTTCCAAAAGTGTCGCTGCGGAAGGCTCACTGGGAGGACAAATGTCGGCCCCACCCGCAGTTTCTCTGTTCCCTATTTTCTCACCACTTCTTGTTAATTTGGGGCTGCTGCTTCCTTTGGCCCCTGCTCAGGCTCTGGATTCTGGGCTTAGTCCTGTGGGCAGTTCTGTGAGCTTATGATTAAATACCTGATATTATTAAATACTCAGGAGCATGTGTGAGAGCCGCTGGCCCTGGTGCCCGGGTTACAGCTGTGTGGGGACGTCGGTGCTGCCTGCCTCCTGCCCCGCTGGGGGGAGGGAGCCCCCCCAACCTATGCTGCAGGTGTGACACCATGGAGGCCAGCCCCTGGCGCCGGTGACGTCTCGGGGTGACAGGCAGGACCCCCTTGTCCTGCCTCCTTCCCGGATGTCTGATTTGGCCGGGATTTGAGGCTGTGGGGGCCACCGCCTCCTGAGGCACGAGGCATTCCTGTGGCAAGGGGCGGCAGGGAGACCTTGCTGTCACCACCGTGGCTGGTCTGTCAGTCGGGGAACTTGGGAACCCCAGAATCCTGCAGGCCGAAGGGACCTTGCCCTCGAGAGGGGGTGAGGAAACGAGGCTGAGACGACCTTTGCCAGTGCCCTTGGGGGGCGAAGCGGGATCTGGCCTTGGCGTCTGCCCTTTTCAAGGGTCCTCCCTGCACGCCTGGCGCCTGTCCCTCCCCACAGTGGGGAGCAGGGGAGCCCCACTCTACGTCCCCCGTTTACTGTCCCCACGCCCCCTTCCCAGTCGAGCTGTCCATCTCCTTCATAAGAAAAGACTCTTCCACCCAAGAAACTCCCCAGCAGCTGCCTCAGGCCTTCCCGTCACGGCCCTCACTGCTCCCCAAGTAAAGTGGGGGCTGTGGGTCAGGAAGGGCCCCAGCTTGGGTCCGAGTGGGGTCCCCGTGGGTCCCCTGCACCCCTCATGATATGTGTGGGGTGGGAAGGGGCCTTCCAGGGCCTCTGGGACCCAATCCAGGAACTTGTTCTCAGAGAGTCACCAGCCAAGTCTCCTGGGCTTTTCTCCGCTGCTCCCACAGAGCCCTGGGCCTGGGAGGGTGGGACCACCCAGGAAGGGGACAATTCTGGGCCCCGGGATGCCCCCCCGCTCTGGGGACAAGGGGATGGTTTGTTAAAATCCCACTCCCGCTCTGTTGTGAAAGATGATTCTTGTCTTCCTGCACCACTCGGCCTGTCCTGAGGCTGCCGCCATTTCCCAGTCAAGCCCTGACCTCCTTCACAAGAAAAACCTCTCCCAGCCGAGAAACTCTCAGCCCCCAGGAGCTCACCAAGTTCCCAGGCACCTGTTCCAGGGCCCCAGCTCAGTACTTCCATGGGAGAGCAGGTTAGAAAGCCTGGAACATCCCAGCTCCACCTCCCACATACCCTCAGACCCTGGGTGAGAGTGGGGTCCCTGGCTCTACTCCCTACACACCCTCAGACCTCAGGTGACAGTGGGGTTCCCAGCTCTACTCCTGACAGACCCCCAGACCCCCAGTGACAGTGGGGTCCCCAGCTCCACCTCCCCATAGACCCTCAGACCTCATATGACAGGGGGTCCCCAGCTCCACCTCCCCATAGACCCTCAGACCTCATATGACAGGGGGGTCCCCAGCTCCACCTCCCACAGATCCTCAGACCCTGGGTGACAGTGGGGTCCCCAGCTCCACCTCCCCATAGACCCTGAGACCCCGGGTGACAGTGGGGTTGTTGCTGGTCCCACTTCCCACAGACCCTGGACCTCCTCAGGAAGGCATCCGGTGGTTGTATTGACCCCGGGTGTGAGAGCCCACGTGAAACGGAAGTTGAGCCAACCTTCCATTGTTCCCTCACCTGGCCCTGCCCCAGCTCAGACCTGAGCCAGCGGGTAGGTGCCCACCGCCAGTCCCAGGCAGAGGTTCCTCCGGTGCTCACAGCAGCCCTTGGCCCCATCCCGGCTCTTTCTGTTTGGGAATCTGGTGAGTATAAAGTGGCCTTGCTTGCGGTTTACTTTGAGTTTCCCTGACTGTAAGTAGAACTTGCCATCCTCACGCATCCCCGAGAGTGCCTGCCTGTGCCCTCCGGCGGGGCCACCTCTCGCTTTCTGAGTCACGGCTCCCTGTGGCTCCCGACATGAACCTCATCAGCTGTGTGTGCTGCAGATGTTTCCTCCCAGTTCATGCCCTGCCTTTGCCCTTGTCTTTTGTCTTCTGATGGTAGATTTGGACGTAGGACGTGCGTCAGCCTTGTCTTTCACAATTTTCCTCGTTTGTATCTGAACAAACCCTTCCTGGCCTCGAGTGTGGGAGATATTCTCCTGTAGCTTTTACTTCCATCATCTTGCCCCCATCACAAGTCCTCATCCATCTGGAAGCAATTTCCTTGTGTTTGGTTGAAGATAGGGATCCAGTTTCGCTTTCCTAATGTGCGTGGCCAGTCCCTGGCACCGTGCGCAGGCCTGCACCTCACCTCTGTCGGGCCCAGGCCTTCTCTGTGTGCCGGGCTGTTTCTGGGCTCTGTGGTCGGCTCCACTGGCCGCATGCCTGTCCCTGCACCACTGCCCCCACATGCCAACCCTGTGGCTTGGTTGTTGGTCTCAGCGTGCTCCTGGGAAACTCTCCTGCCTTGCCCTTCAGTGACTCACTCGCTCCAGTAATCAAACACCTACTGTGTGTCAAGAAAAGTGTCACTGACAAAAGCATCTGCCTTCTTGAAGCCCATTCAAATGCAGTTATGTCTATGTTGGAGAGAGACAGACTTTGTGATGGAAGGTTCTCTGGACAATGGTAATCGAGCATGACAGTGAGTGGCAGCTGCTGTTTAGATGGAATTGTCAGGGAGGCTCAATGAGAAGTAGGCATCTGAGCAAAACTCAAAGGAAAGGAGAGAGTGAGCCATGGACGTCCTGACAATTCCACTTATGATACTTTTCCTCCTCCCCGAGGTCAGGATGGTCCCTACCTCTGCCGGTCTTGCATGTTGTTTTAACGTATGTGAGTGGAACCCCTTGTTCTCATGCCGCAGCCCATTGTGTGAATAGGCTACACTATACCTGTCTGTTCGATTGTTGATGGCTATTTGGGTTGCTTAGTTTATGGCCATTTTGAATATGCTGCCATGGCTGGGTGAACATACGCGTTTCCGCTGGGTGTGTATCTAGGGCTGTGATTGCTGAGTCAGAGTGTGTGTCTGTTCAACTTTTGTCGGTAACGCCAAACCGTCTTTCTGAGTGGTTATGGATTCATGCTCCACCAGAGGAGAGAGTTCCCACTGCTCCTCATCCTTGGCAACTCTTGATTTTACCAGTAGTTTAAATTTTAGCCACGTTGGTGGGTGTGGAGTGGTGTCTCATTGAGGCTAATTTTCACCTCCCTGATAACTAAAGATACTGGTCCCTATTTCATGTGTTTATTGGTCATTCATACGTCTTTTGTAAACTTTCTATATATTTTGCTCATTTGTTGAATTGAGTTGCTTATAAAAATTATGTATTTGTTTATTTTTTGAGATGGAGTGTCCCTCTGTCGCCCAGGCTGGAGTGCAATGGTGCGATCTCGGCTCGCTGCAACCTCCGCCTCTCGGGTTCAGGCGATTCTCGTGCCTCAGCCTCCCGAGTAGCTGGGATTACAGGCAATAAAAATTATTTTGAATTGCAAGTGTTCTGTATATATTCTGGGTACAGGTCCTTTGTCCGATACATGTATTGCAAATATTCTCTTCAGTCTGTCTTTTTAAAAATTTTCTTAATAGTTCTTTTTGAAAAACAAAGGCTTTTAATTTTGAAGTATAATTTATTAACATTTTCTTTTCACTTGATGATTTGTGTCCTGCTAAAAAACCTTTGCGAACACCAAAGTCACAAAGATTTTCTCCTATGTTGTCTTTTAGTAGTTTCATGGTTTTAACTTTAACTTTTAGCTCCATGATCCCTTTTGACTGAATTTTTACGTATGGTATGAGGTAAGACTTGAGACTGTCCTTTCCACATTGAATTACCTTGGCACTGTATAAAATTGGCTGTATGTATATATACGTATATATACATATATACGTATATATACATATATATACACATATACACATATATACATATATACATATATATACACATATATATATTGGGCTGTGCACAGTGGCTCACGCCTATAATCCCAGCACTTTGGGAGCCTGAGGTGGGCAGATCACCTGAGGTCAGGAGTTCGAGACCAGCCTGACCAACATGGTGTGGTGGTGGACACCTGTAGTCCCAGCTACTTGGGAGGCTGGGGTAGGAGAATATATATATATATAGGTCTGTTTCTGGACTCTCTGTGCTGTTCTGTGATCTACATGCTTATCCTAACACTAGTACTCTACTATTTGCTGCTTTATTGTATGTATTGAAATTAAGTAGTGTAAATCCTCCAAATTTGTTCTTTTTCAAAATTGTTTTGGCTATCCCAGGTCCTTTGCCTTCCCATATAAATTTTAGAATCTGTTTTAGAATCAATTTTTACAAAAACAAATGCCTGCTAGGATTTTGATAGGGATTGAGTCTAATCTATAGATGAATTTGAAAGAAAAGACATCTTAACAATATTGAGTCTTCTAAGCCATAAACGTGGTATGTCTTTCCATTAATTTAGTTCTTCTTAATTTCTCTCAGCAATGTTTTATAGTTTTTGGTATACAGGCCCCACACACATTTTGTTAAATTTATCCCTAAGTATATCATGCTTCTGGATGCTTTTGTAAATATTTGTTTTTGTTTGTTACTTATTTTCATTTTCCAATTGTGCTGATATACAGAAATACAGCTAATTTTTGTATAGTTTTATATTCCGTGACCTTGTTAAGTTCACTTACTCGTTTTAGTAGTTTTCTTAGATACATATTTTAGGATTGTGTATGAATAGAATCATGTTACCTATGAATAAAGACAGTTAACTTCTTTTCCAATCTGTATGACTTTCATTTCATTTCTTGGTTTATGGCAGTGTCTAGACCAATCTCTGCCTTTTTTTTTTTTTTTTTTGTTTTGAGACAGAGTTTCGCTCTTGTCACCCAGGCTGGAGTGCAGTGGTGCAATCTTGGCTCACTGCAACCTCCGCCTCCCGAGTTCAAACGATTCTCCTACCCTCAGCCTCCCAAGTAGCTGGGACTATAGGTGTCCACCACCACGCCCAGCTAATTTTTTTGTATTTTTAGTAGAGACAGGGTCATGTTGGTCAGGCTGATCTTGAACTCCTGACCTCAGGTGATCTGCCCGCCTCAGCCTCCCAAAGTGCTGGGATTACAGGCATGAGCCACCGTGCACGGCCCAATCTCTCTGCGTTTTTAATGGGAGTATTTGGTCCATTTTCATTTAATATAATTACTGAAAGTTGGGACTGAGTCTTCCATCTTATTGTTTCATTTATTGTTTATTCCTCCTTTTTTCTTTTCCGCTTTTTTTTTCTTTGGGTATACTGAGTATTTTTCCGTCTTATCTCTTCTGTTGGCTCATCAGCTATGCCTCTTTCTTTAATGCTTTTAGTGCTTTCTTTAGGGTTTAAGGCACGCCTCTGTAATTTAATAACATTTCCTTTAAATGCTACTATACTACTTGACTTATAATGTAAGACTCTTCAATAGTATGCTTCCATTTTCTCCCTGAAATCCTTTTTGCTATTATTGTCATACATCTACTTCTATATGTGTTATAATTCTCCATAATAAATTGTGATTATTTTTGCTTTAAAGAGACACATTTATGACAAAGACATTAAAAATGAGAAAAGGGGCTTTTGTATTTGCCACATATTTACTGGTGCCAGTGTTCCTCGTTACTCGGAACAGACCCAGTTCCTCTCTGGAATCATTTTCCTTCAGCATAAAGAACACTTCCATCTCTTGTCTTGTACATCTGCTGGTGACAAGTGCTCTCAATTTTTGTTTGTCTGAAAATGCTATAATTTTATCACCTCATTTTTGAAAGATTTTTGCTGAGTCTTGGATTCTATGTTGACTGTTGTATTTTTTCCCCAGAACCTTCTATTACAGGTGTTCTGCCATTGGGTTCTGCCTTTCCTTGTTTCTGGTAATAACTCAGCAGTATTTCTTATCGTCGCGTCTTGCCAAGGTCTGTTTGCTGTGATTGGTCAGACCGCATCTCCTAGCCTGTGGGGCTCTGGGCGTCGTTCAGATGACAGCTCCCACTAAGTGCTCTTTGCCTGCCCGCACGGGGTCTCCCATATGTGCGGCTTAATGTTCAGCCAAAGGCACAAGGGGACCACCAGGACCACCATGTAGATTTCTGGGGTTCTTTCTCCACATGGTTTTTCCATCTCTGGTACTTCGCCCATACTTTTCAGGAGCCTTGGCCTCTCTGAGCTCTGGCACCTGTCTTCCGAGCTCAGTTAAACTGTTTTGCTCTCCTTGAGCTCCTCTCCCTGTGCTGGGGCCAGAAAGCGCCTCCAGGAAGAACGCCGCGGTGTCGTAGGGTTCACCTTGCTTGCTGTCTTTGTCTCGGAGATCACAGCTCTGTCTGTTGTCTATTGTCTTAGAACAAATGTTTCCTATTTTTTTCCTCCAGTTTATAATGTTTGTGGTAGGAGGGATAGTCTCATACCAGATACTCTGTTGTAGCCAAAAGTGGGAGTCTTTTCTTCATGTTTCTTCATTTCACGTTACTATATTCCTTCTCACTGAGTGTCTGTTCTGCATTCTGGGTAACTTATTTAGATCTATCTTCAAGTTCAATAATTCTCTTTTTATTTTTGCCCACTCTGCTGCTTAGTTCATCTAAGAGTTTAGCATTTTAATTATTATACACACCATCTCTAATCTTGTCTGAACCACTGACACTCAATTACTTGATAACTCTTCAGTCATTTGCGTCTCCTAGCTAACTGCTTCCCTAAATCCTTGCACCCTCTACCCAAAAGCTACCCCTCACTCTGAGCAAGGACCTCACCATCTCCTTGACATCCAGGAAAACCAAGGACATTAACATGGGACTTCTCTCCACAGTGTTCCACAGGACTTGCACTCCTGGTCCCCTTCTCCGTATGTCTCCTTCTGTCCCCGAACCTTCTGCCGGTGCTCCTGACACTGGCCCTCAGGCCTCACTCCTGGGTGCTCAGCCCCTGTCTGAGTTGATTCCTCTCTTCAGCTTCAGAGGCCTTCCCTGTCCCTCCAAGACTGCCTGAGCTTCTCTCCTCTGTGGGGCTTCCCATGCCTCCGGTGTGCCTTGAGTGAGACACCCCCTCATATGTCTGCTTTCACCTCACCCTAACCAGTCCCTCTATCTAGCTCCTGCTGCTGGCTCTGCTGCTGGCTCTGCTCTCCCCCAGACTGCCAACAGACCCCTGCAGCTTTTCACCTGTGTTATCTGTAAACTTTCTTCACTCTTTCTTCTTCTAGGAACTCTTCTCACCTCGGCTTTCATGACTGTCAGTGCCCCGTCCACTTTGCTGTGGCCTTTTCTTTCTCAATGTGCCTTGAAGTCTTCAGGTTGGGGGAGATGCTGCCTGGGGCATGTGGGGGAGGGCGGGCCTAAACGGAGAAGGGGGCTGAGCAGAGACAGGAGGGGTGGTTGTGAGGGTGGCAGGAGGCTGTGGGATTGAAGGAAGGGGGCTGGCGTGGGCTGGGGCCCAGGGAAGGTGGTGTGGAGGACCAGAGGCTCTTGACTGGGAATGCCGGCCATGCAGGGTCTGGTGACTGACAGGTGCGTATCTGTGCAGGCCCAAGCCAGTGCTGGCCAGAGTGGCCAAGGCGTCCCCGATCGCAGGGGCAGCTCTCCCTGCTGTGGCCCGCAGCTGGACAGTGGCTGAGCTAGGATTCAGCCGAAGCTGCCGGTCCTGCCGGAGGCTTTCTTCTCACATCAGGGCCTTACGGCTGCCCCAACCCTGGCCCAGGTTTGTCACGGTTGTCCTGGGATCCCCTGAGGTTTCCCTGTTTCCCCTGCCTCTTCTGGGCACACAGATCTCGGGGGGCTTTCCTGAGCTGTCCTAAGCTCCAGCCTCCCAGATACCACCAGCTTCAGCGTCTTTTTCAGACCTCAGTGACAGCTGCCCCACGCCAGGTGCTGACCTTAAGCACCACTGTGCACCAGGGCTGGGTCCAGACACTTCCAGGCCTACTGTGTATCCTCCCCCTCCCCAGTGTTGACAAAACTGCTCTCCATGGTTTTGGCCTCTGTTGGAGGGGTTGCCCCAGATTTACATGTTTTGAGATGGATTTGTGGCTGCAGTGTTCCTCTGGGTCCAGGCTGTGGCCCCACGCCTGGGAATCATGTCTGACCCAAGTGTCTGGTGTCCTGTGCCTGGGGCGAGGCTCACGCCCACCGCATCCCGCCAGCTCAGCACCGGAGGCCCAGCCCTCTCCCCATCTCCCTTCCCTTCTCATTGTGATTCATCGTCTGTTTATTAAACATGTGGATTTTTGATTTGCAGTTTTTGGGGCTGCGAAGGCCTGATCCCACCAGCTGTTTACAATCTATCATCCAGCACAAATGGTTTCCACGTGGTTGTTATGCTGGCTTATGACTGGGAACAGAATCTTGGTATCCAAATATTGGACTTTCGGCTTAAAAATGAGTGCAGTTCTCAGCATTCCCATCCCTGTATTGACAGCAAATTTGCATATTCTCCTTGTTTGCTTTGCAGCTCAAGGTCGATGCTGTAGCCAGGATGTCATTCTAAATGGGCGGCCCCTGGGAAACAGAACCAATGGCCGTTGCCTCAGCGTTAAATTGGGGGACCGATCACAGGCTCCTGAGGGGGGTGAGGGTGCTCAGGCCCTGGTGCCGTCCGGCAGGAACAGGCTTCTCCGGGCCTCGGGGGGACATTGCTCCACTCATGACTGGTACAGCCCAGAGAGAGGCCCCTTTCCAGAGACCCTGAGTTACTGTCCCCAGAGAACACAATTTTTTTTTCCCAACAGAGAGATGGGCAGAGGCCATAAACAGATAGTTCAGAGCTATGAGAACCCAGGTGGCTAAAAACATGAAAAACATGGTCTCACCAGTAATCCAAGAAATACAAAACAAAACAGTACGGCCCTGGCATTTGCGAAACAGGCCCTGAACCTGCGAGGTGTGGCCACCGAGACCGACAGGCACCACAGCCTGGGGGGGCGTCGGCCAGCGTGCTCCAGGAAGTTCACACCTTCGACCTGTGTGTTCCACCCTGGACGAGCCATCCCAGAGACAAGGGAGTGGACAAAACTCAGCGCCCAAACACGTTCTCACAGCATTGTTCATAATCAGGGAAGTTAGGGCACATTTAAATAGTCAACATCAGAGCAGTGGTTAAGCAAATCCCCCAGTGCCTCTCAGAATCATATAATTGTTGAAAGAATGAATGGCGGACTGTGATGTAGCACGTAAGTCACATGGAGGAGGGGGTCTGAAGATCACGGGGATGCCTGTGGCCATATCGAAGGAAGAGCATGATGGGAAAATCCATCAGCGGCTCTCAAGGACAGAGCAGGGGAGAGTGACTTCCAGGAGGGGAAGAAGATTCCAGATGCTGATGGGGTGCTGGTGAGCAGTGCACACGCTTGTCAAAACTCATCAAACTGCACTAAAGGTCTGTGCTTTGTATTGTGTATAAATTATGTTCTCATAAAGTTGATTAAAATCTATTATGTAAAATTATATATAGACTTTCCCTCCATCTTAAAATATATAGGAAAAAGACAAAGGAAATAGGTTAAAATATCACTAATGGTTCATTTGGAATAATGAGATTTGGAGAGTTGGACAATTTCTTCTTCTTACTTTGTTTTCCGTGGTAGGTTTGCTCAGTGGTGGCCCCCGCAAAAGAAACGTTTGCCTCCTAGCCTCTGAATTTGAATGTCACCATATTTGGGAAAAGGGTCTTTGCAGATGTAATCTTAATAAGAGATCTTAATATGAGATCATCTGAGATTACTTGGTTTTTAGTAAGTAACCTTTAATTTTTAGAACAATTTTAGGTTCACAGCAAAATTGGATAGAAGTTACACAGGTTTCTCATATCACACCCCCACACAGGCATACAACCTCCCCTTATCAATATTTCCCATCAGAGGGTACATTTGCTACAGTGAATGAACCTACAGCGACACAGCATCGTGACCCAACTCCGTGGTTTACATCAGGATTTACTCTTGGTGTTGTCCATTCTAAGCGTGGACAAATTTATCATGACGTGTAGCCACCGTGGTAGTGTCACAGAACAGCCTCACTGCCCTGAAACCCTCTGCGCTTCCCAGGTCACCCCTCCCTCCCCCAGCTCCTGGCAACCACTGATTTTATACGGTCTCAGTTTTGCCTTTTGCAGGATGTCATATAGTTGGGATCATACAGCACGTAGCCCTTTCAGATTGGCTTCTTAGTAATACATTTGAGTTTCTTTCATGGCTTGACATCTCATTTCTTTTCAGCGCTGAATAACACTCCACTGTCTGGATGTGCCACTCACCTACTGAAGGACCTCTTTGTTGTTCCCAAGCTTTGGCAATTTTGAGTAAAGCTCCTATAAACGTCTGTGTGCAGGCTTCTCTGTGTACATACTTTTTCGGTTCATTTACCTAAATACCAAAGACAGCGATTGCTGGATTCTATGGGGAGGGTATGTTCCATTTTGGAAGAGACGGCCAGACTGTCTTCAATGGTGCTGCACTGTCTTGCGTTCCCAGCAGCCGTGAACGAGAGCTCCTGTTGCTACACATCCTGGCCAGCATTTTGTGTTCTCAAAACACATTCTGGCCACTCTAATAGATGTAGAGTGGTATCATTGTTTTAATTTGCAATCTCTAGTGGCGTATGACGTTGAACATCTTTTCATAGGCTTACTTGCCATCTATATATCTTCTTTGATGAGGTGTCTGTTTTGGTCTCTTGCCCATTTTAAAATCAAGTTGTTCATTTTTTTATTGTTGAGTTTTGATTGTTCTTCATGTATTTTGGATATCAGTTCTTTATCAGATGTGTCTGTGGCTTGCCTTCTCATTTTCTTGAAAGTGTCTTTCACAGAGCAGAAATTTCTAATTTCAAAGAAGCCCAGCTTATCAATCATTTCTTCCATGGATCGTGCCTTTAATGTTGTATCTAAAAAGTCATCACCTTACCCAAGGTCATCTAGGCTTTCCCTGTGTTAACTTCTAAGAGTTTTATAGTTCGCATTTTACGTTAGGTCTATGATCCATTTTCAGTTAGTTTTGTGATGGGTGTAAAGTCTGTGTCTGGATTTAATTTCTGCATGCAGATGTCCAGTTGCTCTATAGCCTCATTTGTTGAAAAGACAATTTTTGGCCACAGTATCGTCTTTGCTCCCTTGCCAAAGATCAGTTGACAAAATTATGTGAGTCTATTTCAGGACTTTATCCTATTCTGTTGCTTTATTTGCCTATTCTCATGTCAGTATCTTGATTATGGTGTCTTTTGCCTCTCTCTATAAACCTTAGAATCAGTTTGTCAATGTCTATAAATTAACTTGCTGGGATTTTTATTGAGAGTATGTTCAATCTACAGATTAATCTAGAACAACTGACTCGACAATATGTGAGAGGGTCTCCAAAAGGTTCATGGAAAATGCATATTATGAAAAAATGCGTAGATTTCAATTTCAAAATAAACTCATACTACCTTGTTATAACACATCTGAACAGGCTCTAGTTTGAGGCACTAAGAAGAATAGGACAGCAGTTTCAAAAGAGCCCCTATCAGGGCAACATGAATTCTGCCAACTGAATCTTTGAGTTTCTCACCATTAAGTAGGATGTTTGTTTTAGTTTTTTGGTAGATACTCTTTAACAAGTTGAAAAAATTCTCCTGTATTCCTAGTTTGCTGAGAGTTTTTAATCACGAATAAGTGTTAGGTTTTGTCAAATGCATTTTTGCATCCATGGATATGATGATGAGATTTTTCTTCTTTAGCCTATTGATGTGACTAATTTTCAAATGTTGAACCAGCCTTGCATACCTGGAATAAACCCTACTTTTCATAATATATAATTATTTTTACATATTGTTGAATTTAATTTGCTAATATTTTGTTGAGGATTTTTACATGTATGCTCGAGAGACATTTGTCTGTAGTAATATCTTTGTCTGGTTTTGGTATTAGGGTAATGCTGGCCTCATATAATGAGTTAGAAAGTATTCCTGCTGTTTCTACATTCTGGGAGATATTGTAGAGGACTGGCATAATTTTTTCCTTAAATGTTTGGTAGAATTCACCAATGAACCCATCTGGGCTTGGTGCTTTCTGTTTTGGAAGGTTATTAATTATTGATTCAATTTCTTTAATATAAACAGGCCTATTCAGATTATTTGTTTCTTCTTGTGTGAATTTTGGCAGATTGTGTCTTTCAAGGAACTGCTCCATTTTATCTAGGTTATCAAATTGGTGGGCATAGCATTTTTCAAAATATTCCTTTATTATTCCTTTAATGTTCATGGGATCTGTAGTGATGTCCCCCTTTCATTTCTGATATTAGTAATTTGTCTCTCTCTCTTTTTTTCTTAGCCTGGCAGAGGCTTACCAATTTTACTCATCTTTTAAAAGAACCAGCATTTGTTTTTGTTAATATTCTCTATAATTCCTGGTTTCAATTTTATTGATTTCTGCTCTAATTTTATTATTTCTTTTATTATGGTTAGTTTGGATTTAACTTGCTCTTCTTTTTCTAGTTTCATAAGGTGGAAGCTTAGACGACTGATGTTAGATCTTCTTTTCTAATATTTGCATTCAATGCTGTAAATTTCTAAGCACTGCTTTAACTGTTTCCCATAAATTTTGATAAGTTGTATTTTTATTTTTATGTAATTAAAAAAACTTTTTAGAAACAGGGTCTTGCTCTGTCACCCAGGCTGGAGTGCAATGGCATGATCATGGCTCACTGCAGCTTCACACTCTTGGGCTCAAGTCATCCTCTTGCCTCAGTCTCCTGAGCAGCTGGTACTACAGGCACATACAACTGTGCCCAGTTAATTTTTACATGTTTTTGTAGAGATGGGGGTCTTGCTGTGTTGCCCAGGCTGATCTCAAACTCCTGGCCTCAAATGATCCTCATGCTTCAGCCTCCTAAACTGCTAATTCAAAATATTTTAAAATTTATCTTGAGATTTCTTTTTTTTTTTGAGACAGAGTCTCACTCTATCGCCCAGGCTGGAGTGCAGTGGCACAATCTCAGCTCACTGCAAACTCCGCCTCCCAGGTTCACACCATTCTCCTGCCTCAACCTCCTGAGTAGCTGGGGCTACAGGCGCCCACCACCGCACCTGGCTAATTTTTTGTATTTTTAGTAGAGACAGGATTTCACCGTGTTAGCCAGGATGGTCTCGATCTCCTGACCTCATGATCCGCCCGCCTCGGCCTCCCAAAGTGCTGGGATTACAGGCGTGAGCCATCATGCCCAGCTGAAATTTCTTCTTTAACCCATGTACTTTTTAAAGTGTTTTGTTTAATCTTCAAGTATTTGGGAATTTTCCAGCTATCTTTCTGTTATTGATTTTGAGTTTAATCTGTTGTGGTTGGAAAGCAAACGTTGTGTGATTTCTGATTTATAAATCTGTTAAAATGTGTTTCCTGGCCCAGAATGTGGTCTCTCTTGGTAAATATTCAATGCAAGCTTGAGAAGAATTCTCAATCTGCTGTTGTTGGGTGTAGTATTTAGATGTCAATTATGTCCAGTTGATTGATGGTGTTGTTGAGTTCATCTGTGTCCTTATTGATTTTCTACCTGCTGGATCTGTTCATTTCTGATAGAGGGCTGTGGAAGTCTCCAGCTCTAATACTGGATTCATCTATTTCTCATTGCAGTGCTGTGATGTTTTTACCTCGTATATATTTGGCACTCTGTTGTTAGGCACATACACATTAAGGATTGTTACATCTTCTTGGAGTGCTGATTCCTTTATCACCTGTAATACTTCCCTTTGTCTCTGATAGCTTTCTTTGCTCTGAAGTCTGCTCTGTCTGAAATTAATATAGCCACTCCCACTTTCTTTGATTAGTGTTAGCATGGTATATCTTTCTCCATCCATTTACAGCAGATCTTCAAATAACATCATTTTGTTCAACATCATTTTATTTTGTTATAATGATAATAAGTTTTGTGCATTCTCCCCATGTCTGTGTGGGTTTTCTCTAGGTATTCCAGTTCTTCCCACACCCCAAAGATGTGCACACTAGGAGAGCTGGTGTGTCTCCATGGTCTCACTGTGAGTGTGGGTGTGTGTGAAATGTGCCCTGCAATGGAAAAGAGTCCTGTCCAGGATTGGTTCCCACCTTGCACCCTAAGCTGCCGGGATAGGCTCCAGCCACCTGCAACCCTGAGCTGGAGTAAGTGGATTGAAAAATAAATGAATTATTAGTAAAGTATTTTAAAATAACAATTCATAAACTATATGACAATCATAAAAATACATGACCACAAATAATGTGGTACAAAAGTGCTCATCAAGCCTGCCATGTTTGCTACTGTTTGTTTTTGAATTGAGTGGTGGTAGGAGGTGCTCCTCAGAATTTTCAGTTTACAAGCATTTATTCCTTGATTTAACCCACCACCACTATGACCACTGTCATTGATGATTCCTCAAAATTGAGTAAATAATTATCTTACTTGTTTTAATCTTTCTTAAATGTATGTATATCTTACATTTATTTCAATGTTTAATATTATAAGTATTTTGAGCCTATATTTAGAAGTTTGGTGATATTGTTGTGACCAGAAATATGTCACAAAAAACTTAACTCTTGTGTTTATCAATTAGCCTATAGGAAAAGTGGTTTTGTTATACATCACTTTACTCAAAAAGCCACAGTTTCCAAGAACCTACCACTGACGTTTAGTGAAGACTTACTATACTTTTAATCTATCCGTGTCCTTCTATGAAAGTGGGTTTCTTGTAGATGACATATAGTTGGGTATTGTTTTCTATCTACTCTGACAATCTGTCTTTTGATTGATGTATTTACACCATTGACATTTCAGGGATTATTAACATAATTGGGTTAATAGCTGCTATATTGTTTACTGCTTTCTATTTGTTGCCCTTGATCTTTGTTTCTAATTTTGTCACACGTTTTCTACCTTTTATGGTTTTAGTTGAACATTTTGTATTCTTTCATTTTCTCTCCATTCTGAGCATATCAACTGTACTTCTTTAAAAATTTTTTTGTGTGGTTTCCCTTGAGTTTGCAATATACATTATACAATAATCTGTAAGTCTACTTTCAAATAACACTATACAGTTTCATGGGTGGTGCAAATATCTTATAATAACAAAATATTTCTAATTCTTAACCCTTTCTTCCTGTATCATGACTGTCATTCACTTCATTTATATGTGAGCATATAGATGCACACATAATTCAGTTCATTGTCGCTATTATTTTGCACTGTTTTCTGTTTGCTAAATTAAAAAAAAGACAAAGTTTTTATTTTACTTCATTTATTCATGTTCCAGTGCTCTCCCTTACTTTATGTAGCTTCAAGTTTCTGACCTACATTATTTTCCTTCTCCTTAAATAATTTCTTCTAATATTTGTTGTAAGGAAGTCTATTGGCAAAAAATTCCCTCAATTTTTATTTGTTTGAGACTTTATTTTTCCTTCACTTTTAAAGGATAATTTCGCAGGGTACTGAATTCTAGTTTGGTGTTTTTTTCTCTCAGCACTTTAAATATTTCACTCCACTCTCTTCTTGCTTATACAGCCTGCCTGCCTGCCTGCCTGCCTGCCTGCCTGCCTGCCTGCCTGCCTTCCTTCCTTCCTTCCTTCCTTCCTTCCTTCCTTCCTTCCTTCCTTCCTTTCTTTCCCTTCCCTTCCCTCCCTCCCTCCCTCCCTCTCTCCCTCTCTCTCTCTCTCTTTTCTTTTTCTTTCTTTTTGAAAGCCTGTTGCACAGGCTGGAGTGCAGTGGTGCACCCACAGCTCATCACAGCCTAGACCTCCCTGGGCTCAGGTGATCCTCCCACCTCAGCCTCCCAAGTAGCTGGGACTACAAGTGCTCACCACCACACCTGGCTAATTTTTGTGTTTTTTGTAGAGATAGAGTCCTGTCATGTTACCCTGGCTGATATTGAACTCCTGGGCTTAAGCATCCCACTTGCCTCAGCTTCCCAAAGTGTTGGGATTGTAGGCATGAGTCACCATGCCCAGCTGCTTACACAATTTCTGAGGAGAAGTCAGATGTGATTCTTATCCGTGCTCCTCCACAGGTAAGGTGATTGTTTCCCTCTGTCTTTTTTTCAAGACTTTATCTTTGACTCTAAAGTTTGAATGTGGTACACCTAGGTGGTGTTTTTGGTTGTTTGGAGTTTTTTTTTTTGGCATTTATTCTGCTTAATCTTCTCAAAGCTTTCTGGATTTATGGTTTGGTGTCTGACATTAATTTGGAAAAATTCTTGGTCATTATTGCTTCAAATTTCTTTCTTCTCCTTCTTGTATTCCCATCACACATATGCTACACCTTTTGTAGTTGTCCCAGAGTTATTGAATATTCTGTTTTTTTTTTTTCCTTTTTCTCCTTGCTTTTCGGTTTGGGAAGTTTCTATTGTCATATCCTTAAGCTAAGAATCATTTCCACAGCCATGTATGTCTAGTCAGCTAACGAACCCATCAAAGGCATCCTTCATATCTGTTCTAGTGGTTTTGATCTCTAGCATTTCTTCTTTATTCTTTCTCAGAATTTTCCACATCTCTGCTTACATTACCCATCTGTTCTTGTCATTCCTGATCTGATAATTTCAACATTCCTGCCATATCTGACTCTGGTTCTGATGCTATTCCGTCTTTTCAAGCTATGTCTTTTGTCTTTTAGTATGCCTTGTAATTTTTTGTTGAAAGGCAGACATAATGTACTGGGCAAAAGAAACTGCAGTAAATGGCCCTTTAGAAATGTAGTGATCCAAGCTGGGTGTGGTGGCTCACGCCTGTAATCCCAGCACTTTGGGAGGCCCAGGTGGGTGGATCATGAGGTCAAGAGATCGAGACCATCCTGGCTAACATGGTGAAACCCCGTCTCTACTAAAAATACAAAAAATTAGCCGGGCGCGGTGGCAGGCGCCTGTAGTCCCAGATAATTGGGAGGCTGAGGTAGGAGAATGGCGTGAACCCGGGAGGCGGAGCCTGCAGTGAGCCGAGATTGCGCCACTGCACTCTCCAGCCTGGGTGACAGAGCGAGACTCCGTCTAAAAAAAAAAAAAAGAAATGTGTTGGTCCAACATGGGGCCAGGAGAGGCATTCTCTAGTTCTCTGAACAGGTCTCAGCCTTTTGAACCTGTGTCCTGGACTGTGAACTTCACTAATGCTTTTCAGTTTCTATCCCCCTTAAAGGTTGGACAGGATGACTAGAAGGGCCTGGGGTTCGGTATTTCCCTTCTCCCAGGTGGTCTGGGCTCTGATAAAACCTCAACAGGCAAGGCTGATTGAATAGTTTCTGTTGGGGGCAGCCTTGTTAAGAACAGAAGGCTCTGGCAGACTTTAAAATGACTCCTTTCCCCCTCCCCCGGCTGAGAGCATGAGGGGATTTCTCTCTGATATTCACTGTGAGGACCTGGTAGGGCTCCTGGAGATAAAATCCACAAAGGCGTGTTTCCCATAACTGGGTCCCCTCGAGTTTTTAACTCTCAAAGTTGTCCACACTGAACCGCAATTCATCAACTTCATCCAGGTTTTCTTATGCCGGCACTGGTTCCAGTGGAGGTTTCTGCTCTTGGGAAGCTGTGATTCTCTGTATCTGTCAGTGTTTCTCTTCAATTTGCCGGGGGGCAGCAGTTTGTCCTGTGACCTAATTTCTCTGAAAGATTTAAGAAGAGTTGATTTTTCAATTTTTTTCAGCTGTTTACTTGTTAGGACAGAGTGACAACTTCTAAGTTCTACATGTATTTTTAATTTTGTGCATTAGATTTTTGATTTCTAAAAATCTTAATTGGCTGTTTAACAAATCTATCTGTCATTTTCATAGTTTTCTGTTACTTGCAGGTATTTTCAAGTTGATCTTTTACTTCTTTAAACATAATGATAACTAAAAATAATATGTGTCTGATAATTCCATTTTTTAAGTCTTTGTGGATTTTTGCTTACTATTTTTTCTGCCAGTTCTAACTCATGGTGCCTTGTGTCTTTGTATATGTAGTTATTTTTCACTGTGAGCTGCTCATGTTGCTTATACAATTATTGGGGGAAATTCTTTGAGTTTGAGATGAATGTGCATCCCTTCACAGACTGTATTTGCTTTTCCCAAGCTCCTGTAGCCCCATCAATCTGAAATCTTTTTAAACTAATTCCACAGCCTAAAGATTTTTGGACTCCCAAGGAACAGAGTCTCTGTGCTTGGAGGCGGCCCGGGCAGCCTGGCTTGTCCAGATGGAGCTCACGGCCGGGGCCTCGCCTGTGACTCGGTGTGGGCGGGGCCTCGCCTGTGACTCGGTGTGGCCCGGGGCCTCGCCTGGGACTCGGTGTGGGCCGGGGCCTCGCCTGGGACTTGGTGTGGGCAGTGGCCAGGATGTGACCATGGTGAGACCAGGCCTTGCCAGAGCGTGGACTTGGCAGACACGGCTCCTCCCTTGTGTGCGGTGGGAGCTTTTGGTGCGTTCCTTACGTTGGAGCCGGCATGGAGAAGCAGGGCGGTCCCTGGGGACCAGCTCCTCATTTGCACCCCTCTTTTTAATTAAGTACATTGTTTATTTTTGGTACCTACTTGTAGCCTAGTTTAGGGCCCACCGCATATTCTAAAGTGATGCACCCAATGGTGTCCAGAGACAGACTAGCCTGGAGTTGGATGGGGGGCCAGTCTGGGGATGCAAAGGTCTAGAGAAGCCCAGGCCAAGGGCAGGCAGAGCAGGGTGGGAGTGGGAGCAGGAGGGGATGCTGGGGGCAGTGGCAGCACATGTGTCCCAAACCACTGCCTCCTAGGTGGGGTGGGACGGGCCCCAACACACCACCTGGCTGTGCCCCGTGTGGGGGTCAGGGGTGCAGCGAGGAGGGCTGGGTGAGCAGTGGGGTCAGCAGTGCGGCGAGGAGGGCTGGGTGAGCAGTGGGGTCAGCAGTGTGGCGAGGAGGGCTGGGTGAGCAGTGGGGTGAGGGGTGCGGCGAGGAGGGCTGGGTGAGCAGTGGGGTGAGGGGTGCGGCGAGGAGGGCTGGGTGAGCAGTGGGGTCGGGTGCGGCGAGGAGGGCTGGGTCAGCAGTGGGGTCAGCAGTGTGGTGAGGAGGGCTGGGTGAGCAGTGGGGTCAGCAGTGCGGCGAGGAGGGCTGGGTGAGCAGTGGGGTCAGCAGTGTGGCGAGGAGGGCTGGGTGAGCAGTGGGGTCAGCAGTGTGGCGAGGAGGGCTGGGTGAGCAGTGGGGTCGGGTGCGGCGAGGAGGGCTGGGTCAGCAGTGGGGTCAGCAGTGCGGCGAGGAGGGCTGGGTGAGCAGTGGGGTGAGGGGTGCGGCGAGGAGGGCTGGGTCAGCAGTGGGGTGAGGGGTGCGGCGAGGAGGGCTGGGTGAGCAGTGGGGTCGGGTGCGGCGAGGAGGGCTGGGTGAGCACTGGGGTGAGGGGTGCGGCGAGGAGGGCTGGGTGAGCAGTGGGGTCAGCAGTGCGGCGAGGAGGGCTGGGTGAGCAGTGGGGTGAGGGGTGCGGCGAGGAGGGCTGGGTGAGCAGTGTGGTCAGCAGTGTGGCGAGGAGGGCTGGGTGAGCAGTGGGGTGAAGGGGTGCGGCGAGGAGGGCTGGGTGAGCAGTGGGGTCGGGTGCGGCGAGGAGGGCTGGGTGAGCAGTGGGGTCAGCAGTGCGGCGAGGAGGGCTGGGTGAGCAGTGGGGTGAGGGGTGCGGCGAGGAGGGCTGGGTCAGCAGTGGGGTGAGGGGTGCGGCGAGGAGGGCTGGGTCAGCAGTGGGGTCAGCAGTGCGGCGAGGAGGGCTGGGTCAGCAGTGGGGTCAGGGGTGCGGCGAGGAGGGCTGGGTCAGCAGTGGGGTCAGCAGTGTGGCGAGGAGGGCTGGGTGAGCAGTGGGGTGAGGGGTGTGGTGAGGAGGGCTGGGTCAGCAGTGGGGTGAGGGGTGCGGCGAGGAGGGCTGGGTGAGCAGTGGGGTCGGGGTGCGGCGAGGAGGGCTGGGTCAGCAGTGGGGTCAGCAGTGTGGTGAGGAGGGCTGGGCGAGCAGTGGGGTCGGGGTGCAGCGAGGAGGGCTGGGTCAGCAGTGGGGTCGGGGTGCAGCGAGGAGGGCTGGGTGAGCAGTGTTGGCCTCTTCCCCGCTCTGCCCAGTACCTAGAGTGCTGCCACGTCTGGTGAAGGACTCAGTAAATACTTGGTGAAGGATCAGATGAAGAAGGAAAAGTTGTCAGTGCTGAGGCAGGAGAAGCCAACCTCAGCATCTGAGCCTGAGTGGTGGTGGGGCAGGGTCCTGCCCAGAGAAAGGTGATCCCCTTCCCGAGGGGAGGGCTGGCACGGTGCTCAGGAGCAAGGGCTGCAGGCCCACAGGACCTTTGTTCATCTGACCTGTGTCCCCATGCCAGGCTCTGTCCCAAGCGGGCTGAGGCAGATGGCCTAGGCAGCCGTCGGTGAACCCTCCCTGGCTCCAGAGCCTGTGCAGGCCCCGTGGGGGTCAGGCTGCTGTGGGGGGCTTGAGGACCCTCACTTTTGGCCCCTGGAGGCCCCGACGAGGCGGCCCTTGAGGTTCAACTGGACAGTATTCCCCTGACCCCTGAGCAGAGTGTGGCATCAAGACCCCGACAGTGAGGCCAGTCCCAGGCCGGGATTCGGTGCCCTCCTTTAATGTGTGTGCGAGTGCCCACAGGCCTCACTCAGCCTAGAGGAAGGTGGGCTTGCGAGCTGGGGCCTGTCTCATGCTTTGCCTCCGTGGCATTGGCTGCGCCTCACTCCTGCACTGTGGCTTCCATGTGTTGAAAGGCGAGTTCCATAGGTGAGAACAGCTCCCTCCCAGCACACCACCGGCCTTTGCTCGTGTACAGTATTTACCCAATGCCGGTGAACACGAGCAGCCTCCATATTCTTGCACCAAGGCTGGAGAAGGACCCAGCCTGCAACACAGCTCATGAGGCATCAGGGGCCAAGCACCTACCGTCTTGATGACTGGGGGATGGTGCCCAGGTCTGTCTGCCCCCACTGTCCAGTGGATGGTGTGGGAAGGCATTGCAGGCTGGCTGAGCAGGTTACATAACAGTGCACACATGGGTTTACTTTACTTGAAACCCTAAACCCTCTGCAAACAGCCCCCTCCCTAATCCCTCCCTGTTGACTCTGTAGATGAGCCCAGGGTGCTGAAAGATGCAGCTGCATGCCTCTGCAGCCAGGCCCAGGGCCTGCAACATCCTTCAGCCAAACGTGGGTCCCTGGGGAGCCTCTGTGGCCTCGCCGGTTTCGATGAAGGCCAGAGGACTGGCTGCACGGGTTGCCTCAGCTCTGCCTGCCTCTCTGTTCGTGCCTCTCTCCTACCTGGCGGGGGTGTCTCTGTTGGCCTCAGAGATGTCGCTGGTGCTCACCCTGGTCACACTGACCACTGGGCATCCTCCCACCCCCTGGGCCACTTCTGTCTCTGCACTTGGCTTCCCTGCCCACGGCGTGGCACCCAAACAAAGCCCACAGAGAGGCTGGCGCCCTCCTCAGCCAGATGCCTGCATTTAATAGAAGATGCAGAGACACAATCTAAGCCAAAGGAATGAATCTCTAGTGGTGAAATAGCATCTGGTAAGAGGAGAGATTTCTGAAAGGAGGCCCCTTTCTCCTTCTCGCCCCTCCTTGCTCTGGAGGCTGAGTCCAGCTGCTCCTCCCATGCCCCTGCCCAGAGGGCAACGTGCACCAGGGCCTGAGAGCACAGACAGGTCTAGGTGGGATCCGTGTCAGCACCGCAGGGCACACGAGCGACTCGGCAGGCTCCAGAGTTTGGCTCATTTTCTGCTTGGTCCCTTTTTGATGCCTGTGATTTATTTATAACAATAGTTTGCATAATTCCAAATGTGGTGACACAGCATGCAGACGCTGAGTGAAATGAAGACAGAACAGATTTTTCAGAGGGGTAGTGGTGTGGAGCAGGCTGGGCCGCGAGTGATAGAACTGAGCCCCAGGTTGTGCTCGGAGTCTCCTGGTGCCAGAACACTGGGCTTCCGTGGGACCTGAGGGGCTGAAACGGTGCTGGACCTGGACCCTTCCTCACAGTCACCCTCAGGTAGCCCATCTCAGACAGGAGGGGACCCCTTGTCCCCCATCCCCATGTTCGGAGCGTGCTGAGCTGCACACAGTCCTCCCTGGGTCTGAGACCGCTGGTCCTGCCCCCACCCCAGCTCTCTCCCCTCTGGGTCTTGGGTTTCAGCTGTGATGTCATCCTGCTTGCCTGGAGTCCAGAGGGGTTAGCTGGGGGGCTCTTGTTTGCCCAGAATTCCTTGTGGCTGTCCAGTCTCAGTGCCCACTGTGATGCCTGACCCTCCGTGAGAGCCAGCACTCAGGTCAGAGATCGTAACCTCCCGAGTGCTGAGTGTCTCCGGCGCTGCCCAAGCTCAGGGCATGTTTGTGTCTCAGTTCAGGGCATGTTTATGAATTGACAAATGAAGTTTTGGAAGAGGACAAGTTCACATACACTTGACCACCGAGAGATAGAGGGAGGGTTTCACATAGCTCTCTACCATGGGGGGGAGCGGTTTTCCCCTGGGGCCTAGTGTGTGGCCCTGTCCAAGCTCACCCAGCCTCCCCTTGAGGGAGCACCATAGATTCCGGATGCTCAGACCATGTTGGAAGCTCAGGCCTTTGGAACACCTCAGATCCTACTCCAGCCTTTCTAGAAGCTGGGGTTTAATATATCTTAGCAGATGGGAATGTCCTGTCACTCAGAGAAAAGGCTGGGCAAGGTCTCTCTGGGGATGAAACCACTTAGCGCTCTTCTTTTGGGGGATTTAAGCGCAAATGATTCAGAAACAGTCAGGCTTCATTTCTTGACACGGGGCTGGAGGAGGTGAGAAGGGCATTGACCAAATGAAATTTGGGTTTGGTCCAAGTCAGAAATGTGTGAGATGAATGGGGACAGGTTTCCCGAGCCCATTTAGGTCTGTGCACGGTTACCAACAGCAGCAGCAGCAGCGGAGGCTGGGGCACCAGGGTGGGGCTCCTGAATGGGACATGAAGAAGGGTTACCCCTTCTGCCATAAGCAACAGGCAGGGCAGATTTTACAAACGCGTTTTCTAGCATTGTTTCTTTCAGCCCAAAAGAGTTCTGTGAGTTCATCTTCAGAAATCAAGTTTCTGAGAGGTGGGGACATCCAAGGACACTGGAGATTGGGATGTCCGGGAAAACGGGGTCTTCAGGCCCGATCTCTGCCCACCTTCCATGCCCTTTCCCCAGCCTGCCCCTCCAGGGTGCAGCCTCCCCATGCCGACGAGGTTCCCTGGCACAAGCAGGCTGGTGTGCATGTCTGTGCTTTGGCTGCAGGAGCTGCAGAGAGGGTGATGTCAGGTCCATGTTGTGTAGAGAGAATTCCGACATCGCCCAGCAGGTGCTCGGGTGCCGTGTCCAGCAGCTTGGTGGGCTTCCTCAGCCCCTCAGACCCCCAAAACCATTTTCTTTTTTTGCATCCATCAATGTCCCGCACAGGAGCAGGCCCCTCCCAGGTGAGGTGGGCTTGGATGCAGGAGGGAAGTGGTAAAGACCCCTCCCAGAGACAATGCAGAATTGGCCTACACGGGTGGGGCATTGGAAGCCAGCTCTGGGGGTACTGACTCAGGAAGATGTGCCTCAGCTGAGCCCCGGGCATTAGGAATTGGCTGCAGGCATGGACAGTGGACACGGAGCAGGGAGGCCCAACGCTACCTGCCTACAGGGGAGCCTGGGACGTGGGCTTCTGTTCCGCAGCCTGCAGAGCCTGCTGGAGCCGGGCTGGTGTCGAGGACCACCTGGCGCCCAGCAGGTCCCCCTGCAGCTTGTTTTCTGGGAAAGCAATGGACTGAATGCCTGTGTCCCCCCAAATTCATGTGTTGAAATCAACCCTCAAGGTGATGGCATTTGGGGGTGCAGCCTTTAGGAGGTGATGGGGTCATGAGGGCGGAGGCTCATGAACGGGGTTACTGCCCTTACAGAAGAGGCCTAAGGGATGCCCCTCTCTTCCTCCACATGACACAGTGAGAAGGTGGCTGTCTGCAAGCCAGGAAGAGGGCCCTCACCAGAACCCAACTCAGCTGGTACCGTCTGCAGCTTCCAAACTCCAGAACTGTGAGAAATAAATGTGTGTTGTTATTAAATCGTCTTGGTGTTTTGCTAGAGAAGCCCTAGCTAAGGCACCTTCCGTTCTCCCACCTCTTCCTCCTGGGGCAAGGCCTGGGTGAGGCCCCATAAGCCAGCGAGTGGCTTCAAGCTGGTGGCACAGCCAGTTTCAAGCCGTCTCTGGGGTACGTGGCACACACAAGAGCCGGGCTGTGTAACCTGCAGCCCACGGCTCCACAGAGGGGCTGTGCCGCCCGGGGACACTTTCTCTGCAGGTCTCTGGCTTCAACCCTCCTTGCCGCTTGTGTGCCGGGATGCACTTTTGGGGCAGCTGGCAGCCTTTTAGCCTCAGCTCCTCTGTGGGGACAGAGCCAAGACTGATCGCAAGGCCAAGACCTAGGAGTCCAGGGGAGGCCCTCGGCTCTGTCCTTCCTGCCGGCCCGGCTCCTGCTCATTCCACTAACAGGCATCTCCCTGATGAAATCCTCGAGAGGTTAGTCCTGTCTCGGCGGCAGCTGCTCAGAGCACCGGGCTGTCCTCTGGCCCCTCCGAAAGCATGGCCCTGAATCACTGGGGGAGCCTCACCAGGCAGAGATGGCTCATCCCCATGGACCTGGGCCCCCGGGTCCCGGCCCCCCTGGCCTGGCCAGCACCTGACGCTGCTGTGAGGAGCATATGGTCAAATCTGCACCTGCTGCCGGCCACAAGGGAGGAGCAAGTGCTGAGTGCCCCTGGGCCACCTGACCAAGAGGTGTCCTTGTGTCCCTCGCCCCCTGCCCCAGACGTGCCTCTCGGGACCTTCAGGCCACGGTGCTATTTATTACCCACTTGAGGACAAACTCGGAGCCAACCCACAGGCCTATGTGGCAGGACTGGCCACACCTGGGCCCAGACACGCTGCAGCTTTGCGACTCCGGCCACAGATCCCGGGGACTGACTGGGGTTGCAGGCCTTGGGCCAGCCCCTGAACCTGGCCGTGCCTCACAGAGCTTTGGTGGGGATGACATGAGTGGATACATTCAAAGGGTTTAAAACGGCGCCTGGCACACTGCATCCGTGCTGCTGTGATTCTATTTGAGTTGGTGCTTTCCAGATCGGTTTCTCTCTGTGACGATCCAGAATCTGTGTTCCGTGCCCAGGCCCAGGAGTGAGGAGAGGCCAACAGGGAGGAGAGGAGGGCTCCTGCCTCAGGGAAACGGAGCCCGTGCAGGAGGTCCTGGCCGGGCAGCATGGGGCTCAGGACGGATGCCCGTGGCGGGTCACCCCCCACAGCAGTCACAGCCGGGGGGCCCCCAGGCCTCAGGGTTCCACGGAGCAGGTTGGGCAAGTGTGTTAGGACCATCAGCAACCTGTGTGCAGCCAAAGACAGCAAGGACAGAGCCAGGAACTCCGGCTTCTGCCTCCTCTCCCTGTGCCGCCTCTCCTGGCTGAGGGCTGGAGAGAGAAGGCCACGGAGCGAGAGTGGCAGCCCTCAAGGGACGCAGGCTCAGTGCTGGCTGCAGGGGAGCTGCGAGGGCCTCAGGCGAGGGAGCTGCGAGGAGGCCGCTGCGGCCCAGTCCGTCTGTTCCCTGAGCTGATGACAAACCGTTTGTTTTCTGTGAAAGGTGCTTTACTGGGAGAAAGGCTAACAGTGAGGCAGCTCTGAAGTGCTTTTATTCTCAGTTTCCTCTGTCGCTTAAAGACCACTTCACATTTCTTTTTATTTACACGGATAAGGATGGATGAGCTTGATGTTCTCCCACCTTCCTCTTGGCGCAGCTTTCTTCTCCTCCCTCTTGGAAGGACTTTCGCTTTTTATTATTATTTTAAACGTTTTAAACAACAATCTCCCAGGCGCCCAACAAAGGCGCTACTGGTGCCAGGTGCTTGGCGCCTGCCTTCCCTGACAACACACGGGCCACATCCTCAGCCCCCCCGGCTGGTGGCCTGTGACTCCCGCCCCAGTGCCAGACTCTTTATTTCATTTTGTTGGCATGGTGGAAAACACTGGCTTTTCAGGAGGTGACCCTGCTTTCAAGAGCCAACCTTTGGAGAAAACAGGACACAGAAGCTGGTTTTGGCTGTGAGGCCCTGACGCACGGATGCAGGTTGCACAGGCCCCATGTCCTCCTCACAGCCTGCCTTTCCAGCTGGCTCAGGAGTCCCTGCGGCTTGAGTTTATCCAGAAGCTTCCCTTTCTCCCGCAAGAGCTACTCGTGGAAGAGACCAGTTTTAAGTGATTTTGCCGCATTTGACCTTTTGGGTATTTCAGTGAAAACAAAACCTCTTCCACAATGCAAAAACTTGGATTCAACAACCATCGATTATTCCCTCTGGGCACCTCACAGAGCTGGGGTGAAGGCCACCTGGGGTTCACGGGACTCACCGTTGGGTGTTGGCATTGAGTCTTGTAGAGCAGGGACTGGCAAAGTCAGAGCACAGGGCCTGGTGTGAATCCCACCTCCTTCCCCGACTGGCCAGGGGACCTGCAGCAAGCGCTCAGCATCTCTGAGCCTTAGTTTCTTCCTCTGCACGGGGAGCTCAGCGGTGGCACCCACTTCATTTCAGTGGTGCCCCCTTAGTCATGGATGATATAAAAATGTTGCCACAAAAGTAACCAAGACAGGTCGGGATGAGATATGCACGACTTCTAAACCCAATTAGGGATTAATTAGGAACATACAATAAATTCCCCCAATTCATAAGAAAAAGACAGGAACTCCGGTGGATGAATGGACAGATGATATTAATAGGCAATTTTCAGAGGAATTTAAAGCAGCAGACAGATCCATCATACCTGCCAGACAGGTGTGCGCTGCCTGGTGTGACCCTGCTGGAGGCAGTGAGGGCAGCAGGGATGGCAGCACCTGGCGGCTAGGACTCGGCCAAGCTGAAGTTCATGCACCCGAGAGCCACAGCCTCTGCCCCAGACAGGGATCAGAAGTAGATTTACACTCCCCTCTGAAAGAACAACAACAGAGAAAACACACAAAGCACATTTTTCAAAACCCTGGGCATCGGTCGCCCGCACTCCGCCACCGTGAGTACACTGCGTGGACCCAGAACCTTGACTCCTCTTGTTTCTGTGAGGCTGGGACTTACGGGTGATGTGCAGAGGGGCCAGAGCTGGTATTTAGAGAGGAAATTTGGGGGCAATTAAAATAGGGGTTCTCGACAAGTCTGGCCTCCCTGAGCCCAGGACCACCATAGAGCTCTGAACAGAGGAATGAGCTGGTCGCCGTGAGAGGCGGCTTTGCCAGAGCTGGGCCAGGGGGAAACAGCCCGTTCAATCAGGACTTGGGGGGTGGGACTGGCTTGGGGTTGGTTGGTGTGAGGCGGGGAGAAGGAGATCCGGAAGAGTCCTCGACGGCTGACATTCACGTCACTGGAGGGGGCCGATTGGAGGGGTCAGCGATGGGCTCAATTTTGTGCCCTCTTGAGTTCGAGGTGTCTGTGGGGCCTCCAGCTACAGACATTTGTGTGTTGGAAAAGCTCTGCAAACCCTGAAACCTGGGGAGGCCCCTGGTCTTGTCTGATGGTTGTAGGTCATGGTGACCTCCACTAGGGCATCTTCACTCCCCTGAGCCACACTGAGACACTGGGTTTGATTGAGACTCTCCAGCCATGATGACAAGGGTTCAGCTCTGGTAAGCCATGTGCAGCCTCCCCCTCAAAGACCAGATGCCACCCACCCAGGGCCCCAAACATCCTGGCCCAGCGGGTCTGCTCACTCCTTGATGAGCTTACCTTCCTCGATCACCCCAACATGCAGAGAGAAACCCTTTGCCCTTCTTGGAGGGAGGGGTCAGATGCTCACTCTGCAGATCCCTGAAGACAAGCAGATGCTCCCTGAGTGGCCTGTCTGAGGGATTCAGCTGGCAGCTGGGTATCCTCATGTGTGCAGTTCCTGAGTGAGCACTGGTGGTGGGGAACAGGCCTGGCTTTCCATGCCTGGGGGGTGCAGGGGGGATGGGCCTGGCTTTCCACGCCTGGGGGATGCAGGGGGGATGGGCCTGGCTTTCCACGCCTGGGGGGTGCAGGGGGGATGGGCCTGGCTTTCCACGCCTGGGGGGTGCAGGGGGGATGGGCCTGGCTTTCCACGCCTGGGGGGTGCAGGGGGGATGGGCCTGGCTTTCCACGCCTGGGGGGTGCAGGGGGGATGGGCCTGGCTTTCCACGCCTGGGGGGTGCAGGGGGGATGGGCCTGGCTTTCCACGCCTGGGGGGTGCAGGGGGGATGGGCCTGGCTTTCCACGCCTGGGGGGTGCAGGGGGGATGGGCCTGGCTTTCCACGCCTGGGGGGTGCAGGGGGGATGGGCCTGGCTTTCCACGCCTGGGGGGTGCAGGGGGGATGGGCCTGGCTTTCCACGCCTGGGGGGTGCAGGGGGGATGGGCCTGGCTTTCCACGCCTGGGGGGGTGCAGGGGGGATGGGCCTGGCTTTCCACACCCGGGGGGTACAGCGGGGATGGGCCTGTATTCCACACCTGGGGGTGTATGTCCACCACCCAGATGCCACCTCTGTGTCATTCCTGGAGGGCATTCGGGCATCACCTGAGGGTGGGGAGCAGTGCCCTGACCCACATGACCCCCAGCAGAAGCTGCCACTGTCGGCCCTGGGCTCCGGGTGTCAGCGTGGCGCTCTGGGCTTTTCCCACACTGGGGGGCCATTTCAGGATGTGGATCCCTCCAGGAAGGGCTTGCTGAGTGGCTGCTGTTTGCTGGGATGGGTGAGGGGTAGACAACAGGCACTCAGGAGCCATGGTTGGGACAGAACTTATGTTTGTCAGCCACCTTGGAGGGGCGACCTGGAGAGCTCGGACAACCTTGCAGCACCCACCAGAGAGCTTAGCACCAGGACCCAGCGGAGCTCTCCCACGTGCACACAGACTCACTGCTCGTGTGTGAGAAGGGGAATAAGTGTGACTGAGCCTTCTGGAAGTTAGGGCCTAGCACAGAGGGTCCCAGATGGCCCGGAGAACCAGGTCCTGTGCAGCTATCCAGAGAAGGTCCAGTCACCAGAGACAGACAGCTGGAGTGCCAGGGCCCTGGAGGTATCAATTGCCTTTGTTTTACATGAAGACATTGAACTTCCACAGGAGGGCAAACGCCCTGGCTAAAGTAACTGGCGGGGCAGCGTCAGGAACTCACAAGCCCCTGTGGTCCGTGCAGGCTGCCGTCGATTTGATGAGCACAGCAGGTCCAGGCAGAGAGACGCTCACCTCCAGCTGCGGTTGGGGTATGTCTGGGAGGCCTGTGGGGTGGCTTTGCTCCTCCACCTTGGGCCAGGGTAGCCTGTGGCAAAGACAGTCTCACAGTGTGTAGTCTCCTTGAGGTCTGGGCCTGTCCGCAGACAGGAAATAATGAGACCGGCTCAGGACAGGGCCGGGCTGGCCTCTGTGTTTTGTGAAAGTTCGAGTTTCTACACCCTCTGAGAAGATGCTGGGCCCTGAGGGAGGGTGTGGACCAGAAGGAAGTCACGGGGTGAGTGGAGGGGGAGGGAAGCTTATGTGCCATTTTAAGAAGACGACAGCAAAAACAGGAAAATCCTATTTATCTGAATCCTATGTGATTCCACTTGAATTTTCAATAATTTAGACAAAAGTAAATTGGCGTTTACTTTTGCATTAGCCATAAGGAGCAGAAGGAGAAATTTGCTCCCTAGAATATGAGTGTTGACGTGTTGCTGACATCAAAACAGAATTTAAACTTTGAGGAAAGAGAGATGCCAGTGCTGCCACAAAGGCACCGACGCCCGAGACAGCAGGGCTCGTGTTTCTTCACGCAGACCATCTGTGCCGCCGTTGGCCATCGGAGGTGATGAAACTGGGCTGCTTCCAATGCATTCCAGAATGTAAACCCCTCACCGTGTTTCTTCTTGGTTTGATCCCTGGAGTGCCTGTGCTTTGTCTTCAAGTCACACTTGGGATTTTGCTAGTTTTCCAAGATTATCGCATTTTTTTTGAACAAAGTAAATCAGTTTCCGACAATGCCACTGTCGTGTTAGGGTTTCTCGGCGTGTCGCCTGGCTCTGGCCGGGGTTGTGTGTGACGCTTCCTACCCGTGCTGCCTTGCACATTTATGGAGCAGGGGGTTTGCCGGCAGCGGTCTTGGTTCCTTATAATCCTGTCATCGTCCTCGTCGTCAGCCCCCTCCTTCCCCTGCTCTTCCTCTGTTGTCCCAGCAAGACTTTCAAAGAACCAGCTATTGCTCAAGTGGTCTTTTAGAGAATGTGCACACCTCTCAACCACTCCACAACACCTCAAGATTGCAGTGGTTGTGTTTCGGGTTCACATACATGTATATCGAGACTCAGGGAAGTCCAGGGCCACACAGGAAGTGGCAGAGCCAAGATTTAGACCTGATCTAGCTCCAAATCCCAGCTTCTCTGTTGCTGGCCACGCAGGATGAGCTCTGTTTCCCAGGCAGGCTGAGCAAATGTCCAGGATGGCAGGTTCTTGGCAGGGCCCTGGGGGCTGAGGCCACAGAAGGCCTCCTCACAGGAGTGGGGGTGAAGGGCCCCAGGTCCAGGCTGGATGACCTTCTGCCCTTCCTGATGCGGGTGACCTGGCTCTGCTGGTTTGAAGTAAAAACGCTGTTGGCAGAGAATCGAGACGCGGGGAAGGTTAGTTCAGGGCAGGGATGTTGGTGTCTGCGGGTGATGACTGCAGCCTCCCTGTGTGTTGTGTTTCCCGGTTGGCACACCTCTGTTTATTGTCTGCGCCAGCCTCATACCCCCTTTCCCTCAGCGTATTTCCTTCATAACAGGATGGCAGACTCAGCGGCTGCTATGGGGCTGTTCCAACTACTGAAAACACTGAGATAAGGCCCACGGTGGCAGAAATCCCTGAGGCTGCCAAGGGTGCCCACATCCCAGATGCCGGGGCTCTGAGAGTCGCCTCCTCTGTTCTTAGTTGCCTCGGATGTGAACAGGCGGCCATCAGGGGGTGTCATCCTGAGCCCTGAGGTGGGGCCTGGGGTCTGCACTCGAATTCACGGTGCCCTGATGCTAAGTTTTAATTCTTAAAAAGCTTTTCTAGCTCAAGATACTCCTCAATATATTAATTATTGGCTGAAAAAAGCCTAAATTTTTAATCTTGCAAATGCTAGAATTTCTGAGCTCCCTATGTTTTCTCTCAATTCTGCTGCAAGCTTGGCTTTCCTTTCTGAGCTTATCTTTTTCTTGAGGTACTTTATCAAATGCAGTAGCAATGATTATTCACTCTAGAGACATTTTGCTTGGAAAGCTTTTCACCCAATGCCAGGATTACATTGGGTATGTTTCCTGCTTTCTAAGTTATTACAGGAGCCCATGTTAGTGATTTTTTTTTTACCATTACATGTCACAAGTTGCCATTCCCCGACTTTCTAAAGTAGTTTATTCACCACCCAGTCTATCAGCCAGTGCCACATATTAATACTTTAGGTTTTATTATGGCAGCACCTACTTTTGACACCAAATTCTCTATTGGTCAGCTATTGCTATAATAATGCTGTGTAACAAATGGCCCCACCAATCCCAGTGGTTTAGAAGAAGCTGTTTGTCTCTCATGCCTATGTCGGTGTAGTGGCCGCAGCATCTACTTCAGGCTGCAGGTGCCTCTCAGGTGTGTGGCTTGGCTCTCATTTTGAGACCTGATGGAAGAGGCAGAAGGTCCCCCCGGGGCACTTCCCAGGCCAGGCGTGCAGGAGGGCAAGTGGAAGCACATACTTACCTGTACTCAGAACTGCCCCCACTGTCCCCTTCCACACTTCAGTGGTCACAGCAAGTCCCATTTCCAATCCATGGTGCTGGGACTGGGAGGGAAGGAAGGACTGTGAGTGTACAATGCCACCTGCCACAGGAATGGCTCAAGGATGGAGGCAAAGTTAACACCAGGAGTTGCCCTGTCCCTCTGCTCCTGAAGCCCTTGGCTTTGCAGAGATGATGTGGTGCAGTGGAAAGGACACAGTGCATGGCGGGCCAGCTCGGCTGCCCTGACACACTGTGGCCAGCTGGCCTCTCCTCGGTGTCCCTGGAGCTGCAGCTTTGATGCCAGGGTAGAAGATGAGTGGGAGGCGGAGGGGCATTTCCAGCCAACTCTATACACTGAGAAGCACTAAAGATTAACAGGTGACTGTCTGGGAAGAGCCAGCTTTGTAAGAGACACTGAGAGGCACCACTTCCCGGGCCTTCATCTTCCCTCTGGATGGGTGGAGGAACAGGGACACCAAACCTGACATTGCTCCCATACTGAGTGCCAGCCATGGCCCCACCTTGCACAGCCCATGCCTCAAGGGGGCCATGGCTAGCACTATCTGACAAGAGGATGCTGGGCAGGTGGGTGGGAGCAGAGGACCAGGTGAAGGCTGGGGCCTGTGTACCCCAGTTGAAGGGAGCTAGATTTAACTCCCTGAGACCCAAGAAGCATCCTTCTGGCCACCCCAGTCTAATTAGCTAGGAATTTGGTGGTGGCACAGGTGAGAAGGTCCCTGCTCTGTGGAGCTTGCAGGTTCTGGAAACAACCCCACCACATCTGTTGCAACACCTGCAGCCGTCTTCTTGCATCTTTGCTTTGTGCTGGACGCTTCCATATGGAACACCTAACACAACATCTGTAGTGGGCTGAGGGTAACCCTCAAAGATATATGTCCACATCCTAATTCCCAGAACCTGGGACTGTGACCTTATTTGGAAAAGGGGTCTTTGCAGATTTAATTAAGTGAAGGGTATTGAGTTGGGGAGACCATTCTTGTCTATCTGGGTGGGCTCTAGTCCACTGATAAGTATTCTTAGAAGACAGAAGAGGAGGAGGCCATGTGTCCACAGAGGCAGAGGCTAGAGTGCTGTGGGACCACGCCCCCTCTGGCAGCTCGTGAGGGGCCACGCCCCCTCTGGCAGCTCGTGAGGGACCCACAACAGGGAGGACTGGGGCCTTGCTGGGCTGGAGAGCCCAGAGGAACAAGCAGGGGGCTAGGGCCCCTGAGATGCTGTATGACTGGTCCATTGTTCCTGTTCCTTTCCCATAGAAGAAAAAGGAGAGTAGTTTGGGGACAGATTCATGCACATATGCACACATACATACTGCACACACATACATACTATATACAATACAGTGGGTATACATATAGACACACTACAGCACATGCACACACACACACATTCTGCACACAATACTGCATGCATGCACATACGGCACAGCACATACATGCACACATGCTGCAGCACACACAATACTGCACACAGAGCATACAATCCTGCAAGTACACCATACACGGGTGAAGAGAAGGGGCATCTGTCAGTGGCCTACTCTTCCAGACCCTCATTTTGTCCTCACAGCAGCTCTCTGGGGTGGGCCTCCCCAACTCCCTTTAATGGATGAAGATGCTGAGACTTAAGGGTTACAAAGTCTGCTTGAAGTCACAAGGTGCTGCGACTTGAGCTCAGGGCCAGGTGAATCCCTGATGTTCCTGGCAATCTGCTCCTGAAGGGTGCAGCAGGGCCTCTCTGGTCTGGTTCTCCCTCTTCCTGTAACCTTTGAGGTAGTGCCTGCAGGAACCCTGGGACCCCCCCACCCCCCACCCCAATTTGCCTGCTCCTGTTCCCTGGGCTCAGCAGAGTCACCATCCCAGCCCCAGGACAAGTGTCCTCCTTGGTGGGGGACATGTGGTCATTGCTGGGGCGATACAGTGAGATGTGGCCACACAGCCATGTCCAGACCTTGGGCACCATGCTGCTCATGCTCCAGACTGCTGGGGAGCACCTGGTCCTGGTTGTGTCTGGCTTTGGGTCCTTCAATTTCTGCTGTCTGCTTTCCTGTCATTGCTCCCACTTCTCAACCCTGCCTTGGTAGCTTCTCTGATATGATCAGGCAAGATCTTAGAGCACAGTTGCATGTTTATATTATAGCTTCTCTATCACTCCTGTGGGTGTGCACATGTTGTATGGTGTGTGTGTGGATGTGTTTCTCTATGAGTACAGAGCACATATGTTTGCATGCATTCTGTGTGTGCACAAGGCATGTTTAACATATCTGGTGTATACACAGGGTATCCATAAGGTTTATGTGGTATGTGTGCATACTGTGTATGGTGTACTTGCAGGATTGTATGCTCTGTGTGCAGTATTGTGTGTGCTGCAGCATGTGTGCATGTATGTGCTGTGCCGTATGTGCATGCATGCAGTATTGTGTGCAGAATGTGTGTGTGTGTGCATGTGCTGTAGTGTGTCTATATGTATACCCACTGTATTGTATATAGTATGTATGTGTGTGCAGTATGTATGTGTGCATATGTGCCATGAATCTGTGCTCTGAAAAGAAAGCCAACACAGTGGCTGGACAACATTCTACCAGTCCCTTGAGACTATCAAAAGTCAGTGTGTTCAGTCACACAGAGGAGCCTTTGAAGACTTCAGATGAATGACTCAGGAGCCCCTCAGTCATCTCAGCAGAAGACAGAGATAGGACTATGTGAAAGGCCTAGGGAGGACCTTCTTGTGAAATAGAGTGAATCCTGTGTGTGACATACACAGGAGACCACAAAGTTCTTGAGAATGTTATATCAGCAGAAACACTGCCAACTTGGACTGAAGGGAACAGAGAAAGTATGAAATGAAAGATGAAAGAGCACTGTTGGACTCTCCAAAATTCTGCAGGAAGGAAGCAGGCTGATAAAACCACTCAGTGGCAAACATGTGCTACCTTTCATGAAAAAGGAAGGATGACTCCAAGGGTGGAGCCATGAGCCCAGATGTTGGACCTGGGACCCACAGAGGATTATTTTCTCAGGCCTTGAAATCTAATGTTTGCTTAGCTGGTTTTTCAAAGTGCTTGGGACTGAGGACTCCTTTTTTCCTTCCATTTTCTCCCTTTTTGAATGAGAATGTCTATAACTGTCAACTGATGCCTGTCCTAATGTTGGGTCTGACAGCAGATCATTTGTTTCTTGAGTTTTGCAGGTTTACAGGTGGAGCAGAATTATGCATCTGGATGGATTATACCCTAACCCAACCCTAATTTACATTATGAAATTTGGGACACTTGAACTAAGTAAATTTAGATGAGATTTCTGGACTTTGACTTAATGCTGTAATGAGGTAGATGTTCACAGATGCTGGGGTGGAGTGGCATCCTTGTGAGTCTTTGGAAGCCAGGGGCCAACTGTAGTCAGCAGGATAATGGCCCCCAAAGATGTCCACATCTCACTCCCCACTACCTTATATGTCAAGAGGGAGTTTGCAGGTGTGATTAAATTAAGGGTCTTGAGGTGGGGGATTATCCTGGATTAACCAGGTGGCCAGTGCAATCATGAAAGTCCTCACAAGAAGGAAGCAACACTGTTAGCATCAGAGAAGATGTAACTACGGAAGCAAAAGTCAGAGTGATGAGTTTGCTTTAGAGGTGGAGGGAGGAACCCAGAGGCATGGAAGATAGGTAACCTCTAGAAGCTGGAAGAGGCACGGAAGTGAATTCTCCCCAGAGCCTCCAGAAAGAAGAGACTCTTGCTGACGCCTTGGTTTAGTCCAGTGAAACCCATGTGGGACTTCTGATTTCCAAAACCATAAGATGATAAGTGTGTGTTGCTTTAAGCCACTAAGTCTGTGGTCATCGGCCGTAGCAGCAATAGGAAGCAAATACAGGCATGAACATCAAAAGAGCAGGAGACGGGCATTCCGGAAGTCGCAGGAAGAACACGCTTTCTACTGCTCCTGTTGGGTGTTGTCGATCAGCCAAGATGAGGGCTGAGAACTGATGCCAGGGTTAGCCTTTGCCGGTAACATCGGCAAAAGCACGTTTAGTGGAATAGGGGAGGTAAAATCTAGCTTAGCGAGGACTCAGGAAAGACCAGGAAGAGAGGAAGTGGAGAAGGAAGACTGTGTTCTTAGAGGGGCATCTTGAAAAAGAGCAGAGAGACAGCCAGCAGCTGGGGGGCCCTGGCCGGCAGGAGAGGGGACAGCATGACTGTTGTTGAGGGTGGCCCCACTGAGGGGGCAACCAGAGCTCCTGGCCAGCCTGGAGTGGGGGACGGCGGTGGGTCTGGCTGGCCAGGCACAGTTGGGTGGGAAGATGGTGTGGTCGGAGCACGTGGACATTCTTTTCTGATTGCTTCTATTTTCTCAGTGAGATGGGAAACAATCATCTCCTTTTTGCTAAATGTGCTGAGCAGGCTTGAGGGATGCCTGGACTTCAGCAGGAAGCAATAGTCATGCCTCGCACATGCGGCTTTCAATCCTGTTTGGTTGGAGAAATAATATACCGCCCAACTAGTTTGTTTTAAATTAGACAAACACCCCGGAGCCTGCCTGCTGCTGGAGACGGCTGTGTTTGGAGTGGGGCTCTCGGCGGTGCTGAGGTCAGCTCTGTTTGACATTCCTGATGTGTGAAGGGCGCACTTAGGACAACACCACCAGGCCACGGGCGTGCAGCTCCCTGGAGCTGCTCCAGGGGCCCTGCCTGAGAAATGTTCCAGTCCTTGAAATTTCTCCCCAGTTTTAAACATCTGTTGGTGCTTGTGGAAAATAAGGTCGGGATTGCTGTGCTCACCGCCCGTGAAAGCTGCCATTGCACGGTCTGTAAAGTGCTGGTGATGAACACTTCACACCGACAGGCTGAGCCTCGGCCCTGGCCACGTCGCTGGGGCCCAGCTTCTGATCAGTCTGTATGGTTCAGCTCTCCGTGGAGTTAAGTCATGACAACCAAGGAACACAGGCATTTGAGGGGATAGCTCTGTTCCCTCCGCCATGTCCTGGGGCGAGCTGTGTAGACGTCTGTTATCTTGATAAACCCAAACCTCTTGGGGCCAGGTGCCCTGTGCCTTCCTTTGTCCTTCTGTCCACCTGGCCTTCCATGAGCCTCTGGGGTGGGGCTGTCTCCTTTCTCTCCTGACTTCCCAAAGCACAACTGAAAGCAAACTCTTCCACCCACCATGAGTCTCATTCCATCTCTCCAGTGGGCGAGACACGTAGTGTTTTGTTTTATTTCATTTGCTTTGTTTTTTCAATCAAGCTGAGGCCAGCTTGGAGGCCTGTTTCCCTTGGGATGGTGGACACATGGATCTCAGGAGTTTGGGGGTGCCCCTTCTGGTCGCAAGGGACCTTCTGGACCCTGTGCCTCCCTCCCACCAGCCTCCCCTGACACCGCCTCCGTGCTGCTCCTCTCCCGGTGGGCTCCACCCTCACTAGGGCTTCGAACCTGGAATGCTCTTTCCTGGCCTCCTGCCTGTCCCCTTCCCACCAAGCCCCCCAGTTCCTGCTGAGTGCCACTTCCTGGCTCAGCTGCTCCCATCCAGTGCTGGGCTCAGCCTCGTCACCCACGCCCCACCATAAAGGGTTCTTTACAGCAGATGGCATCGCCGTCGGCCCCCCAACCGGAGGCGCCCTTCAGGGCAGGAGCCTGTTTCTTGTGGAAGTGTCTTAAGCCCTAAAACGGTGCCCAGTGCACAGTTAAATAAAAATCAGAGCCCCAAGAGCAAACCTTAGCCCCTCACGGTGACTACAGCCCTTCCAAAGAGGGGCCATATCACGTGCACAGTGACCCTCTCCACGTGGGTCCCTTGGTTTGTGAGGGCCTTGGTTTGCAGGCCATAGACTGACACAGTGGCACCTGGTGTGAGGGGAAGAGGGTGTGGAGGCCACAGACCCACACGGTGGTACCTGGTGTGAGGGAAAGAGGGTGTGGGGGCCACAGACCCACACGGTGGTACCTGGTGTGAGGGGAAGAGGGTGTGGAGGCCACAGACCCACACGGTGGCACCTGGTGTGAGGGGAAGAGGGTGTGGAGGCCACAGACCCACACGGTGGCATCTGGTGTGAGGGAAGAGGGTGTGGAGGCCACAGACCCACACGGTGGCACCTGGTGTGAGGACCTTCTGAAGGTACCCGTGGGTGAGGGGATCATTTGGATGGATTGCAAAATGGCCATGTGGCTTTAGTGACACCTTTAGGATGTAATAAACTTCAGAGTCAACCTTAATTCTGGGAGAGAGACATCTTCACTTTTCTGGTGCCATAACTGCCTCTTTGTGGAACGCAAAGCAAAACTAAAGTCATTTTTCTTGTTTGTTTTTAAGGCCCTTCAGGCTCTAGGGTGAGTTTCTGGTTTGAGGGGAAGGCCTTTCCTCCTGACTCCAGCCCTCCTTGACAAGGTCTCCGTAAAGCATGCTTTCTCTTAGGGACCCTCAGAGGGAGGCTTGGTGGGGACATGGGGTCAGGGACATCATCAAATGCTAGACGCCCGGCTGGGGCTGCCCCGAGGGCTCTGAGAGGAGGGGGCAATCCTGCGTGGCCAGGTGGGTGGTGAGTGTGACCTGGGTGGTTGGCAGTGGCTTCCGTCCAAGGTCCTGGCCAGGAGCGGAATCCCACAGCCACGGCAGGCCATTAGTGGCTGAGTGAAGTTTGTTCAGGGTGGCCTGACCAAAGGCAGGCCCTGAGGACAGCTGTTGCTGGCTCTTGGTGGAAAGAGGCTGAGGCCAAAGGGTTTATAGGTGTTCAAATTGGAAAGTGGAACAGGAGACCTAAGTACGCTCCCTCTGACCAGGTTAGGGGGTACTGATGGGGAGTCCCTCAGTAGAGGCAGGGGCCACCTCTTCTGACCCCAAGGGACCCAGGCCAAGAAGGAGCCCCCTCTCCCCCAGGGCCAGGGGGACCCCAGCCTGCCCCACACTGGCACTTTGCAGCACCAGGGAGAGACCAGGCCTCCTCTGGGACAGGTTCCAGGCTTACGGGAGCTTTGGTCAGAGGGGCAGCCACCCCTGCCCACTCTAAGAACGTGACCCCAGAAAGGGGCATCATTTCTTCAACAGAAGAGGAGGCGAGATGAGCTTGGTGCCAGTTCCACGGAGCCACAGTGACATAACCCTCCGAACATTCGTGACCAACCACGGAGCACAGTGACATAAACCTCCAAACATTCATGACCAACCTCGATTATACAGTCACACCCAGCCCCGAGTGGATTTACCAGAGACAGGATGTTCCCCACCAGGCTCTCCCACTAGGCAGATCCTCAGCACTTGGCTCAAGAGTGGAACAGACCCCACTAGCCATTGCAGGCCGTTGGGCAGGCAGCCCTCCGACCTCAGCCCATGTGCATATGGGGTGGGGGACCCGTGGGCAAAACTTGGGGTCCTAACCTGGGGGGGTCAAACCCTCCACACGCAAGTCCTGGTCAGAATCACTCAGAACTGACCCTCCCCTGTGCCAGCCCCTCCCCTGTACCAGCTCCTCCCCTGTGCCAGCCCCTCCCCTGTACCAAGCCCCTCCCCTGTACCAGCTCCTCCCCTGTACCAGCCCCTCCCCTGTGCCAGCTCCTCCCCTGTGCCGGCCCCTCCCCTGTACCAGCTCCTCCCCTGTACCAGCCCCTCCCCTGTACCAGCCCCTCCCCTGTACCAAGCCCCTCCCCTGTACCAGCTCCTCCCCTGTACCAGCTCCTCCCCTGTACCAGCCCCTCCCCTGTACCAGCCCCTCCCCTGTACCACCTCCTCCCCTGTGCAAAGCCCCTCCCCTGTACCAGCTCCTCCCCTGTACCAGCTCCTCCCCTGTACCAGCTCCTCCCCTGTACCAGCCCCTCCCCTGTACCAGCCCCTCCCCTGTACCAGCTCCTCCCCTGTGCAAAGCCCCTCCCCGTACCAGCCCCTCCCCTGTACCAAGCCCCTCCCCAGTACCAGCTCCTCCCCTGTACCAGCCCCTCCCCTGTACCAGCTCCTCCCCTGTGCAAAGCCCCTCCCCTGTCCCAGCTCCTCCCCTGTACCAGCTCCTCCCCTGTGCAAAGCCCCTCCCCTGTCCCAGCTCCTCCCCTGTACCAGCTCCTCCCCTGTGCCAGCCCCTCCCCTGTACCAGCCCCTCCCCTGTGCAAAGCCCCTCCCCTGTCCCAGCTCCTCCCCTGTACCAGCTCCTCCCCTGTACCAGCTCCTCCCCTGTGCCAGCCCCTCCCCTGTACCAGCTCCTCCCCTGTACAAAGCCCCTCCCCTGTCCCAGCTCCTCCCCTGTACCAGCCCCCAGACCCTGAACAGCACTGGCCACTACACGGAGCCACCACCCTGGCCCTGGCCTGGGTGGGTGGGGGTCCCCCGGGGAGCACAGCGCAGTGCTAGGGCCCCTGTAGCAGATTCCCAGGAGACACACACCCAGCTGGGCCTGCTGACACTAGCCCTGCATTCCCACACCCCCTCCCCTGGCCCTCTCAGCTGCCTTGTCCTCTCCTGGTCAGCTGCCTGGGGACACTGTCACGATGCCTGGCCCCTGACCTTGCCCGAAGCTCCTCGGTGTCTGGACATTCAGCCCGACATGCTCTGAGGTTTGGGGCAGGTCCAGCACTCTGTGGGTCCACCCCATCAGCCCTCAGGGTGGGACTCATGCAGCCACAGTTTGAGAGTTCCAGGAACCACAAGTCCTGAGTCAGCGGGCACCTGACCCCTTATGTCACCTGCCCCAGGTGGAAGGAGACGCTACAGGGACCAAGCATGGTTGGTAAACGTGTGTGTGTATGTGCACTCACGCCTGTGTGTTAAAATGCTTCAGAGAAAGAGCAGCCCAGGAACGTGGGGGTTGGATGGGATGTGGAGGTGTGGGCTGTGCCTAGGGGTCCCTCCTGGGGCTGTGTGGGTGTGAGTGGAGGACTGAGGAAAAGCCTCCTTACCCGGGAGTGTGTGGGGGTGCTGTTTCTCGTATACTTTATTTCCTGTTTTAACACATGTGGGTGTCCTGAAATAAAAGCCGTTAGCCGCCCACAAGAATGAGCAGGTTTGCTGGATCACAGTCCCCCACCCGGTGCCAGGCTGCCTGCCTGGGAGACTCAGGGTCCTCCCCAATCCTGCCTCCCCACCTCCACACAAGGGTGAATCTGAAGCCCCAGGCACCCACGCCAGGGGAACTGAGGTAGAGCAGACCTCCAGCATCCCCCCGTGACCTGGCAGATGGCAGTGGACATTGCCCTCCCCAGACACCCCTGTGAGTTGTCAGCTCTGCCTGCTGGGGTGGAGCCCCTGACTTGGGTGAGCCAAGGGTGGGGGGAGGGTGGTGAACCAGCCGGCCCCCCAGGTTTCCTGAACCCTTTCTCAGTCTCCTGGAAGGGGCTGAGGGGCCTGGCACCTTCCCACCAGAGCAGTGGTCCCCAACCCTTTTGACACCAGGGACAGGTTTTGTGGAAGACACTTATTCTGTGGGTGTTGGAGAGAAGAAGGGATGGTTTCCCTCTCAGATCATCAGGCATTAGATTCTCATAAGGAGCGGACAACCTAGATCCCTTGCGTGCAGTTCACAATAGGGGTCACGCTCCTGTGAGAAGTGAATGCCGCCGCTGATCCGAGAGGAGGCGGAGCTCAGGGTCAGGCCGGTCCACCGCTCACCTCCTGCCGCGCGGCCGGTTCCTAACAGACCACAGCCTGGGGACCCCTGCTCCAGAGGACGGGGAGTGTCTCTCTGTCATCCCCAACGGGCCAGTGATCCCGCTGGAGGGGCTGGGGCTGCACAGGACACAGGCTCAGCTGTGCTGCTGGCCACCCATGACCCAATCAGAGGCTCAGGTCAGAGGGCAAAGATGTCCACTGAAGCGGCTCCAGAATCCCTCAAGGAAGGTGACATCCGCTTCGCTTCCTCCTCCAGCCCCACCTTCGCTTCCGGGACCACAGAGCCCCTGGAGCCTGCACGCCACGGAGTCTCCCACTGAGGAGTGAGGAGGCCTCTTGTGGGGACAGATCTGGGTGAGTCAGGAGGCCCTGCGGGGCTGGGCTGGGCTGGGCTTAGGGGCTGGAGCGGGGAGGGTTTCTCAGACTGGAGTGGGAGACTTGAGGTGGAGATGTGGGTTAGGTCAGGGTCAACCCTGAAAGATTGAGAATCACACGGGGCTGCTCACCTTGGGCGTGAGGAGCAAGGTCTCTGGGACTGACTAGGTGAAGACCGGTTTCCTGGGACGGGCACGACAGGGACTTGAGACCCGTCTTAGGCTGTGTCAGGGCAGCTGAGAAACTTGCTGGCTTGTGGGTCATGGAGCCCCAGGAGCCGGTCGAGGTGCAGGAGGGGGCCTGGGTGGGGCTGAGTCAAGGGCTCCGGCCAAGCCCCTGTGGCCCAGGCGGTATTTGTTTATGCCTCATGGCCGGGAGGAGCCACTGCCTTCACCACATCCCACCGGGGTGGGGCGGGTACCACCCTCTGGGACAGGGAAACTTCAAGTGGGAATTTGGGCAAATTTGAACTCAGCTGGATTTTCAGTTTGTTGTTCTTTGAAGGAATTCAGGACTGTGTGCCAGCGCTGGCCACACCACCAGGAGGCCTGGCCTGGCCCGAGAGGGATGCCAGCTTGGCATCTCCCACAGGGCAGGGCGTGTTGGGAGCCGCTGTTGGCTGGGGGCTGGCCTGAGCCTGACTGCCTATGTGGAGCTGGCAAGGAGTGAAGACCCTGCTGCCAGCACAGGGCCGAGGCTCTCCGGCTAAGGACAGGCTTAGGACAGGCCTAGGCTCTGGGGTCCTCAGCCCCCTCCCAGCAGGGCCCGGCCCATGCTGCCAGACCTGGGATGTGCCCCTGGACCTCCCTACCTCGGGCCTCTGCCCACCCCAGCCTCCTCCCCCAGACCCCTCGGTCTCTGCCCCTGGAGGAAGCCGGGAGTGTTTCTTTTGGAAATGACCCCAGTTTGTGGTTGTTCTTTGTAGACACACCCCCTGCTGGGGATGAGAAGTCCCCCTGGACCTTGGTTTGGGCGGGAAACCGGCTGTGTCCCACGTTAACCTAAATCGTCTTTTCCTCTTTACGTTCCAGAGTCATGCTTGAGGCCAGGCTCGAATCCTGCCTGCCTTTGGTGGCTCTGAGATTCAGGGCTGTCTTTTCTGAGAGCACCCAAGTGAGGTGCCTTGGGATGCCCCTGACTTGGAGACACAGAGGAGGCTGGGCACCCCTTTTCCCCGACGCACTGAGCCAGGTCAGCAGAGGTGCTGGGGCCTGGCATGGCCCCTGGGAAAGAACCTGCTTTCCTCTTGTGGGAAGTCAAATCCTCGCACTCAGTGCCGGCACCCCTTGGCGGGTGACAAGAGGGCATCTCGAAGGCCACTGTGCTATGGGAGTTACGGCTTTGACTCTGAGACGGGGGCCTGGGTGAGGACCTGGTATCCTCAAAGTCCCCGTGGCTGCCCTGTGGAGAAGACTCTGTTGGGAGAGGGCGCTGCCTCCCAGAAGTGTCCCAAGGTCCAGGAAGGAATGGGGGGAAGAGGACAGGAGGGTGTTCTCACAGTCACTGTGACCTCTGGTGAGCAGAGGGTCCTTCTCAAGCTACTGAATCCTCATGGGGCTTGGGTGAGGGAGCGAGGATAGGCCAGGAGCCAGAGGCTCAGGAGGGGATGGCCTCACTGTGGAAGGTGCAGGGGTGGTCCAGCCTGAGCCCTCTGCCCCCCGCTGCAGCTCAGCACCCCCCCCCCCCCACGCACACTTACCCAGGGGGTTGCAAAGTGATGGGTGTTGGCTCTGGAACTAGTCCCATGTTGTTTCCCAGGGAAGGAGCCACACCCTTCTCAGACCTCTGGGCTGATGCACGAAACGGCAGCCCTGCCTGGGCTGCCCACCGCCCGTCACAGAACGATCCCGCTGCAAATTTCACAGGCATCTGGATCGAATAACAGGCTGATAGGGCGTATAAAATTAGAGACAGAACTCTCCAGAAGGCAGGGTGGAGGCTGCAGCTCCCTGGGATTCCACGTGAGAAGGCAGTGATGCTGCTGCCCCCACGGGAAGGACGGATGCTGAGTCAGTGGGAAGACAGTGGGAAGCCCAGCCTGGAGGGGAACGGGGGACGGGGTGGGGGGTGGTCCAGAAAAAGCAGCAGGCGGTTGGGGTGGGACACAGGGACTGTCCCGCCCGGGGAGGCCCCCAGACCAGGAGGGCCAGACCCTACCGCCCCTCTGCAGGACCCCATCCCTGCTTCACTCCCTTGCTCCTAGTTCTGAGTTGGGCCCAGCCTGAGTCTCCACCAGGTGGACAGTAGCTCCTCGGGGCAGCTGGGTGTGGGATCTGCAGGCTCAGGCAGCCACCCAGATACTAGCGGCCTCCCTGCCCTCCAAAAGCCCAGCCTGGGATGAACCTTGACAAAGGCCCTAGACCACAGCAACCACCCCACCAGGGCTCTGAGTTCTCCATGAGGACTGGTTTCCCTGGAAGGTGAACACTCAGGGGCTGGGACCCTTAAGGATTGTTCTTCTCAGGTCTTCACCGTTTCCAGACGTGTGCCTTAGACATCTGCACGGACATCTCTTCCCAGGGATGGGCGTCTCAGGGCAGGTGCATTTAAACTTGTGATAGAGACTCCAAATCACCTCTCAAAAGCCTGTTCCCATTCACACCCCTGCATACGGCATGTCAGTGGATCCCTTCCTCACTGGAGCAACACTAGATTTAGTCATAAAATATTTTTCAATTTCTTATTTCTATGATTAATAGGGAGGTTGGATATTTTGTGATATTCATTAGTTTATTTGACTATGTTTCTGTTTTTACCCTTTACCACTTTTCTAGCTAGTCATTTGCTTTTTTCTTGTTGATTTGTGGGAGTTCTTTATATATGATGAATATCAGTACTTTGTGTTTACATTGCAGATATTCGTTCCCAGTCTGCTGCTTATTATTTTACCTTTTTAAGGTTGTTCTTTTCATCACATAAAAGTTTTTAAATTTTAAGTAGTCAAATGGTTTCCTTTAAGGCTTTGGATTTTGCATTTTTATACCAAAATGCTCTTGTATTTTCTTCCAAACTTTATAATTATTCTTTTTTTTTTTTTTTTTTTTTGCCTTTAAGTTCATTTTGGGGCATGGGGTGAGACAGAATAGCACCATTTTTCCACATTAAATCTTAGATATTGTGAGCCCTGGAGGACACAAATTACAGCTTAGAGGCCTGGAGCATGATTCTGGAGCCAGGCTTCCTGGGCCGGAGTCCACGTCCTGCCCATGGTGGCTGGCCATTGCTTTGGGGAGCCTCTCTGAGCCTCAGTGTCCTCTTTGAAAGAGTGGTTGTTCAGAGTAAGAGGGTATCTTCCTGTGGACGACTCAGCTTGCGTCTCAGCCCACAGTGAGCGAAGAACCAGGGGGTCTCACAGAGCCCTGACTCAGGTGCTGAGGGTCCCCCTAACCTCCAGGCAATTCGGCCTGCACCCCCACCCCCGCTTCTTCTTGCCTCTTCTAGAAGAGAGGAGGGTGGCGGTAAGGCTGGAAGGGGGAAGAAAATCTGTTTCCCAAAGCCTCCAGGTGATTCAGCCAGAGTGAGACCAAATGGCTTGGGTCTTGGGTTTTCAGCTTCCTCACCTGTGCGGTGCAGGTGACAGCACCCCACTTCCTACTCTGTGGGCAGGTAACACCTGCGTGCTCTGAGAAGGGGAAAACATCTCCACCCTCCCCAGAGGCCTGCACGGCCGGAGGTCACAGTGAGGCGGCCACACGCCCCGGGCTCTTGCTCCGAGGGGACGCTGTCCCAACAAGAGGCCCCCTCACAGTCTGTCCTGACCCTGGCTCTGTGGCCCCTCCTTCTCCTTGATCAGGCCCCTCCCGGGTCTACCGGGATCTCTGGCTGCCCCCCGACCCCCTGCTGCAGCCCCAACCCTAGGTCTCCACAAAGACTTCGGGATGCCCCGTGAGCCCCTGGGTCCTGGACCCCTCTTCCTCCTCCAGCCCCTCCTCTCCCAGCTGCTCCTGGCTGCCCTTTAATTGCTCAGAGCTGTTCAGCAACCTGGCGCGTAGCTGGTACATAAGTGGCTGTTGGTTGGAGTCAAGTGAGTGATGGGGAGATGCTAAGAAGAGTGAAAGAAGCCTCGGCACCCGCCGGGAGCAGGTGCTGGGGGTGTGAGTGCCGCTGAATGAACGCGTCCTGGGACGGGATCCTGAAGCCCACCCTCCCGCCGGGCCCCCACAACCCAGAGCGCACACCAAACTTTCTACGTGTCTTTCCCGGTCAGCCTGAGCCCAAACCACCCATGTCCCTGAGCTTGTCCTTGTCTGAAAGAGGAGGGAAGTGTCTGTGTCCTCAGGAGCCCCTGGCCTTAAAGATAGGCACCCTGGCTCTGGCAGGCAGGTGGCCCCTGGCAGCCTCGCCCACGCCCGCGGTGACTAGCTCTCGGGCAAGCGATGCAAGTGCAGAAACCAGCTCTGTGTGGTCAGTGCCCCGGAGCTGCAGCGGCAGCAGAGGTCGGAACACCTTCCTCTGTGGGCACGCCACGGAAATTTAAAGACACAGGGTGCTCTTTCGCAAACTGGGCTCGTTGATTCTACAGGAGAAGGTAACTATTATTGAGTTTCTTCTTTTTCAGAATGAGTGGCATCCAAACCTGACTCATATTTCCAACTTTATTAATTTTTGCAAGACTTCGGAGGGTGCTCTGTGGCGATTAATATTGCTGAGCTGAGCACAGCTGCAGTACTTTCCTGTAAAACTGACTAAAGGAGAAGTTGGTGTCTTCCTCATACAAGAAATACATAAATCAGTTAAAAATAGTTCTCCGAGCGGATATGATGATGTCGTGGCCGTCACAGGAAACACATGAATCAGCCTCATCCTCAGTTCCAGGGAAGTGGGGACAGTCGGTGGTCCTTGGACCCCTCTTGGGGCGCGTGGGTGAGGCAGGGTCCCTCTGGCTTTACCTCATACCCGGACTGGCAAAGCTGCCTGGGAGGACAACTAAAACCATGCTCCTTTGATTCTGTGGACATTGCTAATTGCTGGGCGTTCATTTCTTGAATTCAGACCTTCTCATGAACCAGAGGAGCTGGCTCAGAAAAATGCCGGTGACGCATGGGCCTGAACTGGTCAGTGCAGCTCAGAGATGCTCGCCGTGGGGGACGTGCAGTTTGCCTGTGGGCCAGTTGTCCACCCGTCACCGTTACCCCGCTGAGGAAGCTGTGGGTGCCACCCAGAGAGCTTGGGTACAACACGGTCTCTGCTTTACTCATAAAAAGCCAAGACCTATGTGGTCATGGAGCGTTAAAACAGAAATTTCACACCACGCCGTACGGTCCCCGAGGCCAGGGTGTTGGCACATTTCACATCCAGGAGGTGCCGTCGCTGTCACTGGCTCAGCAAAGCCAGTGCCGAAGCCACTGCAACTGCCTGAGGCCCAGCGGTGGCTGGGAGCCAATTGGTGTCACTCGGTTACCACAGGGAAGGAGACGTGGCTGTAGAGGCTTGTCGCAGGTCACAGAGAAGGGACTTTTGGGCTCCAGGCCTAGTGGGTTCGAGTCAGCACGGTGTCTTCCCCGACACCAAACCCAAGGACCCTCAGCACTTCCTGACCTCAGGTTTCTATTTCTAGGGTGGGGAGTAGAGGTGAAGGGAAGCAAAGTCAGAGTTGAATATAAAGCTCCAGAAAAACTCAGCTCAGAATTGACTAGAGGGTTGAGAGCCTGAGATCCCTAAGGGGACATGTCAACCCAGGGCAGCCGCTGAGGGAGACTGACATGGTTTCCATGGTCCTTCCACTGGGCTGGGGCCCTCCCTGGGGAGTCTGTGCTGGGCTGGACCTTCTTCCCTGCCAGTGGCCTCTCCTGGCTGGTTGGGGAGCTCCGGGGGAGCAGACGGCAAGAGTCTTGTTTGGAAACATGCCCTTCCCAGGAAATCCCCAAAACAAAACCTGAGAAGATCTCCTGGAAGCTCAAAAGCAATTTTCTTTTCATATGTCGGGCCAATAAGAGTTAATTTCACCCAGTTTCTATATTTTCATGGGTCCTTAGAAGCTTTCTGACCCTGTGCCCTGAGACTTAGGGTCTGATGGCTGAAGGAACCTTGGTCCCAGGTCCCTCTCCTGTGGAGGGGCCGTCAGAGGGAGAGAAGAGCTCGCCCTGGTTCACTTGGCCTGTCCTGAAAGAGAACCAGGAGGGAGAGCAGCCTAGCATGGGTGCACACAAGCATATGTACAAACATGTGCTAGGGCAACTCACACACGTCCACATGCATGCACATACACACATGCCCACACCCATGCACACTTATGTGTGCACACAGATTCAGACTGTACCTGTACACTTCCACACTTCCACATGCATGCACATACACACATGCCCACACCCATGCACACTTGTGTGTGCACACACAGATTCAGACTGTACCTGTACACTTACTTCCACATGCATGCACATACATGTCCACGCCCATGCACACTTGTATGTGCTTGCACAGATTCACACGTGTACATGCACACACACATTAGCATGTCCTTGCATATGCACACATACACACATCTGACTTCACATTACATACACACATGTACATGCACATACATGACACACATGGCTCGAACTGGAGGGGAGGGTCCCAGTTGCTCCCCTCGCCTGACCATCTAGTAAGTGTTGTGCCCCATGCTGCCCCATCCTGGGCTCCTGGCCAGGCTCTAAGATTAACTAGAGAGGCTCTGTCCCTAAGAAAGGTCATGCACTTCAGGGTAGGTAAGGTGGACAGGCAAGGCCTGGTGACCTCGGCCCATCCTTGTGCCTCCAGAAGCCGTAACTCACCTCAAAGAGGTTTTCCTGCTGGAGGGAACTATCTCTGAGCAACAGGGGCAGACTTCACAGCTCAGGCGCCCTCCTGAAGGTAAGAGGCACTGGGCTCGCCTATCAAAGACACTCTCCTGTCCCCGCAGGTTCCCATATGTCCCATCAGGGAGCTGGGCTCCAAAGTCTCCCGCCCTGCTTCTCCTAGAGAATGCAAAGGCTGCCTCTCTTCCCTCCCAGTGTAACCTGACCCTCCTCTGTGCCCCTTGGCCACCCTTGCATCCTCTAGCTCCTTCTGACACCTTCTTTTTGACTGTTCACAGAGGGCAGGATCTGAAGCCTGCAGAGGTGACCCTTGGTGCCTTGTGCAAGGCTGGCCAGCAAGTAAGCATGACTTTTGGCTCTGCTGCCAGCTGGGCCATTTGATCTACACACACTTTTCTGCCTCTACCTGGAGTTAGGCGAGGCTCTCTATAGAATGGGTACTTGTCAACAAAGTGGGCTTAGACTCCGGGCAGTAGCAGTTGAGGCAGGAGCAGTGGGAGAAGTCTGGGCTAATGGCAAGCACCCAGTCCCCTCTGTGAGCTGCCCACTTGTCCCAGGCTCTGCCATGGCCCTTCCTCTGATTTTTAGGAGCTTTCATGAGGCCTCGCACAGCCTGAAGGAGCAGAGCTTGTTGTGCTAATCCCCAGCATCCTCTGCAGAGTTCTCAACACCTTGTGGCCGAAAGGTCCTTCAGATTGTCCAGGCACCCACCCCGAAAACCAGCCCTGGCATGGGGGTGCTGACCCCTCCCGGAGCAGTGGGGTGCAGGGCTCATAAGGCGGGGTCTGCAAAGCATGCTGGGGTCTTGCTCTGTGCTTACTCCAAGGATGCAGCCCGGAGTGCCACTGCTCTTGGACTTTCCTTGAGACACCCAGAGCATTGTGTGGCCATCACTTCTCACGTGGTCTGGCTGCTTGGGGGGCTGGCCTGAGTCAGCTAGGGCCAGTGCTCACCTTATCCTAATCACCTACTGGGGGATTTTGTAGGCTTGACCCTCCATGCCCTGGTGTTTCCCACAGGCTGTGAGGTTCTAGGGTGTCCCAGGGAGGATAGACGAGGCTGGTGTCCTAGGATCCCTCCCTGTCCGATCCAAGGTGAGGCTGCCAGGGAATGGAATCTGGCTCTCAGGCATGGGGGCCAGGCTCGCCTGCAGCCTCAATGTGGCTGGGCCCTGAAGGCCAGGGGTGGGTGGGGTGCAGCCCAGAGCTTTCTGCGGCTGAATCACCCTCTGGGTACAGGAAGCCTGACCGCATGACTTCCAAACTGATGCAACTCGGACTTTCTACTGAATTTGTGAGCTGTGATACTATTGCTTCTGAAGTCAAAGAGGGCTCAGAGGGTTCACGGAGCATTCCCTTTCAATGACGATCGGCCTCTCTGGAATATCTCCAGTGTCAGCAGGGATGGTGTCAGGGTTCTCCTAGCAAGAAGTCATAAGGAATGGAAGGGCTGAGAAAAATGAGGGTTAGAGTGACACCATGTCAGTCCCCCTGGCTAGCCTCTGCCAGCTGGACAAGCTGGGGCCTCCTCTCCACCTTGACTGGCCTGTGCCGGGGGAGGGAGCCAAGGGCAGGACCCTCTTGCACCTCTACCCTGGGCCTGGTCCATTCTCGCTCCTGGGACCTCCCCAGAGACCTCCGCAGCACACCCCACCAGCACAGTGAGCAGCACGGAGAGACCCAGACCGAAGTGGCCATGTGCTCCATGTGAGGGCTCCGTAGGAAGCAAGGATGTACAAGTGGCTCCTTTTCCCTTCCTAGGGGTCCCTTGCAGGGCTGGGACCCCACTCTAGGCGAGGCCTCTGGGCAAGGATGACCGTCCCTGCCTGCCTCTGGGAAAGAGTAAGTTCCTGCTCCTGGTGTCAGCGCCGACTGGTTCTCCAGGGACCACGGCGGAGGTCTGCCCTCTGTCTTACTTTCTCATAGAGATTTTCCGTGGGACCTGGGCTCCCTGCCTGGTTAGGGCTGGTTGAAGAATAAGTGGGAACGGTGGAGGAAGGAAGGGGATGTGCCAGCTGTTGCTCTGGCCCTTTCGTGTGGATATGAATCCCTGGTGAGAGGCAGATCCTGCGGTCAGTGCGGAGCCCACCACATTCCCCCAGGAGGGTGTGTCCGGGGCTGTGTATGGGGGGAAGCTGGGCAAACAGGGTCATGCCGTGAATGCAGGGGCAGGAGCAGGGACGTTTCTCTCTGCAGACACTGGTGCTCCCCAAAGCAGGAGAAATGGCACACAGCCATGTTGTGGACACATTTGTGAGAAAATTCCTCTGAATGTCAGAGAACATGGAAGAGATGAAGCTACCAGCTTAGAGAGACACAGGAACACATACTACAGACACACAGCACGCACATACCCAGACACACCCAGACACACTCACCAGACACACAGACTCACACAGAGAACACACCACGTCACACACAGAGATTCACAAAGAACCACATCACACACGTTTTCACCCACAGAGAGAACATACCCACATCATACCCATGTGCTGACACACAAGAGCATAAACTCACACACACATACATGAACTCACACCGAGAACACAGGCATCACACACAGGGACTCACGCACAGAGGGCATGTGGACACTACACACATGTTCTCACACAGCACACGCCCCGTCACACCCATGAACTCACACCGAGAACACAACATCACACACAGGGACTCACGCACAGAGGACATGTGGACACTACACACATGTTCTCACACAGCACACGCCCCGTCACACCCATGAACTCACACCGAGAACACAACATCACACACAGGGACTCACGCACAGAGGACATGTGGACACTACACACATGTTCTCACACAGCACGCCCCGTCACACCCATGAACTCACACCCAGAACACAACATCACACACAGGGACTCACGCACAGAGGACATGTGGACACTACACACATGTTCTCACACAGAACACACCCCGTCACACCCACACCCCCACATGCGTAGACACACACATCCTTACTCTGCGCGCATCCCTGGCCTGGTGGACGGAAGATCGAGCGCTCTGGGTGGACTTACGGCCACAGGACGGGGGCAGAGTCGGCAGGGAGGCCCCTCCGAGGCCCAGTGGGCCCTGCGCTGGCCCCGGCCGCAGACGCCCACCTGCTGTGCTGGCTGCGGCGTGTGCCCCGGGGTCTGTGGCTGACCTGGCCTCCACGTCTCACCCATGAAGCAGGCATGAGAGGCTGGCCAGGTTGGCTAAATGGGACCACAGCAGAAGCACAAGCCCCAGAATGTGCACGAAGGAAGAGAGAGCCGGGGGAGGTGGCGGGCTGGGTGTGCAGAGTGGGCCTGAGCTCCGGCCTCCTCCCTGGACGCCCTCCCGTGGCCGCAGCCATCCCTGCACCCACTGATGTGGCCTGACCCCTCACCCTGAGCCCACCCTTCGCGGCCACTAGGGAACCTCAGGAGAGGCCGCCGCGGTGGGGTGGGCGGATTCCCCCGGAGCAGGCCCAGGCCCCTGCTTCTGAGCGCTCCTGCAGCGCCGCCTGCTGGCCACAGAGAACCCGCGTGTGCCGGCCGCCAGGCCTGGGCATCTCCTCTCCTGCAGCGCCGCCTGCTGGCCACAGAGAACCCACGTGCGCCGGCCGCCAGGCCTGGGCATCTCCTCTCCTGCAGCGCCGCCTGCTGGCCACAGAGAACCCACGTGTGCCGGCCGCCAGGCCTGGGCATCTCCTCTCCTGCAGCGCCGCCTGCTGGCCACAGAGAACCCACGTGCGCCGGCCGCCAGGCCTGGGCATCTCCCCTCCTGCAGCGCCGCCTGCTGGCCACAGAGAACCCACGTGTGCCGGCCGCCAGGCCTGGGCATCTCCTCTCCTGCAGCGCCGCCTGCTGGCCACAGAGAACCCGCGTGCGCCGGCCGCCAGGCCTGGGCATCTCCCCTCCTGCAGCGCCGCCTGCTGGCCACAGAGAACCCACGTACGCCAGCCGCCAGGCCTGGGCATCTCCCCGGGCCCTAGTTCCCCCCCTCACCTAAGGGGAGGGACTCCCGTCTTTCCATCCACCCCCTCCTTGCCTCTGCAGAGCTCCAGGGAAGGCTGGCACCCGCTCACTGCATTTAGACTCCATCAGGTTCAGACAGTGGGTCAGGGTACAAGGCTTCAGCGGCCAGGGATGTGGCCTCTAATTTGTAGAGAGAAAGAAGGGCAGAGGTAGGTAGGTAGATATATGATAGATGGTTGATAGATAAAAATAGATGAAATAGATGGCATGGTTACATAGGTGGGTAGGTAGATAGATGACAGATAGAAAGACAATAGACCACTGGGGGCTGAGCCTGGCCTGAGCCAGAAAGGTGAGAAGGGGACAGCGGTGAGGACCCCACAGGTCCCTGCTCTCACCTATTAGCCCCAGTGTTTGGCCTGAGCTCTGACTGACAGCTCCCTCTTTCCGAGATGAGACTCAAGAGGAGGAAGAGGGGACTTCCTAAGGACAGGGATTCTTGGTGTCTCCTTGGGGCTGGTAGACACTGCCTGCCTCGCCTGCTGTGGCCTCTCTGCACACAACCAACGACCCCTAAAGGGCTCCATGGGCGCCCATGCTGCCCCCATCAGCTGACACCCCCTGTGCGAAGATTCTCCTCCTCCTCTTCCTCCTGCCTTTCTGTCCCCTCATCCTCCTCTTTATGGAATTAACTTCCCTTGGTCAACATCTTCCTGCTTCACTCACTTCCCTAAACTCCTCCCTATCCCTTCTCAATCTGCAAGAAAAATGTAGAAAGAATATGGTAAAGGAAAGCTTTGAGCCCATATTTGGGTCCAATGCCGACACCACATGCCCCAAAGCCCCCTTGAGAGCATCCACGTCCGTGTAGTTGAGTATTGCCCGAGCTGGAGTGAGATTTGCCTCTCTACGGAGCTGCCTTCCTGCAGTTCAAGAGCACTGTCTCTTTTCTGGGCCTCCTGCCTGGTGCAAGGGCCCCAGCTGAGCCTCCTCCAGCTCTGACCTCTGGTGGTCCCGGGCTACCCCAGAGGGTCTTGCCCGGGCTCTGACACTTGGCATGGGCTGGGAGCTCCAGCAGCCACAGCCCAGCCCTGGGGAGGCTTTGTGGTCTCTGAGGGGGCAGGTGCACTCCCCCAACTCCAGTTCATGTTTTTCCCTCCAACTCTAAGCCTTTTTCTTCCTCTGCTATTACCCAGGCACCCTACCCTGTCAACAACACTGGCCTTCAAGACCCTTTGTAGCATAACTCCCACCTATAACTCCCACCTGAAGCCAGCCCTTCCCACCTCTGCGCCTCTGATGCCCAGGACAGCTCTGACCGTGGGCAGCTCTGACCCAGGACAGCTCTGACCTTGGGCAGCCCTGATCTGGGGCAGCTCTGACCTCGAGTAGCTGTGACCCTGGGCAGCTCTGACTCTGGGTAGTCGTGACCCTGGGGAGCTCTCAGCATGGGGGTTGCACGCTCCTGTTTAGACAGCTGCCGTCCCCCAAGCTGGCTCACTATCCCATGTTGGAGTGCACTGTTCGGGGCTGCCTGCCTGGATTGATGCAGGGAAACTTGGTTCCAGCCCACCTCCTCCTGCGGAGGCTGAGTCAGGGGCTCTTCCCTCGGCCAGGCTGAAAGGCAGCAGTTGGTCCCCCTGTGAGGTCTTCCACATGGCCTGGGAGAGTCTCCCCATCTCTTCAGGCAGAAGGGAGGACAGTCCATAATGTTCCTTCCAGTCCTCTGACTTGTCATTTTTCTACCCCAAATCTTGCACTTTAACCCCATAGAGAGCTCCTGAAGGGGGAATTTTAACTGGCAAAACTCAGAACTCCATCCAAACACAACCGAAACCATCCTGGGTGGCTTAGAGGTGGCTGCCTCCCAGACAAGTCCATAGCCCCACAGAAACGTCTGGTCCTTCACCTGCTAGAGCTCAGGCTTTTTGGTTGAAGCCGGAGACAGGCCCAGCTCAGAGTGTGCCCCGGTTTATCCTGAGCACAGACTTGGTGCGGTGTGTGTGACAGACCAGCGAAGCGGGTCTTGCTGCCTGTCCTGTGGTTGGCCCTTGGCTCCCAGCCTCGAGTCCTACCCTTAGGCCAGGTCAGAGCAGGTTCAGCAGCAGGACTGGCTAGGCACCACCCAGGCTCATGAGGTGGCTTTGTGGGGAGGAAATGAGGTTTTTTTTTTTCTCTTGTAAAGTTGCTTGTTGTTAATTTAAAATTTTAATTTCATTTCTGAATTAACATTCAGCAAAACTGCTATTTTTCGGTGTACAGTTCTATGAGTTTAACACATTTATAGATTCATGTAGCAACACTGTGGATACAGAACAGTTACATCACCCCCAGAACTCCGTTCACAGTCACACTCCCCGACCCAGCCCCGGCAGCTCTCCCTGTGGTTTGTCTTTTGCAGAGGAAATCCCGCAGCTGGCGGCACTTGGAGACCGGCTCCTCGCCGAGCCGACCGCGCGTGCGCGGCTCCCTCCTCGTCCGTGCTGAGCGCCGCGTGGGGTTCCGCGTGGAGGCGCCTGTGCCGCTGAAGCGTGTTTGGGTTGCTTCCAGGGTGGGATGGTTGTTGGATAGAGCTGTTTGTGCATTTGCGTTGTAGGTTTTTGTGTGAACATAAGCTTTTGTTTCTCTCGGGTACATACCCAGAAGTGCAATTGCTGAGTCATGTGGGAAGCGTGTGCCCAACTTTACAGGAAAACACCACAGGCCGCCCCTTCGCTTTGCGCTCCCGCTAATCGGGAATGAGTGCCTGCTGCTCCGCGTTCTTGCGGGCACCCAGCATTTTCCGTGCTTACATTTCAGCCATCCCGGAATGAATGAAAAGCGTTTCCTAGTGGCTGTAATTTGCATCTCCCTGGTGGCTGATGGAAGCTTATTTCCCATCCATATCCCTTGCTTGGTGACGCATCTGTTCAAGTCCTTCCCCGGTTTGTAACTGGATTATTTGGTGTTTTTACTGTTGGATTTTGAGAGTTCTTTATGTATTCTAGATACAATTCCTTTGCCAGATATGAGATTCACAAATATTTTCTCCAACTGTATGTCTTGTGTTTTCATTCTCTCAACAGTGACTTTTGCAGCATTCATAGGGATTTTATGTTTTCTTCTCAAAGTTTTATAAACCACTATATTTAAAATTTTAATTTAAAAACTATAAACCTATTATAGTTTTTAAATTAAACTGTAAACCTCTTATATAGATTTTCTGTTTAAACTTATGATTCCTTTTAAGTTAATTATTATGTAAGTTGTGAGGGTTGGGTCAAGGCATTCCTTTGCTTAAAATCCCCAGCTTTTCATTTCTCTCAGACAGAAGTCTTGACCTGCAGGGTCAGGCTCCCCTGCTCTCTGAGCTCGCCCTCCCCACGCAGCGCTAGCCCCTGGACTATTCTCACCACTCAGGCCTTGGCCTCCATACCCGCTTGGCACCCACCAAAGGGTCCGGGGACCCCTCCACAGGGCAGCGTTCTGTCTGTGAGGTGAAGCGGGAGCAGAGGGCCAGGCAGAGCCAGGCTGGGACCCAATCTCTGCTTCAGGCTGGTCTTTTTTTTTTTTTTTTTTGAGACGGAGTCTCGCTGTCGCCCACGCTGGAGTGCAGTGGCGCGATCTCGGCTCACTGCAAGCACCGCCTCCCGGGTTCACGCCATTCTCCTGCCTCAGCCTCGCGCGTAGCTGGGACTACAGGTGCCTGCCACCATGCCTGGCTAATTTTTTGTATTTTTAGTAGAGACGGGGTTTCACCGTGTTAGCCAGGATGGTCTTGATGTCCTGACCTTGTGATCTGCCCGCCTCGGCCTCCCAAAGTGCTGGGATTACAGGCGTGAGCCACCGCACCTGGCCAGGCTGGTCTTTTTTGCCAGAGTTAGTGTTGTATTGAGGGACATGGAGGGAGAAAAGGGGGTCAGTTAGGGGCAAGTTTACTTGTGCAGGTAACCAGGGTGAGGGCTCGAGGGGAGAGGAGAGATAAGGAGGGCAGAGCTCAGCCAAGTTGGCCTGATGACATGACCAGAATGTGATCACTAGATCCCCTGCCTGGAGGCCCAAGTGTGGCCCCAGGTCTGGATAGTTGCAGCCACTGTGGGGAAGCTTCAGTTTGGGAGCCACAGAAACCAAGAATATTGTCTGGGAAGCTGATGTGCAGAGAGGAGAATGGAGCGGATGGAGGTGCGGTGGGGGAGAGAGACAAAGAGACAGAGAGGAGAGTAAAAGCCTGTTGCTGGCTCCACTATGTTGGGCTTGTCAGCCCAGCTTCTTCTTGTCCCATCCATAAAATGGGCTGGTGTCGCCCATCCTGGTTAGGAGGCACAAGGAAGTATTGCGCTGTGTGCTCGGCCCAGCTGACTCAGCAGCTCTCCAACCTCGGGGACTCTCCAGACAGGTGTGTGCAGGTGAGGTGCTGGACCAAGGAAGGGCAGGTGGAGGACATGGCCGAGGGGAGCTCTGTGAGCTGAGCTGCCTGCTTCGAGGGTGCCCTTGAGGCCCAGGACTGACCCCTGGAGGGAGAGGCTTCCTTCCTTCTGTTGGGGCTCAGAAAACAACGCCCCAAAATGAAGTCCTCAGCAGCAGCCTCAGAAGCAAAAGTTGTCTCTGACCTTCTCCTGCCCTCCTGTCTCTCAGTCTCATTCTCCCCGAAGGCGCTGTAGAAACCAGACTCTCTTTTTCCCCAAGGCCGGTCACAGAAATCAGAACCCCTTCTCCCCAAAGCTGGTCAGAAAACCTAAAAATATTACTCAGTTTTCCGTCTACCTTTCTATATAAGAGCTGACTAGAGAGAAATGATCCAACATCCCTTGTTTGACTGTAGGTCATGAGACTGTCATTCCAGAGAGGGCCCTGCCCCACGTCCAGAGAAGAAAATGCTCAGAGACGAAGACAAATCTAGACAGACCTTGCTGGGTTCCCACTCAGTCTATTCACATTAGATCAAGCCCTTTGTGTCCAATCCTTTTTTTAGAGGACTGTTCATACGTTATTAAACCTAAACATAAAAATGGACAATTTCCCCCATCGTTGGGTCTTCGTTCTAAAGGTTCTTATATGTACACATCACATAAATTTGCATACCGTTTCTCCTATTAATCCATCTGTCTCATGTCAGTGACTTCTCAGCAAACCTTTAGGGGCCAAGGGGCCCCACGCTCTCCAGCGGCAGGCACAATGGGCCTGGGGTGCAGTTGTGGACACTCGGACCCTCCTTGGAGCTGGTTTAGCTGTGCTGTGTGCTTGTGGGAATGGATTGCCATGATTTCTGGGCTCTAATAAATTGTGCTTCAATCGACTCTTGAGGAGTTAATGAGAGGCCTCACTTCAGACCATAAACACCCTCCCTGTGTGGGATAGAAACACACATCGTCACAGCCAGGAGGTCAGTCGGGTGAGGGTCTGCTTTGCTTACAAGGTCCAGAAACCCAGCAGAAAACCCTCGAGGCCACATCAGTGAAGAGTAACTTATTTCAGCAACATTTCCATGTGTGACACAAGACACACATTTCCTGCATCCACCTTTAAAGTCAAGAAGTTGAAGCTGAATAAAGCCAGCAGGCAGCGAAAATCACCTGCACTCAGTTCAGTTGTGGCAGGAAAGGGAAAGAGCCATGAAGAAAGGAGAGGGGGATGGAGAGGGAGAAAGGAGAGGGGGATGGAGAGGAGAAAGGAGAGGGGGATGGAGAGGGAGAAAGGAGAGGGGGATAGAGAGGAGAAAGGAGAGGGGGCTAGAGAGGAGAAAGGAGAGGGAGATGGAGAGGGGGATGGAGAGGGGGATGGAGAGGAGAAAGGAGACGGGGATGGAGGGGGGATGGAGAGAAGAAAGGAGAGGAGGGTGGAGAGCGACAGCTGCAGAGGGAGGCAGGGGAGGCCGGCATGGACGCTGCAGAGGGGACACAGCCACTCTGGGAACAGCAGCCAGTGGCGGATCTGCCTGGAATGCTGTTCCCTCCTGTCCAGGATGGGCCTGTCTCTGCAGACAGGGGCCCTCCCCTTCCTGGCCTGGCTGTGCACTCCCTATGTGCATGGTGGAAGCTCTGCAGAGGCCATTCTGCTCCAGAGTGGGGCATAGCCTCGGGCGAGGTTCACAGCTTGGGGGGCTGGTCCTGCCCTGTCCCACATGTGGCTGTGTGGGCAGCATGGATCTTCTTCCGCGGTGACCCTGTGTGCCCACCCCCCCCAACTTATGCCTGCTTCCCAAGGCCATGGGCCTCACCCTCAGACTTCACTTTTGTGTATATGGAAAGACACAATTATCGGGACAGAAACAGATCAGTGTTTGCCAGTGGGTGAGTGAGGGGAGAGGAGTTTACTACCGAGGGGCCGAACTGGGGCCATTTTTGAGGGATGAAAGTCTTCTGTGTGGCTCTACAGAGCTGGGTACGTGATGCTGTGTTTGTCAAACCCCACAGGACTGGACCTCACTGTGGGAACAACAAGATCAACAAGAGGAGCAAGAACAACATCAAGAGTTGGGGCCTGGGGGTCCTGACGGGTACAGGATGGGTACAGACCCACACAGGAATCCCAGAGTGTGTTCCACAGCAGGACACGCCTGCGCTGAAAGAGTGGGCAGAAAGGAGCTGACCTGGGTAAGTCCAAAAACAGTGTTTTGATTAGATTCTGGAAAGAATCAAATAACTCTGCATATCTAAGCACTAAACTCCAATTGGTAAAATTGTTTCCCACAGCAATACATGTTAGCAACTTTGAAACTACTTTTATATATACTAAGGTTTCACAAATAAGTCAATACAGTAGTAAGAGTCAGGGTTCTCACAGCTGGATAAGGAAGTCATGGAAAAGCCAGCGGGGACCCTGAGGTCCATATGTAATATATATTATACATATATACAGATCAGAATGGACCCTAAGGTGGTCGGTTATAGACAGATATGCCAGCAGGAACTCATGTTTACATGATACATATATACAGATCAGAATGGACCCTGAGGACCATATATAATATATATTATACATATATACAGATCAGAATGGACCCTAAGGTGGTCGGTTATAGACAGATATGCCAGCAGGAACTCATGTTTACATGATACATATATACAGATCAGAATGGACCCTGAGGTCCATATATAATATATATTATACATATATGCAGATCAGAATGGACCCTGAGGTCCATATATAATATATATTATACATATATACAGATCAGAATGGACCCTGAGGTGGTCAGTTATAGTCAGATATGCCAGCAGGAACTCGTGTTTACATGATACATATATACAGATCAGAATGGACCCTGAGGTGGTCGGTTACAGTCAGATATGCCAGCAGGAACTCGTGTTTACATGATACTTATATACAGATCGGAATGGACCCTGAGGTGGTCAGTTATAGTCAGATATGCCAGTAGGAACTCGTGTTTACATGATACATACATACAGATCAGAATGGACCCTGAGGTGGTCAGTTATAGTCAGATATGCCAGTAGGAACTCGTGTTTACATGATACATATATACAGATCAGAATGGACCTTGAGGTGGTCGGTTACAGTCAGATATGCCAGCAGGAACTCGTGTTTACATGATACTTATATACAGATCGGAATGAACCCTGAGGTGGTCAGTTATAGTCAGATATGCCAGTAGGAAATCATGTTTACATGATACATATATACAGATCAGAATGGACCCTGAGGTGGTCGGTTACAGTCAGATATGCCAGTAGGAAGTCGTGTTTACATGATACATATATACAGATCAGAATGGACCCTGAGGTGGTCAGTTATAGTCAGATATGCCAGCAGGAACTCATGTTTACATAATACATATATACAGATAGGTTAAATATATACACACACACGTGCGTGTGCATACATGGCTTAGCACACACATCTGTAGATCCTGGGTTTGTCCTTTGAGAGGGGACACCCCAGTAGCAGCAAGCACATTCCATGCCCAGATGTTAGTTTCTAAATTTCATCTTCAATAAAAGGAGCCAAGTCTCCCTGGAGAAATGGCTGATAATTGGGATGTGGGAGAGAAAATACAAGATGAACCTGGAGCATCTTGTAGTCCCAGGAAGTAAGAAAATGCTCAAAAATAAAATTTTTAAAAAGCTGTGGGCATTTCAAAAGGGCATGGAACCCAAAATGTAAGAGCTCCCAGTGGCCACAGCTACAATGATTTGAGTGCACACACACTCACACAGACATACACACACACACACACAAATCGGATTATGCCCCAAAGAATAAAATGAATGTCCATGGATTCGTAAGCATATAAATAAATTATTGAATAAATTAAAACTGAAAGGGTAGCCGGGCGAGGTGGCGAGCGCCTGTAGTCCCAGCTACTCGGGAGGCTGAGGCAGGAGAATGGTGTGAGCCCGGGAGGTGGAGCTTGCAGTGAGCCAAGATCACGCCAATGCACTCCAGCTGGGGTGACAGAGCAAGACTCTGTCTCAAAAACAAAACAAAACAAAACAAAACAAAAAACTGAAAGGGACAGGCCTTTCTTGGAACAAATTCCAAACAAGAAATGTGGAGTAAATAGGGAAAATCACCATCAGGCCGGGCACAGTGGCTCGTGCCTGTAATCTCAACACTTCGGGAGGCTGAGGCAGGTGGATCACCTGAGGTCAGGAGTTCGAGACCAGCCTAGCCAACATTGTGAAACCCTGTCTCTACAAAAAAATACAAAATTAGCTGGGCCTGGTGACACATGCCTGTAATCTCAGCTACTTGGGAGGCTGAGGCAGGAGAATCGCTTGAACCCGGGAGGTTGCAGTGAGCTGAGATTGTGCCACTGCACTCCAGCCTGGGCAATAAGAGCAAAACTCTGTCTCAAAAAAAAGAAAGAAAGAAAGAAAAGAAAAGAAAAAAAAGAAAGTCACCATCAGTGCTGCAGGCAAGCTCCCCTGAGGAATGCTAAAATTCCTGTGCAAAGTTTAAGGAGAAAGAAGATATTTGTATAGTCTCAAAGTGTCTCCCCTAAATGTTCAGTAATTACCGCGGCGCCCAAATTCTTTGATGCTCCTTCCTGTAGGAGTTGGAGCTCATGCTGGACTTCATGACTCACTCTTAACCAGCAGGACATGGAGAGGAAAACAGTCACTCTCCCGTGGGGAGACCTGGCAGGCCTCACCTTGGCCGTGTGATCAAGGTCCAGACCACCAGTGATGAGGCATGTTGACATCGTGGCCCCTGAGAGCACGTGATGAGAAGAGCGCTCCACCTCCGCCGTGTTCTTCCGCAAACGCACAGTTCCAATGTAATCAGAGAGAACATCACACACACACCAATTGAGGGGCATCTTGCAGAATACCTGAGCAGTACTCTGCAAAGCTGTCAAGGCGGTGAAACGAAGACAGGCCAGGAAAGGGTCACCGGTGCAGGGGACTAAGGAGGCGTGAGGGCCAGTGCAGCCTGGGGTCCTGGACGTGAGCTGCTGAGACGGCACCCGCGTGAGTGTCGCAGTTTCCACACCGTGAGCTGCCGAGACGGCACCCGCGTGAGTGTCGCAGTTTCCACACCGTGAGCTGCCGAGACGGCACCCGCGTGAGTGTCGCAGTTTCCACACCGTGAGCTGCCGAGACGGCACCCGCGTGAGTGTCGCAGTTTCCACACCGTGAGCTGCCGAGACGGCACCCGCGTGAGTGTCGCAGTTTCCACACCGTGAGCTGCCGAGACGGCACCCGCGTGAGTGTCGCAGTTTCCACACCGTGAGCTGCCGAGACGGCACCCGCGTGAGTGTCGCAGTTTCCACACCGTGAGCTGCCGAGACGGCACCCGCGTGAGTGTCGCAGTTTCCACACCGTGAGCTGCCGAGACGGCACCCGCGTGAGTGTCGCAGTTTCCACACCGTGAGCTGCCGAGACGGCACCCGCGTGAGTGTCGCAGTTTCCACACCGTGAGCTGCCGAGACGGCACCCGCGTGAGTGTCGCAGTTTCCACACCGTGAGCTGCCGAGACGGCACCCGCGTGAGTGTCGCAGTTTCCACACCGTGAGCTGCCGAGACGGCACCCGCGTGAGTGTCGCAGTTTCCACACCGTGAGCTGCCGAGACGGCACCCGCGTGAGTGTCGCAGTTTCCACACCGTGAGCTGCCGAGACGGCACCCGCGTGAGTGTCGCAGTTTCCACACCGTGCGCTGCCGAGACGGCACCCGCGTGAGTGTCGCAGTTTCCACACCGTGCGCTGCCGAGACGGCACCCGCGTGAGTGTCGCAGTTTCCACACCGTGCGCTGCCGAGATGGCACCCGCGTGAGTGTCGCAGTTTCCACACCGTGCGCTGCCGAGATGGCACCCGCGTGAGTGTCGCAGTTTCCACACCGTGAGCTGCCGAGATGGCACCCGCGTGAGTGTCGCAGTTTCCACACCGTGAGCTGCCGAGATGGCACCCGCGTGAGTGTCGCAGTTTCCACACCGTGAGCTGCCGAGATGGCACCCGCGTGAGTGTCGCAGTTTCCACACCGTGAGCTGCCGAGATGGCACCCGCGTGAGTGTCGCAGTTTCCACACCGTGAGCTGCCGAGATGGCACCCGCGTGAGTGTCGCAGTTTCCACACCGTGAGCTGCCGAGATGGCACCCGCGTGAGTGTCGCAGTTTCCACACCGTGAGCTGCCGAGATGGCACCCGCGTGAGTGTCGCAGTTTCCACACCGTGAGCTGCTGAGATGGCACCCGCGTGAGTGTCGCAGTTTCCACACCGTGAGCTGCTGAGATGGCACCCGCGTGAGTGTCGCAGTTTCCACACCGTGAGCTGCTGAGATGGCACCCGCGTGAGTGTCGCAGTTTCCACACCGTGAGCTGCTGAGATGGCACCCGCGTGAGTGTCGCAGTTTCCACACCGTGAGCTGCTGAGATGGCACCCGTGTGAGTGTCGCAGTTTCCACACCGTGAGCTGCTGAGATGGCACCCGCGTGAGTGTCGCAGTTTCCACACCGTGAGCTGCTGAGATGGCACCCGCGTGAGTGTCGCAGTTTCCACACCGTGAGCTGCTGAGATGGCACCCGCGTGAGTGTCGCAGTTTCCACACCGTGAGCTGCTGAGATGGCACCCGCGTGAGTGTCGCAGTTTCCACACCGTGAGCTGCTGAGATGGCACCCGCGTGAGTGTCGCAGTTTCCACACCGTGAGCTGCTGAGATGGCACCCGCGTGAGTGTCGCAGTTTCCACACCGTGAGCTGCTGAGATGGCACCCGCGTGAGTGTCGCAGTTTCCACACCGTGAGCTGCTGAGATGGCACCCGCGTGAGTGTCGCAGTTTCCACACCGTGAGCTGCTGAGATGGCACCCGCGTGAGTGTCGCAGTTTCCACACCGTGAGCTGCTGAGATGGCACCCGCGTGAGTGTCGCAGTTTCCACACCGTGAGCTGCTGAGATGGCACCCGTGTGAGTGTCGCAGTTTCCACACCGTGAGCTGCTGAGATGGCACCCGTGTGAGTGTCGCAGTTTCCACACCGTGAGCTGCTGAGATGGCACCCGTGTGAGTGTCGCAGTTTCCACACCGTGAGCTGCTGAGATGGCACCCGTGTGAGTGTCGCAGTTTCCACACCGTGAGCTGCTGAGATGGCACCCATGTGAGTGTCGCAGTTTCTACACCGTGAGCTGCTGAGATGGCACCCATGTGAGTGTCGCAGTTTCTACACCGTGAGCTGCTGAGATGGCACCCATGTGAGTGTCGCAGTTTCTACACCGTGAGCTGCTGAGATGGCACCCATGTGAGTGTCGCAGTTTCTACACCGTGAGCTGCTGAGATGGCACCCATGTGAGTGTCGCAGTTTCTACACCGTGAGCTGCTGAGATGGCACCCATGTGAGTGTCGCAGTTTCCACACCGTGAGCTGCTGAGATGGCACCCATGTGAGTGTCGCAGTTTCCACACCGTGAGCTGCTGAGATGGCACCCATGTGAGTGTCGCAGTTTCCACACGTGCCTCATTGCTGTGTAAGATGCTCAAGTGAGAGGAAGCTGGTGAACGGGTCTGTGGGAAGTTGCAGTACTGTCTTTGCAACTCTTCTGGACATCTTTTTTTTTTTTTTAAATAAAACATTTTTAACATGAAAATATGCAGAGCACGGTGGCTCGCACCTGTAATCCCAGCACTTTGGGAGGCCGAGGCAGGTGGATCATGAGGTCAGGAGTTCAAGACCAGCCTAGCCAACATGGTGAAACCCCGTCTCTACTAAGAATACAAAAATTAGCTGGGCGTGGTGATGGGCATCTGTAATCCCAGCTACTCGGGAGGCTGAGGCAGGAGAATCACTTGAACCCGGGAGGCAGAGGTTGCAGTGAGCCGAGATCGCGCCCCTGCACTCCAGCCTGGGTGACAGAGCAAGACTCCATCTCAAAAAAAATAAAGGAAATATGCGTCGTTGGATGCTGTATGACAATCAAGCTACTTATAACAAACAAAATTGAGAATGAAGGTAAATTAAAAATAATTTATAGTCTTTAAAAAGCAGGAACTACAAAATTTACATTTCTGAAAATGGCAGAAAAATCCCACATGGCTGTATATGTATGTGTGAGATTGTGTATGAATGAGCGCATGCATATATTTTTGTGTGTTTGGATTATATGTGTGACGGTGTGCATGAGTGTGTATATGATTTGGGGGTATGTGTGAGTGTGTATGACTGTGTGTATGAGTGTGTATGATTTGTGTGTGTGAGTGTGTACATGTATACACTAGTGTGCGTATGATTTGGGGGTATGAATGTGAATGTGTACATATGTATTTATGATCTGAGTGTGTATGAGTGTGAATGTGAACATGTGTGTGTGAGTGGGTATATGATTTGGGTGTGTGCAAGTATGAATATGTATTGTGTGCATTAATGTGTATATTTTGGGCTGTGTATGAGTGAATGTGAACATGTGTGCACGAGTGTATATATGATCTGGGTGTGTATGAGTGAGCATGAGTGAACATGTGTGCATGAATGTGAGTATGATTTGGGTGTGTATGAGTGTGAATGTGTGCACGAGTGTATATATGATCTGGGTGTGTATGAGTGAGCATGAATGTGAACATGTGTGCATGAATATATGATTTGGGTGTGTATGAGTGTGAATGTGTGCACGAGTGTACAATCGGTGTGTATGAGTGAGCATGAATGTGAACATGTGTGCACGAGTGTATATATGATCTGGGTGTGTAGGAGTGAGCATGAATGTGTATGCACAAGTGTGTGTATGTGTGTATGATCTGGGTGTGGAGTGTGAATACGAACACGTATGCGCAAGTATGTATATGATCTGTGTATGTATGAGTGAGTGTGAATGTGTGCATAAGTGTGTGTATGATCTGGGTATGAGTGATTGTGAATGTGAGCATGTGTGCACGAGTGTGTATATGATCTGGGTGTGTGGGAGTGAGCATGAATGTGTATGCACAAGTGTGTGTTTGTGTGTATGATCTGGGTGTGTAGGAGTGTGAATATGAACACGTGTGCACAAATGTGTATATGATCCGAGTATGTAGGAGTGAGTGTGAATGTGAACATGTTTGCACGTGTGTATATGATATGGGTGCATGTGTGGGTGTGTTTGTGCAGGTGCACTGGGAGCTTTCAGCATTGAGTCTGTGTGGCATCCAGGCTTTTCTGGATGATGTAGAATCAAACCCCATAATTAATTCCAGTAACTTAGAAATTTTCACTTATGAATACTAAATTCTCCTCACCTAGCAACTGACTGAGCAGGTTGAACAGCACCCTTCGCCGTTCTCCTGCAGAACCCCGTGGAATGGCCCTGCTTTCTCAGAGTGCTCCTAGCGGTGATGAGGGAGCCCAGCTCATTGCGGTTCGTGCAGAAGGCTGTGTGCCATCTCCGGGACTGCACGGAGAGGCGGAGGCTCAGGCGTGGGATCTGAGCTCAGTGGGCCCTTTAAGGACCGCTGCCTCCTTTCCTCCCTTTGGCATTCAGCATCGACTTACGATGGCTCCCAGTCACAGTCCTTGTCACTGCCTGGCATTACACAGGGCCACAGTCCCTTAACTGAAACACTTGGGACCAGTTGCATTTTGGAATTCGGAATGTTTCTTGATTTCAGAGAGAGAAGAGGGGATGGACTGTTGGGCAGCCCTGATTAACCCTGCAGCGTCTTGGCTCTAGAGGGGCCTACACGGCTGGGAGCGTCTCGGCTCTAGAGAGGGGCCTGCACTGCCGGGAGCATCTCAGCTCTAGAGAGGGGCCTGCACTGCTGGGAAGCCTACACGGCTGGGAGCGTCTCGGCTCTAGAGCCACAGCTGATGCATGGCAACGATGAGCTCTCCTGCTTAGTGCTGATGTGCCTCAGCCCCTAACCCCACTGGTGTCCAGATGAGGAACTTGAGGCTCAGAGAAGCTAGGTCAAGGTGAACACCAGTGTTGAGTTTCAGCCCCAGGTCTACCTGATGCTGACTCCACATTGACTGAGTTGGCCTGGTCCATTGTGAGGTCAGGTAGAGCCAGGGCCGAGGTGGGGATGCCAAGGTCCCATGCCGCAAAGATGGGTGGGACGGCACAGGAGCCGGTCATCATCCCCAAAGACACAGCTCCGAATACCTCATCCTGAAATCCCAAAGATCAAAATCCCAAAAGTATAAATCTGGAAAAAATAATGTCGATGTTATTTATTTACATTTTTAAAAGGTATGTATTTGAGAAACATAAAAACACAACAGAACATTTCATAGGCCACTTTACACAATAAAATAGGCAATGATAACAGGTATTTTTGCATAAACACTGAGGTAACTAACGACGGCGGCATGGGTGTAGCAGTTATAAGAAGACAGACCATAAAGAAATAAGTCAAAAGAGAAACGTGTACACGTATATCGCTACGGTTACTAATTGTGTGCACCTAGCCCTGTAGCTGTGGTCATCTGAAATATCAGGGATTTTAGACTTGAGGGATTTTGATCTTTAGGGATTTCAACATTCCACATTATGGTGCTTGGGATTGTGTCTTTCAGGATTATGATCCAAACTCAGCTGGGCCTCCCCTCCCTGCCCCAGGATTGTGGAGTGAGAACGTTGCAGCAGGAGAGAACAACGCAGCAAAGCACAGCAGGGGAACCGGAAATGCTCACCTTTTGACAGGGTACTTTTAGTTCTGGGGCCTTATCTTAAGGATATTCCAACATATACAAAAAGATTCATGCACAGAGATATTTACTTTAGTATTATTTACCATAGGAAAAAAGTTGGAAACAATACATTTTATGTTCTGTAAAATGAAAGAACAGTTAAATAAATCATGGCTCTAAGACGACTCCAGGGCTGTGTACGGAAGTTCAGGGACAGAATCAGTTGAGGCTGTTCCACCTGAGCCTAAGCTTCCTCTGCTGTATGTCGGGAATCAGGTGGGGGCCAAGCGAGATCACCACAGTGCAGGCCAGTGTGCAGGGCACAGGTGGGCGCCAGGGAGGGGACGCCGCACAGCCCCATGCTCTCGCCAAAAACGTGCAGCACAATTTGGAAGAAAACATTTCCATCTGTTAATAAAGAGCAACGGCCTCTGGTCATAAGAAGTGACACATGACCCTTTGCCTGAGTCTTTTTAAATTTTTCCATATGTTCCATATTTTCTACACCAAATGTAAGCTACTTTCATAATCACAAAAACTTAATGGAAAGAGGAGGAGGAGGACGGGGGTGGGGAGTAGTAGCCATGGGTTCGAGCCCTTCCTCTCCGCATGACTTGGATAACACGGTATATTCACACAGCTATTTCCCCATCTATGAACTTCTGAGGTGCTTTTATTAGTTGATGTCTGGGACCCCTAGGAGCTCTCTTTATACCTCATGATATCAAATGCCCACCTTTCCAGCTCCTCTTGGCCTCCTGCCCTTCCTGGAGGGAGATGCGCTCCCTGGAGCTGCTGACTAGGTGGAAGCAGACTGGCTCCTTCAGTGGGTAGGCCAGCCTGCCTGTCTCCCTAGCCCAGTCCCACCGTGCTGGCCTCAGTGGTGGAGGCAGGCATGGAGCCTTGGAGGAACCACTCCTCCCCAGCCGCCACCAACATTTGTGGCACCGAGAAGCACCCGTGCTATTCCGGACAGGGATGGGGTTGGACACCCATGCATAGGGGACCCTACACTCCTAGGCTTGGCTCTGGGCTAAACAGCAGGTGTGGATTTGGGCCTAGGCCTCGGAGAAGCCATCAGCTAGGGCAGAATTCCCATGTGGGCAGGATGTTATTTAGGAATTCCAGGGCTTTCTGTATTCCAGATTTCCTGTATTGTGCATATGTGCGTGCACGTATGTGCCCTCAGCCATGATGTAAAGTGTTTTTCTGGCTGGGGTTGCATCACAGAGTTTGGAAGCCACTGCTCTGCAGATTCTGAGGACCACCTCCCTTATTTCTCACCAAATTCCCATTTCTTCTGTTTTTGTTCCACCCAATGCAAAAAGCATACTGCCTTCTCTTCTGCATTGGTGGGCAGCGGGTCCTGCAGCTCAGGTTTCTCCAGCCAGGGCCCTGAACGTGAGCCTGGTGGCGTGGGCAGGGGGCTGACTCCATGTGGGCCAAAGGCAACCTATCCAGCTCTTCAGAATGGCTTTTCTCTCCTCCCTATAAAACATATTTTCTCTCCTCCCTATAAAGCCTATTTTTGTATTAGGGTGTTTGTTAAAATGAAAACATGAGATCATTGATGCATAACGAGAAGCCGTGTCATTACTTCCCAGGCCCTGTGCAAGGTGCAAATTGGCGTGTTAGTGGCTGTTTGCATCTTTTCAGTTCCTTTCGTCTTTTCTCCTTATCCTGCCCTTTATATGGTTTCTGCTTTAAGTCAAACATTGTGAGTGGATTGATGGACATATGTGTGTGTGAGCGTGTGTGCACAGATGCATGAGAACTGCAGAGAGAGATGGGAGGTAACCAGGGGGATCACTGTTCTCTTCTTCCCAAACATTAGCGTTAGGCTGTTCCGCTTCTGTTCTTGAGAGGGCACCCACATTACTGCTTGGGAGCCTGGAAATGGCCCCACTGAAGCAGCTCTGAGGCCCTGGACACCCTTTTCCTGGTTGTGGCCAGCTGAGTTGTGCATGGTCCTCCCCGTGGGATGTGCTTGGAGCATCTGCTGGTAGCAGAGCCTCAGTTCCTCTCCTGCGTTCTTTCGCTACAGGTGTTAGACCTGCTGCCCACCTGTGACCTGTTTACTGCCAGGGATAGACCTGTGGCCAGTGTGGAAAGCGAGATGCTTTGTCCATACAGCCTGCGGGGCTCAGCCTTCCTGGGGTTGCCCACAGCTAGGCTGGGCCAGGACCCCCAAGCCTGGGAACTTACACCTTTCTCACCTGCTTTCCTAAAGGTGGTTTTCCTTTGTGATCTCTCTCCCTGAACGGCTAAACCACACTCTGAATAGAAAACTGTCTTGAAAACTGCTTTGCACGTACATCTGATAAGGTCCTCTGGAGGGCGACCTCCACTGTCTAGTGGGCGAGGATTGTTCAGCCGCCTTGGCTGAGTCACCGAGCTGCCAAGGGCAGACTGTACCCTGGGCTCACCAGCATGCAAAGATATTTTATTCATTTATTTATTCCATAAATATATATTTATATTATTTATATTTAGAGCCAGTGTATCTCTCTGTCGCTCAGGCTGGAGTGCAGTGGCACTATCTCACTGCAGCCTCAAGCTCCCGGGCTCAAGGAATCCTCCTACTTTGTCCTCCCAAACAAAAATATTTTTAAGGAGCCCACTAGGAGAGTGCTGAGTTTAAAATCTAAGTTCTTGTTTCTTTTTTCTTTTTCACTGATGCATAATAGATGTACATAGTTTCAGGGTACATGTGATAGTTTAATGCATTCATATAATTGTGAAAATCAAATCAGCCTACTTGGAATATCTATCGCCTTAAATATTTGTTTTTGCTTTATGCTAGAACCGTTCCGATTCTTCTCTTCTAGCCATTTTGAAATATACAGTAGGCAATTGCCAACTATGATCTATGTAACCCTAGGTCTTATTCCTTCTATCAAACCACGTATTTGTACCCTTCAATCAACTTCTCTTTCTCCCCGTCTCCCCGCTACATTTCCCCACCTCTGGTAACCACGCGTCTACCCTCTGTCTTCACGAGAGCTACTTTTTTAGTAGGTGGGAGAGAACATTCAATGTTTGTCTTTCTGTGCTTGGCTTATTTCACTTAACATAATGATCCCTAGTTCCATCTTGTACAAATAACAGGCTGTCGTTCCTCTGTATGGCTGAATAATATTCCACTGTGTATACACACCACGTTCTGTTTATCCATCATCCGCTGATGAACTCAGAGGCTGATTCCGTATTTTGGCGATTGTGAGTAGTCCCGCAGTAAACATGAGAGTGCAGATGTCTTTACGATATATTGATTTTGTTTCTTTTGACTATAGGCCCAGTTAGTGAAATTACTGGATCATACAGCAGTTTTACTTTTAGGTGTTTTTTTTTTTGTTTGTTTGTTTTTTGAGATGGAGTCTTGCTCTGTCACTAGGCTGGTGTGCAGTGGTGTGATCTTGGCTCACTGCAACCTCTGCCTCCCGGGTTCCTGTGTTTAAGCGATTCCCTTGCCTCAGCCTCCCGAGTAGCTGGGATTTATAGGTGCGCACCACCACGCCCAGCTAATTTTTTGTATTTTAGTAGAGACGGGATTTCACCATGTTGGCCAGGATGGTCTCGATCTCCTGACCTTGTGATCCGCCCGCCTCCACCTCCCAAAGTGCTGGGATTACAGGTGTGAGACACCGCGCCCGGCCAACTTTTATTTATTTATTTATTTTTTAAGGAGGAGTCTTGCTCTGTCACCCAGGCTGGAGTGCAATGGTGCGCTCTCCGCTCACCGCAATCTCCACCTCCTGTGTTCCAGTGATTCTCCTGCCTCAGTCTCCCAAGTAGCTGGGATTACAGGGTCGCACCACCACGCCTGGCTAATTTTTTATATTTTTAGTAGAGATGGGGTTTCATCATGTTGGCCAGGCTGGTCTCAAACTCCTGACCTTGTGATCCCCCTGCTTTGGCCTCCCAAAGTGCTGGGACCACAGGCGTGAGCCACCATGCCCGGCCCCTTTTGGTTTTTTGAGGAGCCTCCATCTGTTTTCCATAGTGGTTGTACTAATCAACGTTCCCACAACAGTGTGTGAGGGTCCCCCTTTCTCCACATCCTCGCCAGCATCCCTTATTCCCTGCGTTTTTGACGAAAGCCATTTTAACTGAGGTGAGAGAAGACCTCATTGCAGTTTTTTATTTGCGTTTCTCTGATGATTAGTGATGTTGAGCATTTTTTCATGTACCTGCTGGCCATTTGTACATCTTCTTTTGAGAAATGTCTACTCAGGTCTCTTGCCCATTTTAAAATTCGATTAATTGTTTGCTATTGTTTGAGCTCCTGGTTATGAATCCCTTGTCAGGTGGGTAGCTTGCAAGTATTTTCTCCCATTCTGTGGGTTGTCTCTTCAGTTTGTTGACTTTTTCCTTTGGTCTGCAGAGGGTTCTTAGCTTGGTGTGATTTCACTTGTCTGTTTTTGCTTTGGTTGCCTGTGCTTTTGGGGCCCTACTGAAAAAGTCTTTGCTGAGAACAATGTCCTGGAGCACTTCCCTAATGTTTTCTTCCAGTAGTTTTATACTTTCAGGTCTCAGTTTTACCTTTAATCCATTCTGATTTGATTTCTGTGTATGGTAAGAGAGACGGGTCTAGTTTCATTCTTCTGCATATCTTTATCTAGTTTCCCCTGCACCACTTATGGAAGAGACCGTCCTTTCGCTCGTATGTTGTTGGTGCCTTTGCTGAAGATGAGCTGGCTGTAAATGTGTGGATTTATATCTGGGTTCTCTATTCTGTTCCACTGGTCTATGTGTCTGTTTTACGTGATTACCAGGCTGATTACCAGGCTGATAGGTTGGCTCATGCCTGTAATCCCAGTACCTTTGGAGGCCCAGGTGGGAGGATCACTTGAAGCCAGGACTTCAAAACCAGCCTGGGCAACAAAGCAGGACCCCATCTCTACAATGTTTTAAAAAATTATTTGGTGCAGTGGCATACACCTGTAGTCCCAACTACGCAGGAGGCTGAGGTGGGAGGATCCTTTGAGCCTAGGAGTTTGAGGCTGCTCTGAGCTGTGATTGTGCTACTGCACTCCAGCCTGGTTGACAGAGCAAGGCCCTGTCTCTTAAAAAAAAAAAAAACTATTGCAAGAGGAGAGAGAGAGACTGAATTCAACTCTCAATACAACAGAGACAAGTGGGGATAGCCAATGAGCAGGGTGAGGGAGGTGATGAAAAGTTGTTGAAAGGAGCTTGGTTAGTTAGCAAGGGTGGGGAAGATTCTCACTAAGGACCTTAGCAGCATTCCTTGCTAGCACTGAGCTCAGCAGGCCAAGGATGAGGCTTCATCAAGGAGAAGGCTCAAAGGAGCCTGAGTGGAGTTTGGTCAAGGAGAGCGTCTTTGTCATCCTTGCAATGACTCATTTTATAGGTAATTAAGTAGGGGGTTCAGACAGGTCAAAGACTTACCAAAAAGAGGAAATTGTGTCCATGTGGCTGGTGGCTCACCCCAGGAACTGACAGTGGCTTACTCTCAGAAACTCAGAGTGTGCGTGTCTCTTTGAATCCGTATCTGTGTGTGGGTGGGTGCGTCTGTCTGTGTGCGTGCCTCAGTCTCTTCTGAATTTCTCTCCCAATCCCCGTCTCTCTTTCCTCGGGTTGGTGTTTCCCTCCTGCTGGCCTCTGGCCAGCTATTTCTGGAAGTGTCAGCTGCTCTGTCTTCCTGCCCCTGTCTCCACCATCACGTCTGTGTCTGACTCCCTTTCTTTCCCATACAAAACCCCTAATGCAAGTCCTACTGTTTCTGTAACTGGCCACTGCCTATAACAAATCTTTGCTTAGGTTGTGTTTCTTTGTAGAATAGACTGATGTACTGTGTGCTTGATTTTTACAAGATGAGCACAATACCTTATCTTTCTTCTTTATTAAAAAAAAGGAAAAATCCAAACACAAGATTAATATCTCGTCATGGACTGTGCCCCGCTCGAGCCTCTCCACATGCAGCCGGAAGGAAAGTGGAGGGAGCTGCTCCTTTCCGTAGCCGGGGTGCCCACCCCAACCAGGCTGCCTCTGCCACCCAAGACAGAGGTTCTCTGATAATAATTTGTGGGGCTTGTTTCCAGAGACCACACCTGAAGCTGCCAACTCCCCGGAGGGAAGGTCCTGATTAATGGCCGATGAATTTCTCCTTAAGGCCCTGAAACTGCCTACTCAGAACCAAGCCAGTTTTTCCTGCCTGTCCTGTTTGGGCAGGCAGAGGAGGCAGCTAGAAACCCATTATGCAGGGGATGGGGGTAAGTGGAGGAGGGAGGGGTCGGGGGAGGAGTGGGGAGGAGGAGGAGGGAAACAGGAAACCCCAGGCTTTGGCTATGATGGGGTCAGCCTTTCTACACCATTCCGGGATGCTGGTGTCCACCACTGCTGCCTGGGCACGGGGAACAGAGAATCTGCCTGGTGGGAGCAGACAAGAGGTTCGAGGACCAGAGCTCATCCTCTTCGGTGTGTGCCTGGGAGGAGGTGTAGGTGCAGCCAGTGGGGTATGATTAAAAAGAAGGGACGCGAGTTTAGGGGACAGCCGCCCACGTGCACCAGCTCTCCGTGTGCCAAAATCTTGCCTGTCAGGGACCAGGATCCCACTTCACAGTTAGCAAATAGCAGCTCAGGGACATTAAGCAACTCGCCCAGCATCCCACCAGCAGACAGTCTCACCTTCAGGGTCGTCTGTGTCTGTTAAAGTCGAGTCTAGTTTCGGGTCTCAGAGCACCTCCCTAAAGCTGCCGTAAACCAAGAATAAAATTCTAAGCCCCACAGCCGATCGCGTGGACCCCGCCTCTGGGCCAAAGGGATTCCAGAGAAACCTGAAGAACTAGTTCAGGCCGTGATGAGGAGGAGTGGGGGCTGGACAGGCCTCATTGTACCCTCCTCCCTTTGGAATTTGGGCAGAACTGACCAGAACCAACATTAAAACAGAGATCTGAAGACTGACAAGGCTCTCTAGCAATAAGATACCAAATTCCAACCTGACTCCAGTGCAGCATCACATGACAGACAGAGGCCATGAAATCAATATTTTACCTCAAAATATATTTCTTTGACATACTTTGAAATGGCCCTGCCAAGCTGTCTCTTGTGGGGGACATTTACATTCTGTAGAGAATCCCTTCCCTTTCCAGGTCTTTCTCTGATCCTGAAGACATTGGCTGAGAGCCTAGCACCTTCTATGGGTCTGAACAGGAAACATTTGCCATCTATTGTCTCTAAGGGTGGCCACCTATGAAACTTCATCTACATAATAAGAACCTTGGTCTGCACAGTCTCTTATCTTAACCCAGACTCTCCTTTCTATTGATAGCAGGTCTGTAGATAATAATTCTTTCAACCAATTGAGAATCAGAAAATCTTTGAATCTATCTATGACCTGTAAACCCCATTACTTTGAATTTTCCTCCTTCCAGACCAAACCAATGCACAACTCCTACGTACTGATGGTGGTCTTACGTTTCCCTAAGTTTCTGCCGACTAAACTGTGCACACGTTCTCAGGACCTCCTGAAGCTGCGTCACAGGCGCTGATCAAAGAACACAACCAAGGTGAGTGTCAATCATTTCAAGAAATCTGTTTGCAAGGTTAAGGACACACCTGAGAAAAGAACAGAGAACCACAGGAAAAACTGTGGTCCGTGCTTTTCCCAAAGGTTGTCTGGGGACCTCAGTAAGTAAAGGGGAGAAGTGTGGGTGTTGGGGAAAGGGGAAGAAGTGGAAAAAATGGGTGTGGGTAAATCAGAGGCAAATGGTTGCATTCTTCTGTCTTTGGTCAGCGTTCACTGAATACACATTTTACATGTGATGGAGGTAGAGGCAGGGATGTAGCTTTTTTATCTTTGTGTAATAGCTATCTTATTTAGGAACCAGATGGGAAGCAGGTTTGCATAAGCCAGTTCCCAGCTTGGCTTTTCCCTTTGGCTTAGTGAGTCTGGGGTCCCAGGATTTATTTTCCGTTCTCACAGGTTGTAGTCCTCACATTTGGCTCAAAATATTCAAAATTTTTTCCAGAGTTTGGCCTTTTCTTCAGCACTGGGAATTGTGATCCAAAGCTTTTCCTGATGAGGTACAAAGTTGGAGAAACAAAACGCAAACTAAGCAACAATGAAACAGAACAGAGTGAATCTGCTGTAGCTCAAGAGAGGACGTAGCTGCCCCCACCCCGCATCCCTGGGCTCGGGTTTGCCTTGCTGACCTCTGCTGCCACCTGGTGCCGCACAGAGAAACTGAGGAGAAACCACATCAGTCTCCTTCAGCCTCAGCTTCACATCTGTGGGTCAAGCAACCCTTTCAGAAGCTGTATAATGTGGGAAAGCTTTCCTCTCAGGAAAATGCACACATCCAACTTTGAGAAGATGCCCTTGGGGGTGCTTCAAGGATCCTAGATAATAACCCCCTTTCCCGAACATCCAAGAACCTAAGTTTTTTTTTTTTTTTTTGAGAAAGTCTCGCTCTCTCTCCCATTCTGGAGTGCAGTGGCGTGATCTTGGCTCACTGCAAGCTCCACCTCCCAGGTTCAAGCCATTCTCCTGCCTCAGCCTCCCAAGTAGCTGGGGCTACAGGCACCTGCCACCACACCCGGCTAATTTTTTTGTATTTTTAGTAGAGACGGGGTTTCACCGTGTTAGCCAGAATCGTCTTGATCTCCTGACCTTGTGATCCACCCGCCTCGGCCTCCCAAAGTGCTGGGATTACAGGTGTGAGCCACCACACCTGGTCCAAGAACCCAACTTTTAGATCTAGAGTGATGTCAGCATGACATTGATTTCCTGAGGCCCAGGGGTGAAGGAGCTGAGGACAGCAGAGGGGTGAAGGAAGTCAGCTACAGACAGCAGCAGCTGATGCACAGGCCTCCCAGCGCCTGAAGTCACCCGGAATTGGGAAGTGCTCAGAAGCTTACAAAGCTGCCTCGAGGTGGGAACACAACATTAATCCAAGAGCAGATCCCTGATCCTATAAAAATGTACTAGATGCAGTGGGGGCATTTTAAATGAGCAGGGAAGGACAGACAGATAAACAGAAGGACAAACAGTATTGGGATTGGGATAAATGCTCAGCTTTTGCCCAAATCTTAGTGACTTAAGCATCACTTATTTGCTCACGATTCTGTGGCTGGACCATTTGGTTTGGCTCACAGGGCAGGGACTGTGCTGGTCTTACCTGAGCAGACCTGCATGTCTGCGGTCAACTGGGTTGGCAGAGACAGAGTGACTGTCTTCCTCCAGGAAGCAGCAGGTTAACTGGTTGGCAGAGACAGAGGGACTGAGGGACTGTCTCCCTCCAGGAAGCAGCAGGTTAACTGGTTGGCAGAGACAGAGGGACAGAGGGACTGTCTTCCTCCAGGAAGCAGCAGGTTGGCTCTGGTTCCTTCGTGGGGCAGCTGGTCTCCAGGGCAGCAAGAGAGACCAAGCCCCCGTGCACATTCTACAGCCTCTGTGCACATCAGACTTGTTAATATCCCATTGGCCAGTGCAAGTCACACGGCCAAGCCCAGATTAAGGAGTGGAAAGATGGACGCTATCTCCTCCTGGGAGAGGAGGCAAAGGAGGTGAGAGCATTATGTGGCCACTTATGTTTGCAATCTACCATACTTAGCCCTTTGAGAAAAGAATTAACTGAGAAACTTGCTTCAAATAGGGCATTCAGTAAAATGAAGCCCCAATTGAAGTAAAATGCATATATAAAAAATGAAACTGTGACCGATTTTAAGGACAGTATTGGCAAATATTTCTGTGCTCTTGGAGGAGAAGACCCTTATTGGCATGACGTGTCAGAAACCACAATGAAAGAATTATTTTAACTTGCATTCATAAAAATTAAAATTATTCATTAAAAACATCGTGAATGAAATTAAAAGTCAAAATGTAAGCCAGAAAATTATTTACAACATATGTGTCAGGAAAAGACAATACCCTTCAGACTTTGAGAGTTTACATCAGAAAGAAAATAGCAAATGACATGATCCAAACTTGATAAAGGACATGAAAAAGAGCCAGCACTTAGTATGTTTTCTGAATGAATAAGTAGCCAACAGCACATGAAAATGTGTGTAATCCACTTGTAAGCAGAGAAATGCAAATTAAAACAGTAAAGTGTCATTTTCACTTCCTGGATTGGCAAAGGGTTTTATGTATTTTACTGACAGTGCTCAACATTAGCAGTAAACAACAAATGGTGAGTAAATATGAGCTTCGGAACCTCAGGGAAATGATCTCCTTATTTCAACCTGTAGATTCCTTCCTACAACCAGTGTAGAGCAGAGTACCAGGACGGGCCATTGAGCACCCTGGTGTTGAGAGCAAGTGGCCTCTAGTCAGAGTTGGGTCAGGGCCACTGTGAGTGGGCTGCCCCCAACATGAGTCAGCTGTCTAGGACTAGTTTATCTCTGCTTCTCACTTTACTGGTATTATGGGGCAGCTCCTGCTGTCTTCCAATTTGGTGTCTTCCAAATCGGCACCGTCTTTTAAAGTTGAGTTTCTTGTTATTCTCACCTGATATACCTTATTTATCCCACACCCACCCCAATAACATATCGTGCTCAGTGTTATCTTTGAGACAACACTTGAATTTTACTCAGCCTGGCGTGCTCTTCACATGTCTTGTCTAGATCCAGTTCGGACTCATTCTTCAGCCGTGCATCAGTAAATGGGGGCTAGGTTAAACTGTGGTGACAAACAACCTCCAAATTTCAGTGGCTCAAAAATCTTCTTCCTCATTTATTTACATTTCATCATGGGTCAGGTGAGAGGTAGCTCTGTGCCGTGTCATCCTAACACAGGAATCCAGACAGAAGGAGGGACAATCAGTAAGATCCCCATTGCTATAGAAAAGAGAAAAAAGTATGCGGAATAGAACTCTGTTTCTTGGAGATTTCTCCTGAAAAAGTCACATGTTATTTCTTCTCACCTCCATTGGCAAAAAAAAAGTCATGTGGCCATGTGAAAATGTAAGTAGGCGGGATGGAACAGTCAGAATGCATTCATAAAATATGAACTGAAAATATCTGGAGAACAGCACCTATGACTACCACGAATGCCAACATGCATCCCTAACAACCCAGTGCTGTCACCCTCCAAACTTTTTATGTCTTGCAAAGTATTAGAACTTCTTATCTGAAGCCATACCACTCAGAGGGAATGCAAAATACATATTGACATCTCCTTTAGGATGTCCTTAGAGAATTCAAGGAAAAGAAGTTAAATAATTTAAAAGTGCTTTTGGGTACAGCTATTTAGCACTAGAGGGTAAGATTAGACATAGATTGTAAAGATAATAATAGGGTTAGGGATAGGATTAGGATCTGGGTCAGAGTCAGGGCCAGAAGTATGGTTAGAGGTGGGGTCATGGTCAGGGTCGAGATCAAAGTCAGGGTCAGAATTAGGGACCAGGATAGGGATCAGGATTTAGGTTCAGTGTCAAAGTCTTGGGACAAGGTTAGGGTTAGAATTAGAACCAGAGCTTTGTTCTCCTCAGGACCCACCCGAGGGTGGGTCACCATGGCTTTGGAGCCCCTGGTAGTGTGGCGTGTCCACAGTGAAGACCAGAGTTTCATTGTCCTTAAGACTGACCTGGGGAGACGTGGCTGCAGGCCATTGAGGAAGGTGAGGAAAAACTTCCTGTCTGCTCCCCGTGTGCTGAGGAGGGAGCTCTGCCGTGGGCTTTACTTTCACATGTTATATTCCACAAGTCTTGTTTTACAAAAGCATCCCTTCCTTGAGGCTTCGGCTGCTCATCGCTGCTCATCATCATAGCGTGCCATAACATATAGTAAGATTTGGGTTTGTTTCTGGGGAGAGATCTTGGTATAGAGAAAGGAGAAATGCTTAGAGCCACCATCAGGACAGTTGGGATGAAAGTTGGGTATAGGCAGAGGCTGGAGGAAACATGTGCATCCCCTGTAAACACTTTTATTCATGTTTTAATTACTCATTTTTCTTACAGTGTTAAATTAGTAAAGATAGTATTGAAAAATTGAAAAGTAGGCATATTAAAACCTGCAACACTATTTAAGCTTAGATATATTATTTGTACCTCATCAACATTTTTTATTTTGTTGAGAAAGTTTAAGGTTAATTGACAGCATATTTCTAATAGTAGATAGAATAACATCCCTTTTATAAACATTGACATCCTACATTACATGTGTGAACCCTGAAAATCTGAGACAGCTCTCAGATTTTTTAGAAAGTTTATTTTGCCAATCTTGAGGATGTGCACCTGTGATGCCTCCTCAGGAGATCCTGACAACATGGGCCCAAGGTGGTCGGGGCACAGCTTGGTTTTATACACTTTAGGGAGACACGAGAGATCAATCAATATGTGTAAGATGTACATTGGTTCAGTCCAGAAAGGTGAGAAGGCCAGACAGGGGGCTTCCAGGTCACAGGTAGGTAAGAGACAAATGGTTTCATTCTTTTGCATTGCTGATTACCCTCTCCACGTGAGGCAATCAGGTATGCATTTATCTCGGTGATCAGACGGGTGTCTTTGGATAGAATGGGAGGCGGGTTTGCCCTAGGCAGTTCCCAGCTTGACTTTTCCCTTTAGCTTAGTGATTTTGGGTCCCCAAGATTTATTTTCCCTTCGTAAGTGTTCCTATGAGTATTAATTATTCATTGTGTCTTTTATTACACAAATAAGGCACAGATTTTTAAGAAATCATCAACTTCATGGCTACCTATATAGACATAATTACATAGAAGCTCAACTAAATTTGCAAACATTCCAGAGTTTGGGTTTCCAATAATTCTTTGTGATTCTTTAAAAGGTAAAGTATTTTTTCCCATAAAACATAGCAACATTTAAAATCAACCGTAGAATGTCCTGCCATTTTTGTTTCTCTAGTTTCCTCATTTTCTGCAAAGCCTCACTGAGGAAATTGACTTTGAATATCCTTTTAGACTCTTGTTTTAGAAAGCATTGTGGTAAAACATTGAATCATCGTGGTCACAAGTTCTGTTCACATTCTTTCTTTCTTTGAATATTTTTTCCCAGTGGCCAATATTTGATTCTGTTGTATCATGGCTAAAAGGTAGGCATGGCAACAAAATAAAGACAAGAAGTCTTTGGAATAATTGATCCCATCACAATGAATCAATTTGCCATTGGAACATGTTTTTACAAAGTCACTCTTTTGAAAATATTCAGCTATGACTTGAAACAGAGTCTGTATGGTTAATATTTTTCCTGGTCTAAGATGAACAGCATTTTAGAGAATGAACCCAGGACACAACCACAGCACAAGAAAAACATGTGATAATTAAGTTTACACATGTGTGTTACTACAGTAACAGAAAACATGTAAAGAACATTTGATTTATGTATCAGTCTGCACTGTTTAATTTTTTGTGTCATAATTGCTCTTATTTTAAAAAACAGGACTAGTTAACAGTGTCAATTACTAGTAATTCATGGTATAAATAATTAAACAAGGAAGTGTTAAAAAAAGTGTTTTAAATAAAGTTTTATTTTACGTCTTTTTTTTACTTACACAGAAATCGTCAAAAAAAAAAAAAGCAGAGATTTCCCATGTAGCCGCAACCTAGTTTCCTCTCTTATTAACATCTTCTATCAGTGTGTCTCACATGGCTTATTAATATCTTACATAATTTGCCGCAGTTAATGAACCAATACTGATAGACTGTTATTAACTAAAGTTCATATTTCATTTGGATTCCCTTAGTTCTATCTTACTCTGACCCAGGATCCCATCCAGGATCCCACACGACATGTAGTCATCACATAGGCTCTTCCTGGCTGTGACAGTGTGTTAGGCTTTCCATCTCATGATGACCTTCATAGCACTGAGGAGGACTGGTCAGGAATGTTGTAGAATGTCCCCCATTGTCACTTCATGTTCTCAAGGTGAACTGTCACCTTTGATGTTCACTTGGATCATTTGGCAGAGCTAATGTTTGTCAGGTTTCTCCACTGTGAGGTTATTTCTCCTCCTTGTCCGCACTGCATGTGTTCTTTTGGAGCAAGTCACTATGCAGAGCCTCACTCCGTCAGGAGTTGGCTCCACCTTCTTGACGGCTGAGTGTCTACATCAATTATTTGGAATTCTTTTGCAAAGGAGATTTCTATGCAACTCCATTTGCTTATTCACCTAGGTATACAAATACAGACACCTAGATAATTACCTTAAGCTTTAGTTATTATTCAACACTACAGTATTATGTTGCACAATTCATTCCTGTGTTGGCCATCAGTAGCTGTTTTTATTGGCTCTTATTTTTCTTTGATATGTTTTAATTTTTTTGTACTTACTTTCTGATACTTCCAGATTATCCTGGCTCCTATATTTACTGTCCCAGTTCTAGTATCAGACATTTCTTCAAAGAGCCTGATTCCTTTCAGAATGGTAGGAAAACTTACATCTGGCTGCTGAATGAGCACATTGTATCTTCTCCCTCATTGGCAATGCTAGGAAGTATATGTGTGTGTCTAACCTACCTATACACACCTAATTATAAAGTTTTCTATGTAGAACTGTGTGTGTCTATATTAAACTAAACATAAGTTTACATTGATGTCTCCACCTCTGATCTACTATCACATGAATCATTCTAGCCTTCTCGCCTTGCTAATTTGTAACCTCCCACTTCAACAGTAAGAAACCTGGTTCCCACCATCTGCGACTTATGTAAGTCATTGTTTTATTCCAGATACAGACACTGTGGTTTTACAATTGTTCACAATTGCTTCTGTTGGAAAGAACTTTATAAAATGGAATCCAATAATGAAGTATAGTTCATGTGCCTTCAGCCTACAGATTCTTTTCATTTTCAAAGTTTTTACCTAGATTTGTGTCTCAGTCCATTTTGTGCTTCTGTAACAGAATACCTGAGGCTGCGTAATTTATAAGTAAAAAAGTTTCATTTGTTTGACAATACTGGTGGCTGGAATGTGTGAGATTGGGCAGTTGCATCTGGCGGGGCCTCAGTCTTTTTCACCTCATGGTGGAAAGTGGAAGGGGAGCAAGGGGTGCACCAGAGATCACACAGCAGAAGTGAAAGCAAGAGGGAAGCCAAGGAAGCCAGACTCTTTTTAATTACCTACTCCTGCAGGAATTATCTATTCCTGTGAGAACAGAACTCACTCACCCCCATGGAGGACATTAATCTATTCATGAGGGATCCGTCCCCACGACCCAAACACCATCCACTAGGCCCCACCGCCCCACACTGACGCAGTGGGAGTCAAATTTCAACATGAGTTTTTGTGGGGACAAACCACATCCAAACCATAGTAATTTGTAGCATAAATTCTTTTTCACATGATGTATTCTGTCCTGGGATACTCCACATCCTGAGTAATTGGATTTAATTTGAATAGAGTTTGCTTTAACCATTTGGCTGTAAAATTCTGCGTATTTCGACAAATGCATTGTGGCAGATATCCCACTATTAAAGTATCATATGGAATGCCTCAAACCCCCACCCCATGGAGCCAATGGCTTCCCATCTGTGTAGTTTGCCTTCTCCAGTGTCTCATTAAATGAGGTCACACTGTGTGTATCCTCCTCAGACTGTCTTCTTCCACTTAGCAATGTGCATGCAAGATTCACTCATGTCTTTGTGTGTGTTGATATCTTGTTCCTTTCTATGGCTAAATAGTATTCCATTACATGAATGTAGCACAATTTGGTTATGCATTTTGGGGAGCAGAACCTTCCTCTTCTAACTTTGTTCCAGGGTTGGAGACCTTCAAATTAACTGACACTAGATACATTAGTAGGAGAGACAATACTTGGCTTCTTGTTCCCCAAGTATCATTGTGGGACAAAATTCATCAGATGGCAGGATCCAGTTTACAAAGAGGTAAAAATAGCCCAGAAACAAGAAACAAGACTAGAATCTGATAACTCACAATGGCTATAGTTTTCCTTTAAAAAATTTTTTTTTGAGACAGGGTCTGGCTCTGTCACCCAGGCTGGAGTGCAAAGGTGCAATCTCAGCTCACTGCAACCTCTACCTCCTGGGTGCAAACGATCCTCCCTCCTCAGCCTCCTGATTACCTGGGACACAGGCACATGCCGTCATGCCCATCTAATTTTTGTATTTTTGGTAGAGACGGGGTTTCACCATGTCGCCCAGGCTGATGTTGAACTCCTGGCCTTCCAAAGGGCTGTAATTATAGGCATGTGCCACCATGCCCGGCTGTGTTATACTTTTCCTTTGAAAGATAAAATTTCTCTCTGTAGTAACCATCATTTTTGATCATAATCAAAGTAAGACTATTCTTGTTTTAAAAATAAGTCTAGTTTTGTTAGATTTTGCTTGATTATTTACGTAAGTGCAGCAAGAACAGGAGATGACCACGTAGGTGCTTTCAGGTTTCTTTGCTGGAAGTTTTCATACAGAATCTCAGATTTGACTTTTAAAGGCCTTATTCAGGCTAAAAGCCAAGCCAAGAACATGCTATCAAATTTCAGCTGCAGTCCTTATAGCTTTGTGTGAATTCCTCTCTTCTTGAGGCCCCAAAATATCCCTAAATTCCTGGGCCTACCAGGAAATGACCTTCCTTACTAACCTATAAGGCTGTGAACCCTGTAATCTAGGTATCAGGCTGGGTTTTCTCAGAGTGCTGTTGGGAATGAAGTTTTTTATGTTCCCCCCCCCAAAAAAAGAACTAACATGGGAACAAATGATCTCTTAGCAAGGCGAGCTTTATTTTTCTGCACAAAGGGTGCTACTCAATAGCTGTCCAGCTACAAGAGCACACCAAACAAAGGAGACAGAGTTACTTATAACCTGACGTGTCTACCCTACTGCTGTGTCCAGTTTCCATTGGCTGGAATAGGACCTCCCATTTTACACTTTACCCGATTGGCTGTTTGTTTAAAACTTTCTTAATTAGGTAAGGGGAATAGAAGAAAGAAAGAAAAGGAAGTTGCCCAGGGATAGTTAAGGAAGCATCTCCAAATAAGGAATGGCATGCAGTATGGGCTGGGGCTTGTCTAGTTCTGTCCAGGCATGCTGGAGCAAGCTAGGACAAGTGATTTGGAACACACACACACACACACACACACACACACACACACACACATATAAAAATAGTGGGTAGTTGTGACTTTATAATCTTTGAGGAAGAACTTTCCTCAAAGTTTTCCACAGTGCTTTGTAAGCATTGTCTCCATAAAAGTGAACCTTACTTCCTTAAAATTGCTGGTCATAACTGATCTTAGGTACACTTCCTAATTATGATGTTCCAGTAAAAACCTTGATAATATAACCAAAATTTCCAATTATGTCCTGTTATAAGGTGAATAGATTCTTATTGGACTTTTGCTAACAACTATATCATCGTGGAAATAAGAGTATTCAGTAAGGATTTCAAAATTCTGGAAAAATCAGGCAAGAAAAAAAGATAAACGCTTCATTTCTGTTTACAAAAGTATAATCTACTAAATTGTTGTAAGTTACAGTTAGAGTAAGAGAAAGAGATTTCTTAAATCCAGAAACTAGAATATTAACCAGCAATGCTCCAAAAAGCTATACAATTATAATCAATTTTCATCAGTTCATTCAGTGCCATGTAATCAATTCCAGTCTTGTGGATCTTGAGTTAGCAGTGTCATGAACCCATCAGTTTCCCAACCGGACTTCTGGAGACCTTAACTGAGTCAAGTGTATGGTCTTAAAGTTATTTAAGCAATATCATCAGAAGCCTATAACCAGAGTACCTGTCATAGTCTTTTCTGTGAGTCTCAGAGGGAGTCCTGTCTTGGAGACGAACATTCTGACCTGTAGTTGATTGCAGGAGCTTTCAGGAAAGCATCAGGGGGAAATAATATCTAAATGACAAAAAGTATGAAATGGCTGTGATGAAAGATCTGATGAGAGTTCATTATACCACAACTGACAAGGATATTCGATTTTTTCTGTGGCAGACAACATTTATTTATTTCTTTATTTAGAGACAGAGTCTTGCTCTGTCGCCCAGGCTGGAGTGCAGCGGTGCGATCTGGGCTCACTGCAAGCTCTGTCTCTTGGGTTCACGCCATTCTCCTGCCTCAGCCTCCTGAGTAGCTGGGACTACAGGTGCCTGCCATCACGCCGGGCTAATTTTTTATATTTTTAATAGAGATGGAGATTCACCGGGTTAGCCAGGATGGTCTGGATCTCCTGACCTTGTGATCCACCCGCCTCAGCCTCCTAAAGTGCTGGGATTATAGGCATGAGCCACTGTGCCTGGCACAACATTTAAAGTAATAATTGGAATTATGACTCATTACTCTATAGTGGCACATAGCATGGATAAGGAGGACATTGACAAACTTCCAGGAATTTTATATAATTTCTGAAAACATAACATTTTACCCATACAAATATAACACAGGGAAGGTTAGGTATCTCTTTTTATTTGTATCTTCTGTATGGTTTTCCTTATAAAAAATGCAACCTACTTTACTTGCGAAACATGCCCTACTTTTCTTGCATGCTTTGCATAGTTTCTAGTTATTCTATTATTTCTAGTAGTTTTATTTACATATATTGATTATAATTTTAATACTTAGTAATCTTTTATTTTCCAGAGAAAACTAGGAAGTAGACAGTTATAAACTGTCATATATTAGCATTCTATAGTAGGTTAGAAAATGTATGAATATACCATCTCCCAACATCTAGAGGGATGTGTTTCCTCATAATACAATTCCTCAGTGTGGCAGAAAAAAACATGTTTATTAACGGGCCAAAATATCTTTAGTCTCTCTGTAAAAATAGGAAGCCAAAAGTACATAAACTTGAATTATTTATGTTCAGTAATTAATGTTTTAGTATTGTATCTTATTTATAAATGATCTAGATATTTAATGCAAATCTTTTACTTAGCTTAACTTTAAGGTTAAAAATTACCAAAAGTACTTTGGAAACTATTCTTAGGCAGATTTACTGTAAACAAATTATTTTTGAAATAATGTTTTTCGCTTTTCACAAGATGGCACCAAAAGCGAAGGAAGCTCCTGCTCCTCCTAAAGCCGAAGCCAAAGCGAAGGCTTTAAAGGCCAAGAAGGCAGTGTTGAAAGGTGTCCGCAGCCACACGCAAAAAAGAAGATCCGCATGTCACTCACCTTCAGGCGGCCCAAGACACTGCGACTCCGGAGGCAGCCCAGATATCCTCGGAAGAGTACCCCCACGAGAAACAAGCTTGGCCACTATGCTATCATCAAGTTTCCGCTGGCCACTGAGTCGGCCGTGAAGAAGATAGAAGAAAACAACACGCTTGTGTTCACTGTGGATGTTAAAGCCAACAAGCACCAGATCAGACAGGCTGTGAAGAAGGTCTATGACAGTGATGTGGCCAAGGTCACCACCCTGATTTGTCCTGATAAAGAGAAGAAGGCATATGTTCGACTTGCTCCTGATTATGATGCTTTCGATGTTGTAACAAAATTGGGATCACCTAAACTGAGTCCAGCTGGCTAACTCTAAATATATGTGTATCTTTTCAGCATAAAAAAATAATGTTTTTCATAAGAATGACAACTTAATTAGAATCAAATCTATAAGCTTTAAGATTTTATGTTTCTAGTAAGTATAATATTAGCTTATTTGACTAGAACTCAAGCAGAATAGGAATTTATGCTTGTTTTATATTCAATAATAATTTTGAAGATACAGTTGTTTTATTACACCAAAAATACTATATTAATCTTATTTAACTAAGTTTTATCCAAATCATGTTAACTTAAGAAACATTTGATCAGTTCCTATATTTCTAGGAGTTTGGTGAATATTTATTTATAAATGCTTATTTTTTTCCAAGCCAAGTTAGAATAGAGCACTTTTAGAGGATTTCATAAATGAATTTTGCAATGCTCTCTGGAGTTAAGAAAATATCACATATACATAACATACATTAATAGATACACAAACACAAATAGAGATTTCATAGCTTTCATCCTGAAATTTCAGCCATGAATCAGGCATAAATATTCTGATGGTTAATTTCAGACATCTACTTGATCGGATTGAGAGACACACATAGCTGGTCAAACACGATTTCAGCCATGAATCAGGCATAAATATTCTGATGGTTAATTTTAGACATCTACTTGAGTGGATTAAGAGACACACATAGCTGGTCAAACACAATTTCAGCCATGAATCAGGCATAAATATTCTGACGGTTAATTTTAGACATCTACTTGATCGGATTGAGAGACACACATAGCTGGTCAAACACGATTTCAGCCATGAATCAGGCATAAATATTCTGATGGTTAATTTTAGACATCTACTTGAGTGGATTGAGAGACACACATAGCTGTTCAAACACGATTTCAGCCATGAATCAGGCATAAATATTCTGTGGTTAATTTTAGACATCTACTTGAGTGGATTGAGAGACACACATAGCTGGTCAAACAATTTCAGCCATGAATCAGGCATAAATATTCTGACGGTTAATTTTAGACATCTACTTGAGTGGATTGAGAGACACACATAGCTGGTCAAACACGATTTCAGCCATGAATCAGGCATAAATATTCTGTGGTTAATTTTAGACATCTACTTGAGTGGATTGAGAGACACACATAGCTGGTCAAACAATTTCAGCCATGAATCAGGCATAAATATTCTGACGGTTAATTTTAGACATCTACTTGAGTGGATTGAGAGACACACATAGCTGGTCAAACACGATTTCAGCCATGAATCAGGCATAAATATTCTGACGGTTAATTTTAGACATCAACTTGACTGGATTAAGGGACACACATAGCTGGTCAAACACGATTTCAGCCATGAATCAGGCATAAATATTCTGACGGTTAATTGTAGACATCTACTTGACTGGATTGAGAGACACACATAGCTGGTCAAACACGATTTCAGCCATGAATCAGGCATAAATATTCTGATGGTTAATTGTAGACATCTACTTGACTGGATTGAGAGACACACATAGCTGGTCAAACACGATTTCAGCCATGAATCAGGCATAAATATTCTGACGGTTAATTTTAGACATCAACTTGACTGGATTAAGGGACACACATAGCTGGTCAAACACGATTTCAGCCATGAATCAGGCATAATATTCTGATGGTTAATTTTAGACATCTACTTGAGTGGATTGAGAGACACACATAGCTGGTCAAACATGATTTCAGCCATGAATCAGGCATAAATATTCTGATGGTTAATTTTAGGCATCTACTTGAGTGGATTGAGAGACACACATAGCTGGTCAAACAATTTCAGCCATGAATCAGGCATAAATATTCTGATGGTTAATTTTAGACATCTACTTGAGTGGATTGAGAGACACACATAGCTGGTCAAACAATTTCAGCCATGAATCAGGCATAAATATTCTGACGGTTAATTTTAGACATCTACTTGAGTGGATTGAGAGACACACATAGCTGGTCAAACACGATTTCAGCCATGAATCAGGCATAAATATTCTGACGGTTAATTTTAGACATCAACTTGACTGGATTAAGGGACACACATAGCTGGTCAAACACGATTTCAGCCATGAATCAGGCATACATATTCTGATGGTTAATTGTAGACATCTACTTGACTGGATTGAGAGACACACATAGCTGGTCAAACAGGATTTCAGCCATGAATCAGACATAAATATTCTGATGGTTAATTGTAGACGTCTACTTGACTGGATTGAGAGACACACATAGCTGGTCAAACACGATTTCAGCCATGAATCAGGCATAAATATTCTGATGGTTAATCGTAGACGTCTACTTGACTGGATTGAGAGACACACACAGCTGGTCAAACACGATTTCTGGGCATATCTATGAGGGTGTTTCTGGAAGACACTGAGATAACCATGACCCAATGTGGATGGGCACTGATATGGTTTGGCTGTGTCCCCACCCAGATCTCATCTTGAATTGTAGTTCCTGTAATACCTACATGTCGTGGGAGGGACCCAATGGGAGGTGACTGAATCATGGTGGTGGTTACCGCCATGCTGTTCTCATGACAGTGAGTGAGTTCTCATGATCTGATGGTTTTATAAGGGGCTTTTCCCCTTTGGCTCAGCACTTCTTGTTGCTGCCATGTGAAGAGGGATAGCTTTGCTTCCCCTTCTGCCATGATTGTGAGGCCCCTGCAGCCATGTGGAACTGTCAGCCCATTAAACCCCTTTGTTCTTTATAAATTGCTCAGACTCAGATATTTCTTCATAGCTGTATAAAAATGGATGAATACAGGCAGCATCCAATTGGTTGAGAGCCCAGATAGAATAACAAGGAAGAGGAAAGGTGAATTATCTCCTTCTGAAATGGAAACATCCTTCTTCTCCTGCCCTTGACATCAGAACTTCAGGGTCTCAGACCTTTGGCCTCACAATCAGAGTTACACCATTGGCTTCCCCGATTCTGAGTCCTTTGTATCTGGAGTGAGCCATGCTACCAGCTTTCCTGGTTCTCCAACTTGGAGACAGGCTATTGTGGAACTTCTCAGCCTCCATAATTATGTGAACCAGTTCCCCTAATGAATCTTCTCTCATCTGTCTACATATATCCTATTGATTCTGCCTTTCTGGAGACCCCTGACTAATGTGATTACAATAACTACACAATTCACTAGTTTATATAGAAGACTTGGTTTTTGTCTTTGCCCCATTTTATATTTGTATTATAACTATGTATCTGGAAAATGGAACAAGTTTTTTCTTCTTCATATGAGGGCTAAGGCTTTTTTCTCACCAATATTTTTGGAGATTTTAAAGATTTTCTTTTTTTTTGACATAGAATCTTATGGAGGCTGAGAAATAATTTTTTTTCTATTTTATTCTTCAGCCCCAGGTGTTTGCTTTTGCAGATTCTTGAGCACATTGAGAGCCTCCAAGGCATGGAGTGGGGTGCCTGAAGTTTCAGTGATTATAGGGAGTTGAGAGACTCAACTGGGAAAGGAAAGGTCTAAAAGGAGGCAATTTGGAAGATAAAAATTTTCTCAAAGGAGCCATTAAAGTTGTAAATAATTCTTAGTAAAGTCATGCAAACAGGAAAAGAAGTAGAATTAGTTCCATATTGGTGGAACACATAGTCAGCAGAGGTTTGAGAAGGGAGAATTTAGTGAAGTGAGAAGTTCCCATGAAAGCAGCAAGATCAAGATCACAGACACCTTGAAACAAAAAGCCAGGAATAACTTCCAACCCAAGAGGAGAACAGAGAGGCCTCAAAACCAAAGCTAGGATAAGAAACTTGTAGCCCAAGAGTTATCTTCCAGACAAAGAAGCCTGAGATTCCAACGCAGCTTCAGAGAGTGCTCACTCAAAATGTTACTAAAACTGTAGGCTTTTTAATGACTTAGCCATGCCTGCAAAAGGCATTCCCTAAGGTGGCACAGAAGACGGAGCCCCCATATCCAAAGATAGCCAAGGAGAAAGAAAGACCCCTGTTGCCAGAGCCAGTGGGCAAAGGCAACAGAAAAGGAGACAAGGGTCCTAATGGGATGAGATCCTTTCGGATTTAGGCTTTTATACAAACTCCTGAGAACTGGCAGGTTGACAGCCATAAATGGGGTACCAAACTTTCTACTCATTGGATTACAAGTTCTCAGGCATCCAGAATGATGAACAAAATGACAATTTCTAGGGCTTCTGTGGGAGAGTATGGAAAGGTCTTTTTGAACCTTTTAATGCTGTGAACGGAAGAATGATGAGGTTCATAAATTTGGAAAGGAGACATTTCTTCATTTTTATGCTTATTTTTATTTTTTTTGAGACAGAGTTTCACTCTTGTTGCCCAGGCTGGAGTGCAATGGCATGATCTTGGTTCACTGCAACCTCCACCTCCTGGGTTCAAGCGATTCTCCTGCCTCAGCCTCCTGATTAGCTGGGATTACAGATGCCCACCACCACACCTGGCTAATTTTTTGCAGTTTTGGTAGAGACAGGATTTCATCATGTTGGCCAGGCTGGTCTGAAACTCCTGACCTCAGGTGATCCACCCACCTCGGCCTCCCAAAGTGCTGGGATTACAGGCATGAGCCACCCACCCAGTGAGAGATTTATTTTCTATAAAGGGTTGTAGCCTGCAGGGTTGTCCTTCTGACAGGCTGGGAAGCATAGCCTCCAGCCAGAAGCCAGAAACAGATGCTTCAAGGAGGAGGTAAAGGAAATAGCAACTTATGCTGAGTGGAATGGCCAAATAGATTTATTTAATAAGCTCTAGGAGGAGTCATGAATATTTATGGAAGGAGAAATGCATGCACGCACAATTGAGTTTCTTGCTTCTTCATGGGTCCCATGTACAAAAAATGGCAGTGTTAGCATGATCCCAGGGTGGAGTTTTCAGCCCTCTGACATTAAAAGGTGAAGTAGAGGACATGAAAACTTGCTCTGTGCATCCTCTGTACGCTGGCCAGAACCTCTCCATCGTGGGTGGTCTCTTATCAGGGAAGAAAGGAGAGGTTGATATCAGTGGTGGAGGCTTTGAAAGGGCTGGTTTCTGTTAAATCCTTAGGGAAGAAAGCCTCATCATGGTTAGCAAAGGAGGGGGTATAACGATGTGTATCTTAACCCCATCATCCCATCCTAGCAAAGCTGAGAACTCAGTTTTGAAAGTTACTCTGGGGTCCCCTCAGCCAAGAGTGGGTCTGTTCAGTCAGTTGGGAGCTTAGAATTTAATTTTCATTTATCAATGCTAATGGGAAAGAGTACGCTGTCTTCATGGCAGCTGAATTTGCAAGAAACTCCTTGGATGGGGTTAATGGCAGCTGTATTTTTCTGGGAGCTGTGCTTTAATTGGATAAAGTAAGTTCTGGTAAGATTTCTTCATCTTCAGTATCTCAAATGTTTTCATTTAAATAATCTTTATAACAACTTTTGATGTCTGAGTGGATTCCCACACAGTCATCTATTGTAAGACTTTCTGATTCCTTTTTTTTCCTTTGGTCATTATGAATAGGGCTTCTGTAAATAACTGCATGGTAGCTTTTGATGGGAAATAACATCAAAGTAGTTGTCAAAATACCTAGGAATGTTATTTTTGGATTGTAAGGTGAGACTTGTTTAGCTTTGGAAAAAAATGCCCAACTTGTAATAGGGGAGGAAAAATAATTTTCTGTTTTTGGAATTCTTAGATGGAACGCTCTGTAAAAACTGACAGATTAAAATGAGAAAAAGAGAAAAGTTTAAAAACATGTATATCTTATGGTTACATGGGAGATACTCAGGGAAAAATGAGTAAATCTCCAACAGGTGGCTTTCAATTCAAGCATAAATACTATCTTCAACTTAAAGAAAGAAGATTTGAGGTGCAGTAGTGGGGAGTTAACCAGCAAAAGCACATTAGACAAGGGTAAGGTTCGTTATACAGACTTAAGTCCATGCATTCTCCATTGATAAGACTCTTCAGTGATTTAGTTATCCTTCTCTTCTTGGTGTTGAGAGAGGTAGCTTTTAAATGGTGATTTCCTTTATAGATGTAAATTTTCCTTACACAAGTAACTTCTACTTTATTTTCACAACTTCCTTTGTTAGCATTTTTTTTTTCCAAAATAATTAGCTTGGAATAATTCTTAAGCCAAAGGGACATATTTTGGGGTTGCATATTCTGGTTTCCTACCATTATATTTTGGGGTGGCATAGTTTGGTCTTATACACTGTGTTCCACTGGCAATGAAAAGAGTTCTTGTTTTTCCTCCAGCAATTTGTCATTTGTTAAAGAGCTTAGCAGTTCTAAGAGATATAGACCAGCTGTGCTATCTTTTTGTGGTTTTCAGTTCTCTAGTATGTTGAGCATCTTTTTGTAAGTGTACTTGCCATCTGTAGATCTTCTTTGGTGAAGTGTCTGTTCAGATCTGTGTGCATTTTTAATTGGGTTGTTTAACTTATTGTTTAGTTTTAACAATTTTTTATATATTTTGAATACAAATTCTCAGATCTGTATTTTGCAAATATTTTCTTCAATATGTGGCTTGTGTTTTTGTTCTCTTGACAAGGTCTCTTCCAGAGTATAAACTGTAAATATTAAGAAATCCACATTGTCATTTCTTCTGTGTATATCAACCTTCTGTGTCATTTGTTAAAATTCATTACCAAACGCAAAGGCACACAGCTTTTCCTCTATAGTTTCTTCTAGAAATTGTATAGTTTTGCATTTTTAGTGTAAGGATGATTTTGAGTGATTATTTGTGTAAGTTGTAAAGTTTTCATCTACATGTGAGGGTGAGGGTGAGGGTGAGGGTTAGGGGTTAGGGGTTAGGGGTTAGGGCTAGGGCTAGGGCTAGGGCTAGGGCTAGGGCTAGGGTTTAGGGTTAGGGTTAGGGTTAGGGTTAGGGTTAGGGTTAGGTTAGGGTGAGGGTGAGGGTGAGGGTGAGGGTGAGGGTGAGGGTGAGGGTTTAGGGTTGGGGTTGGGGTTGGGGTTGGGGTTGGGGTTGGGGTTAGGGTTAGGGTTAGGGTTAGGGTTAGGGTTAGGGTGTGGGTGTGGGTGTGGGTGTGGGTGTGGTGTGTGGGTGTGGGTGTGGT